>NC_000008.11:135714222-136016299 GCF_000001405.40 Homo sapiens
TTTAAATTCTAGAAGCAGCTGGGGAATGTGGTTAGTTGTACTGAAGGCGGGATCTAGTGACTGGATCCATTTTTAGAACCCACATGCTGTTATGGCTGGTCTTGGGTGGGGGTGACCACTGGACCCCTAAAAACAGCTCCAGGATGGGAACTAATGGTTGCTGAGCATGCATATAAACCAATATAGGACTATGTACTGTGAACATTTTCTCACCTCTGATAACCTGATGTGTTTTCTTTTTTGGTCATTATTTACTTGGTTGTTTTCCATTTTTGCCTTGTCATCTAGGTTGCTTAGGGCTACAATATCATTCACTTAGAGCATGCACTCTTCCCTTTATAGAAGAGGGAACTGTCTTAGTCCATCTGCGTTGCTATAAAGGAATACCTGGGGCCAATACCTAAGGTTCTGCAGACTGTATAAGGAGTATGGTGCTCGCATCTGCTCAGTATCCCATGAAGGCCTCAGGCTGCTTCCACTCATGGTGGAAGGTGAAGGGGAGCCAGTGTGTGCAAAGACCACACAGCAAAAGAGGAAGCAAGAGGTGAGCAGAGGTGACAGGCTCTTTAACAACTAGCTCTGATGGGGACTAATAGAGTGAGAACTCACTCCCCTCCCCTCCAGAAGGGCATTAGTCTATTCATGAAGGATCTACATCCATGTCTCAAACATTAGGCCCCCCACCTCCAACAGGTTCAAATTTTAACATGAGGTTTTGGGGGACAAACGTCCAAATTACAGTGGAAATTAAGCTGTTAAGTGACTTCCCCAGAAACAGCTACTAAATCACAAGGCCTAGAATGAGAGTCTCTCTATGGAATAATGGATCCCAAATTTTAGAGTTATAAGAACAATTCTGGGTCCCAGAAATTTTGATGCAGTGTTTTGGGAGAGGGCAGAGCACACCACTTTTTAACAAGCAACTCTGCCATTTATAAGCTTGTGTAATCGGGAAAATTACTTGGTTTCTTTGAGTCTCAGCTTTCTCATTTGTAAATTGGGAACACTATTCCTTACTTACTAGCTGTTCTTTCTGCCCAGAATGCTCTCACCCACATATCCTCTCTTTCACCTTCCATGAGACCACCCAATCAATATAGCCTCCTGTGGCCCAGCACCTCCAATCCCCTCACACTGCCTGACACTTTTTCCCATAGCATCTGTGACCTAATGTGCTCCAGATGCACAAATTTATCGTGCTGGTCACTCATTGTCTGCCTCCTTCCTCTAGGATGTTGGCTCTGTTGGGTAGTTATTTTCAGTGATGTGACTCAAGCGCCTGGGAGATGTGCAGACACACTAGACTGTTTTGAAGATTAAACTTAACATCATCTTTATGCAGTTAGCACCATTCTTGCTGTGCAGAAAAGCCTTTTGATAGACGGTGGTTATTATCAATTTCCCTCTCTGCTGGCTTTGTCCTGGAGCCTGCTTCCAGCACCCCTCACCCCACATCTATACATCTTCCCTCATACCAAAGCTCTCCTGAGGCACATTTCCAAGCCTGGCACCCACCTGTGCCGGGAACTGTCACTATTTTGGTTTTATACCCAAGGGTTGGCAGAGCAAGGCGTGCATTCTTCTTGGTGAGGGAGTGGAAGGGCTCTGCTGGATAAGTTTCAGAGAGAGAGAAGCGGCTGTGGCTGGTGGGGCTGCACCAAGTGTGCATCCCATTTCCTGGGCTAATGGAAGCCCACACCAGAGGCCCTATCCCTGCTCAGCTACTCTCCTGTTTCTGCACGGCCAAGGGTGAGGCAGGGAACAGGCTGTGTAGCTAGGTAAGAGCACCTTGGATCATATCTCTAACAGCTGCCCTGGGGCTGGGAAACTGTCGGGGGGGTGAGCTGCTGAGACTGAAGACCAAGCAGGATGGTCTCAGGGTACCCAAATTTGAGGTTGTTATGGACTGAATATATCCCCCAAATTTATATGCTGAAACCCTAATCCCCCTGTGATAGTATTTGGAGATGGGTCTTTGGGAGGTAATTTAGGTCATGAGGGCAGAGCCCCCATGATGGGATTAGTGCCCTTATAAAAAGAGATGGGACAGAGCTTGCTTTTTCTCCCTGCTCTCCATCATGTGAGGATAAAGCAAGAAGACAGCCTTCTGCAAACTAGGAGGAGAGTCCTCACCAGAACCTGGCCATGCTGGCACACTTCTCTCAAACTTCACAGCTTCCTCAAATATGAGAAATAACTTCTGTTGTTCAATTCACCCAGTCTATGGCGATTGGTTATGACAGCCTGAGCTAACAAAGACAGGAGCCCTGGGGCTGAGGGTCACATTCAGCTTCTCCTCTCAGCCAACTTCTAACTAGGTCCCTGAGTGGGCTGGATGCTTTTCCCACCCATACAAGGGCAACCATTAGCTTCTGGACACCCTGGCTGTGGGACAGATGAAGGAGGAAATGGTGTTGCATGTTTCAAACTGTACCCCAACCCTAGATGAGGTGATATGCCCAGCATCTTCACAGGATTCCTTTGAAACACCCACTTCGCTGGTAATTACAGTTTAGTATCTGTCTTCCTTGCTAAATCATGAGCTTCTCAAGGGCAGGACTGAGTCCCTTGTTCACTGTGTGTCTGCAGCACTCAGCTCAATGTCTTGTACATAAATATGTGTTAAATTAATCAATAGTTAACAAAATGTTAAAATGGAACTCTTTCTGTTCCCAAAGTCTAGAATCAAAAAGGTGATTAGTATCTCTAAGTTCCAGAGAGAGAGACAATGGATCAAATGTGTGGGGCTCACCTAAATGTGTGAGGTCACCTAAACTGCTTTTGCCACCTGTACTGTAATAGTTCTATTTAGGCCCTCAGTTGATTGGTTGATGCTCTTCTACATTGGTGAGGCAGATTGTCTGTACTCAGTCTACTGATTCAAATGCTAATCTCTTCCAGAAACATCCTCACAGATATACCCAGAAATAATGTTTTACCAGCTATCCGAGGATGTATCAAAGCATCCTTCAGCCCAGTCGAGTTGACACATACACTTAACCATCCCAAGGGGATTTGAGGCAGAAGCCTTTTCATGTCTTTCCTGGAAATCACAGAAGTAGAGGACTGCTGGGGTGCAATATAAGACCTGGGTTCAAATCTGCTCATTCTCCATCTAGTTGTGCAAGCAAGGACAAGTCACTTCTCTGAACACACTGCTCATCATCAGGAAGATGGGAATAATGAGAGCTTGTCTTTCAGAGCTGTTTCAAAACTTAGAGAGTTGTAAAAAGTGCTCAGTACAGAGTAGGCATTCAATAAAGGATAGTGGCAATAATAACAACAATAAGACTGCTATTGTTATTCCCCGTTCTGAGAAAACCACCTTGCATTTAATAGATGTTCAATGAATTATTCTGGCTGAGTTAATTTTCTTTTGATACTCAAAAACAGGAATGTCCTGACTGCAGACAAAAAGGCTCACTCAATTAACTCCATGTTTTGAAGTGTCAATAAGGGCAGAAAAAAGGCATTTCTTTGCTTCTTGTTTTTATGATCTCATCATCTGCTATGGTTTTTAGATGGGAAAATGTGATTGTCAATTAAGAATCTGAAAAAGTGTTCCCTTTATTAAAAGACACACACACAAAACATAAGCACCATATTTCACACTGAATCGGAGCTGCTGCTGGCTAGCTGAAATTTACTGCCTCATGTCCCAGCAAAGAGAATTTGCAGCTGGATTAATGCCCCTTTCTCTGGTAGTGAATCAATTTTGTACATATGGCCATATTTTCACCCAAGTGATAGGCAGCAATGGCTGCTATTTTGTAGTCACTGTAGGAAAACTCAGGGGTACCTCCCAAGAAAGGCACTTTGAGCATCCTCCATGAATAATGTAGCATCATGACATTTTCTGGGGAGAGGCATTTTAGCAAGTCCAGCTTGGTCATTTCAAAAATGGGAAAACTGAGATGGGGCCTTAGCAAAGCACATACGCTCCTCTCCATCAGGCTGGGTTCCTCACTGTGGCCTCTGAGAGTGGTCCCAGAAGCCTCTCCAAATGCTCCATCCAGAGAGTCTTCTGGGGCCACTTTCCTCTTTGCATCCCACATTCTGGGAATGCCGGGCTTCTTCCTTCCTGGCCTCATGCACCCCTTCCTCTGCCTGGCCTGGCTGCATTGTGACTCTTCCTGGGGTTCTTCTGTTGTCCCTCAGCGGAGGAGTTGTATTTGTTTGTTCTCATGCTGCTAATAAAGACATACCCAAGACTGGGTAATTTAAAAGAAAAAGAGGTTTAATGGTCTCACAATTCCACATGGCTGAGGAAACCTCACAATCATGGCAGAAGGCAAATAAGGAGCAAAGTCATGTCTTACATGGTGGCAGGCAAGAAAGCGTGTACAGAACGGCCCTTTATAAAACCATCAGATCTCATGAGACTTATTCACTATCACAAGAACGGCATGGGAAAAACCTGTCCCCATGACTCAATTACCTCCCAACAGGTCCCTCCCACAACATGTGGGGATTTGGGGAGCTACAATCCAAGATGAGATTTGGATGTGGACACAGCCAAACCTTATCAGGAGAGTTCTAGGTTAGGCTCCTGTTGTGTGCTCCTCTCAGCCAGAAAGTTGTCATGGCACTTACACATGTGTCTTTAATCAATGAATGTTTAGCACCAGGCTTCCTTCGTAAGCATCTTCCCTGTACAGATTCCAGGCTCCATGAAGGCCAGCCCCCTCAGTCCCCTGCATTGAGCCCTGAGCATCTTTGTGGAAGGAATGAATTTGCGATAGCTGGATGACTGCAAGGTCCAGATGTGGAGACATGTGGCAGCATCTAGTGGGGTGGTAAGAAGCTCCTTATGTTTGAAATGAAGGTTCTGGGCAAGTGGAGGGAGATGAGATTGGTGAGGTGGGTGGGTAGGCTGGGAGGACACACCATGTCTTACCGGATCATGCACAGATGTCTGGGCCCTCTGCCTCTATGCTGGAAGACGTGGCCTGGTTGGGGTGTGAGTTAGAACCATACTCTCCAAACTCTGTTGTGCAGAGGAATCACCTGGGGGTAGCGTGAAAATGCACATGGAGACTTCCTAGGTCTGAGTGGCACCTGAGGGTATATATTTCCCACAAGCTCCGGGGTGAGGCCAGTGCTGCTGGCTTTAGAGCCATCATTTCCATCAGTTAGTGGAGGATGGCATGGAGGCTGAGGGGGAGGGAGGCCGAGACTCCAGTTTGGAGGCAGTCAGAGTGGTCTAGGGTCATGAAGAGGCAGAGCAGCAGGGATGGAAGGAGAGGCAGCCCGTGGAACTCAACCACCATCGGTCATCATGAGGGTTCGGGTATCTGATGCTTGGATTTCCTTAAAAATTTAGTGTCTAGTGGCATGTACCTCACCTGTCAGTGCTTATGGTTGCTTATTTCAAAACTGAAAGAACTCTATTAAAAAAATAATGGACTGTGCAGCCATGCTGCTCTCTGTACCCTGGTACCCTGTGCTGGGCAGAAGACTAGAGTCCTTTCCAGTTCCAGATGAGATTCAGGTCCTCCAGGTGTGGGGCTGGAGCCTTGGCCTTGAACCCAGCTCCTCTGTTTGGAACCTAAGCCTGCTACACCCCTCTCTACTGGGCCTGACCACTGTTTTCCTACCCAGATAAGCTGGGCCAGCCAGCTTCATGCAGCTGCCACATGGTCCTGTTGTTCCTCAGCCTGCAGCTCAGACCCTCCTGTGTCAGAGGAGTCAGGGGAGGCCACAGGGGATTGGTTAAGAATTTGGATTTATTCTAACTGCAAGAGAAAGCTTTTGGTTTTTTAAAATTTATTTGACTCTGATCAGCCCAGATACACAGCCCGTCTTTGGCACCGGACTTATGTGCTGGTCATCTTTCACCTGCAAGGACAGCCCTCTTGCAGAGACCACCACTGCCCTGCCCCTGCCTGGTGCACTTCTTTCCTTCTGGGATACCAGTCATCTTGGGCCAAGCCTACCAGAGTCATGATAGTCCCTGACAAGAGCCACTTGGGTAGAAGCCACCTAGGACAGAGTCCGCTGGTCACCCACCCATGTCTATTCTCTTCTTCCCTAACAACAAACCAATACAACTCCCATTTTGTTAGCGGGAGCAATGACCTGCTAAGAGAGTCTACCTCCCAGCCGCCCTGGTCTTGGGCTTGGCTGTGTGGCTGGGTTCCCGGATGTGATATGAGGGGAAGTTGCTGGATGCACTTCCCAAAGTGCTCCTGCAAAGGGATCTTATTCACCTGGGAATTGCCTTTTGCCCTTCCTCAATTCTCCCTCCTGCTACCTGGAATGAAAGCGTGGAGGCTGGAACCCCATCACCTGTGTTGTGGGTAACAAATACGTTATTCATGACCCACTGCCAAGAGCAGTGTGTCCTCGCTTGTTGGCAGTTCCAGCTTCTCATGTGGGTCTCTTACATTCCATCCGGCACCTAGGACTTCTCAATGAGTGCACCTCATTTCTCTCTCCACAGTATGCTTGGCTGGTTCCAAGTCCACAGGAGAAATTCTGGCACTCTCTAGTCCCTGCTCCTGCTCTGCTGTGAGACCACAGACCCCAGCTCTGCCACCTGTTGGGATGGGCAGAAAGAGCAAACCCCAGGTGTGCTGGGCACCATGCTCTATTAATAATATATTAGTAATATTCCCGGTTATATTACATGGTATATTTGGGACTAGTCCATCATAAAACAAGTCCTGGAGAAAAGCATATTTGTTGCATTCTTTACTGTTGAAAAAGCAGTCTCAGAGAGATTCTCCAATTCATCATTCCTTTTGCTCCTCACTGGATAATCATTTGTGGCTCTCCTGCTATGAGCTGGAACTTTATGGACTAGATAGATAATATCTTTAATATTACTGAGTTGGCTTTCTAGGGAAAGAGATAAACAGTTGATAAATTGGCAAACATGGACAAAACCAGAAAATAGTGTGATTTGGACAATTAAAATAGGCCGATGGGGCAGAGAATGACCGAGTGATGGAGGAAGGAAGGTAAGAGACATTTAGATTGAGTGACAGAAAGGGACTGGGCACCAGTTCTTTAAAACTCAGTGAGAAGAACTTTCTGGTGAGGAAGAACAGCCAGGACAATGGTCCTCATGCAGGAACTGGCCTGGATGTTTGGGGAATTGAGGGTGGGTGAATGGAGCCACGCGGGACAAAAAAGGAGGCACGGGAGACCACGGGGCCTCGGCAGGCTTTGGTTAAGAATCTGAATTTTATACTAAGTGCAAAAAGAAGGTTTGGATTTTTTTAATTATTTGAAAATAATTTTAGATTTACAGAAAAGTTGCAAAGACAGCACAGAGAGTTCCTGTCTACCCTTCACCAGCTTCCTCTCATGTTAACATCTTACATAACCATGGCCCATTTATCAATGCTAAAAATTAACACTGATGTAACCCTCTTAACTAAGCTACAGACTTTATTCAGATTTCAGTGGCTTGTTCACTGATGTCCCTTTTCTGTCCCAGAATCCTATCCAGGATCCTACGCTGCATTTAGTCATCCCGGCTCCTGAGGCTCCTCCGATCTGTGACAACTTCTGGGTCTGTCCTTGTTTTTCATGACCTGATGCTTTTGAAGAGCAGCAGTCAGCATCTTGCAGAATGTTCCTCAGTTTGGATTTATCTACAGTTTTCTTGTGATTAGACTGAGGCTGTGGGTTTTGGGGAAGAAGATGGAGTGCCCTTCTTATCACATTGTATCTTATCAGAGAGTAAGTGGTTGCAAGAAGATCTATCCCTGGTGGCATGAACCTTGTTGCCTTCAATAGGGTGGTGACTGCCAGGATTCCTCACTGGAGAGCTGCTGTTTTTCCCATCCGTATCAGTTTCCAGGGCTGCTGTAACAAATCACCACAAACTAGATAGCTTAAAACAACAGAAATTCATTCCCACAGAGGATGGAAGCCAGAAGTCTGAAATCAAGGTGTCTGCAGAGCCATACTACTTCTGGAGGCTCCAGGGAGGATCCATCCTCGCCTCTTCCAGCTTCTGCTGGTTGCCAACAGCCCCTGGGGACCCCTCACTCCAGTCTCTGCCTCTGTCTTCACATAGCCTTCTCCTTGCATGACTCGGCATGTCTGTGTCTCTGAGTCTTATAAGAACACCAGTCGTCTTGGGTCTACGGCCCACCCTCATCTTAACCAGTCACATCTGCATAACCCCAGTTTCCAAATAAGGCCACATTCACAGGTACCAGGGGTTAGGACTTCATCATACCGTTATAGGGCACATGATTCCACCCATAACAACTCCTTCGATTTACACTTGGCAATGATCACTTTCGCTGCTTTATGCAGAATGCTCTGTTGGGGGTAAGGGCAAAGCAGGGAGGCCAATTAAAAGGTCATCACTGTCACTGAGGCAAGAAAAGGGACACTAGGGGTCTAGACCAGGGTGGGGGCAAAGGCCCTGGAGGGCAGGGTCTGCACTCAGAATACATTTTGGAGGCGGAGCCAATAGGACCTGCTGGTGAGTGGGTGTGTGTGTGGGATATTGAGGGAAAGACAAGAATCAATGACTCTCCAGTGTTTGGCTGGAGCCACAGTAAGGTGCCACTTAGTGTGACACAGGAGACCCATGGAGGGACAGGCTGGCAGTGCTACGTCTGATCATGTTAGGACATCCAAGGAGGGAGGTTAAGGTGCTACATCTCCCAGCCCCAGAGGAGTTGAGGGGTCTCCCAGCAAAGCAATGACAGCCGCAAGAGAAGAGGCCGGGTGCGGTGGCTCACGCCTGTAATCCCAGCACTTTGGGAGGCCGAGGCGGGCAGATCACGAGGTCAGGAGATCGAGACCAGCCTGGCTAACACGGTGAAACCCCGTCTCTACTAAAAATACAAAAAATTAGCCAGGCGAGGTGGCGGGCGCCTGTAGTCCCAGCTAATCGGGAGGCTGAGGCAAGAGAATGGCGTGAACCCAGGAGGCGGAGCTTGCAGTGAGCCGAGATCGCGCCACTGCACTCCAGCCTGGGTGACAGCGAGACTCTGTCTCAAAAAAAAAAAAAAAAAAAAAAAAAAAAAGGGAAGAGTTCATCTCTCCTTTGTCCAGTCAAGGTTCTCTGGAACGAGATGGGTCTGTAGGGGAGACATGAGAGGACCCCTCAGGTTTGATTCACTTTAAAGATTAACAACCCATTTCCTGAGGGGGATAAAAGGCAAAACCTTTCTGACCACCTAAAATGAAAGATCTTAATCTAATTCTGTACACTCCTGGCAGCTGTGGTTACATATGCCCACCTCGTCAGCGATCACACAGTCCAATCTAAAGAGTTTTCTGTTCTCTTTTCAGAAAGCAAAGGTTCCTCGGGCATCCTGAGTTCTGTGTGTGGGGCCGCGGCTGTTTCTGTTGAGCGCTTGGGTGCCTTAATGGCCCGGCATTGATTAGAACTATTGACCTCTTGGTTTCAAGTAACTGACAAGGTTTCCAATGGATCCAGATAATTAAGGCTTCTCAAATGGCAACTAATAATTTGCATTTGCAGTGCGGCCAGCCTTAGGCGCTCGGGGAACCCACACAGGTGAGAAATGAAAGAAAAAGCTCTTCCTGGTGGTCATCTGATCTTTCCTAATGGAGTCTTAGAAAAATCATTTCGCCCTCCCGCCCTATCTTGCTGAAGTTATTAAGTGACCTAGGGGAGCTATTTTCATTTATTGGAAAGCACTTGGGACCAGCTCACAGCATTAAGGAGTGTGGGGTGGTTCTCAAGTCTATCTCCTGCTTCTCATCCCTCTGTCACTCACAAGGACACCCCCAGAGGGTCTATTCTAAGAGGTCTTTGTGCTTCCAGCCCCTCCCTCCTCGAATCCCTCTTTCACATTGTCACCAGTAAGATCTTCCTAAGCCCAAGTTTGGACCATTGTCCTTCTGCTTTCACACCTCCATTGTATCCAGAATTAAAGTCCAAATTCCTGTGTAAGATGGGTCCTAATTCTTTGCACCCCCCACTTCCTCCCTCCACACCCCTGCCTAGATCGAAGTGGATACAGTGGGTGTAGATCCTTAAACATGAAATTCAGACTTACCCATGTGAATTTCTTAGCACTGGAATATCAGTGGGTGAGCCCTGAATGGAGTCCTGACATGTGCTTGAGTGGCTGGGGTCACCCTCTTGAGGTCTGGTGATCTGCCGATGAGAAGAGCATGCCAGCAGCAGCTGCTGGGCCAAGGACAATAAGAAACATGTGGAACCGACTGGGACCCACGCTGCAGCCTGGAGCCCAGCCACACCACGCCTGGTGTAGATCAGCGAAGCCACGACCAGCCCACACAACTGTGGAATGTGAGAACTGGTGCTTATTGTCACAAGCAACTGAGTTTGGGGGTGGCTTGTTATGCAGCATTGTTAACGCCATAGCTGACAGATACTTCCCACATCGTATGATGGTTAATTACATATGAACTTCCCCCCTCAAGACTAAGATATTAAAGGCAAAGACCCTGCTCCTCCTTATCCCAGATACAGCTCAGAGCTGTAATACAATAGGTGCTCAGAAATTGTTGGGAGAAACTAAAATAACTGCACAGGAAGCAAACCCAAAAAAAGGAGAAAAAATCTTTTTTGGGGGAATGGATTGTTTATAACACATGTGTAACAATAACAACAGTATTTATGGAGCATTAGCTGTGTGCCAGGCTGAGTTCTAACACTTTTAAATCCATTTCCTCATTTACTGTTATTATCCTTGTTTTTCAGGTGACAGAGCTGAGGCTCAGTGAGGTTGAGGGGTTTGCCCCAAGCACACGGACACTGAGGGGAGGAGCCGTGCTTTTCAGCATTTCTGTGTATTATTTCCTTTTATCACATAGAGTGAGAGCTGGGCTGCCCAACCCTGTAAGGATGGCAAGTGAGGCCCTGAGGCTAAGGAACCTCACCAGTTGGAACAAGACATCAGGATTTGAACCAGTTTCTGTTTGCTCCCAAAGCCAGACGCTGAAATGGGGCAATGCAAAAGCTCTCCTGGGAAAAAACAAGGCTGGGATGAGGCCAAGGAGAGAAGGTGCTGAGTGTAGGGACAGTGAGCGTGGGGACTGTGTTGGGAACAGAGACGCAGAGAGGGGGAGCTCAGATAGGGCTGGGTAGGGGAGATTCTGGTAGGCAGTTGGATTTCATTCTGTCCTCTCGGTAGAAAAGGCTCTGGCTCCAAATGTGTGGAGCACAGGAGTGCAACATAACTGTCAACTCGTTTTCTTCTGGAATCCATCTGAACTGACTCCATCCTGGAGCCCTGGCTCCTGGGTGGGCTTGATTTCCTGGCTTTTCATCACTGCTCCTGTGGCCAGCTGATGTTTACTGTCACTGGTGAGCCAGCCTTCCAGGCTCTGTCCTGTTCATCGTGTGGGCCCTGGGCCAGACACACTTCTGTCATAATAGCAGACAGTTACTGAGCACATGATAAGCACATTCCCCTCGTGCACTCATGTTAGCCTCACAATGGCCTAGAAACTAAAAGCTGTTACCGTTCCCACTTTACAGAGAAGGAAACTGAGTTGCAGATGTTAGTAGCTGCCAAGTTTACACAGTTAGCAGGTGGTAGAGTGAGGATTTGGCCCCAGGCATTCTAACCACTGAGACCAGGCTCTCAGCCACCAAGCCATGCTTGCCACATGAATACAAGGATTCTCTCAGTCCTCGCCTGTTATCTTCTTCCTTGCTCGCCCCTCACTTCCCCTGGGCTACCCAGCTACCTATATATTTCATTTTTGTAAATTAGAAAAAAGGTGCCCTTCCTTTTGGACAGATGTAGCCCCCCATCAGGGTGCAAACCTTGGTGAGTGGCATGTGGGCTGACCTCAGCTCTCTCTGCACCCTTGTTCAGCGCACCCCTCACCTCCCTCCACTATGAGCAGCTGGCAACACCCTGGTTTGGTGTTGCAAGCCTGGCTGTTCTCCAGGTTCCACCCAGATGGCTGTTCTGGCATCTGTCGTTGCCTCACCAGGTGGGGATGGTTGGCAGGGAGGATGCAGACCCTTGTCCCCAATCCCAGCCAGCCAGGCTGCTGCACAAGGGGTAGGGTGTTTGGCAACAGCTGCAGGGAGGTGAGTAGGGTGAGAAAAGAAAGGATGAGAAGGGAAAGGTTTTGATTTTTCTTACGTTGGAGTCAGAAAAAATTAAATTTAACTCCCGACCAGCCCCTCTACTGGCCTGTGCAGCACCTTTTTGAGAATAAGAAAACGCTGCCCATCCCTTAAACCTTTCACTGCCAACTGCAGAGAAAGTGTCCCAAACCATAATAATGACAAATGTAAATGGCACCCCAGAGCTGCACAGTGGACAACATGAACAACTGTGTATGGCGGCCCTGATCCTGACAAGTCACAGTGTTCTTGAACTTCATTATCTTCACCCATAAAGAGCAGTTTTATAGTCCTTATAGAAATCGGTTAATATGCGTTAACTGATACTATATTATTATTGTTGCTGTTGTCAGATTTCAGTACTGATAGAAATGATTGTGATATTGATGAAGACACTAGGCATTGATAGAGGATTTATGCTCTTCCAATGAGGTTTCAAATCTATTTTCTAATTGTCTGGTACAGTCACATAGCGGTCTATATATCCATTTTACAGGTCAGGAAACTAACTGATGTATTATTCAGTGGCTTGGACAGAACAAGACAATCAGGAAAATCAAAAGCAGCATTCCAACTCCCCCAGTTCTCACTCAGCTTCTCACCATGGTCCTCTGCCCTTCTGGAGCAGTGGTGTGTGTGTGTGTGTGTGTGTGAGTGTGTGTGTGTCTGTGGTGTCTTTGTTCAGTGTGTCTTTGTTCAAAGTGTACCGTTGTTGGAAAGTTTTATTAAGTTGCCTTCTGTCATTGTTCCAGATTTATTGCGTTAATTTGTTTTGGCTTTTTATACACAGGAGCTGCATTTTCCTTTGTTCTACCCCAGTTTGAACCTGCCTGTAGGGTATAAAAATATATTTTTATATTTCAGCCTCTACAGTTTTCTTCTCCAGTGACCAATGTTAAGCAAGAAAATGATTTACTTTGGACTTGAGGGTCAGCAAACTGTTAAGTCATTTGTACCAGTAGCACTCATATATTTATGGAGAAAAACATGTACACATGCGCTAGGACCATCGAAGGCCACTGGAGTCCTGTGGGATGAGCCAAAATTTTCAGGGGAATTGTGGTCTCTCTCTCTCTCTGTCTCTCTCTCTCTGTCATTTCACAATATATCATCTACCCTGAGGAGATTCTCCCACAGAAATGCCCACTCCACAAGGGGGTCTCTGAGACCTCCACAGAGCTCCCTGGTCTTGTCCCCCCATCCCAGCCATATGGGCTCTTGATGGGTCCCCTGTGAGCTGGCCATGCAGAGGTGATGTCTTAATCTGTGTTCTTTCTCCCACAGCTTCATGGAGGCTGCCCACTGGCAGACTCCATTGTCTCTGGAAAAGTTAAAATGATACCTTGAGACGGTGTGTCACTCAAAGATTTTACGACATACATACATAACAACATTGTGTGGGGAGCCACTGGGGGAAGGAAGAAAGGAAGGAAAGATGTTGGAAGGAAGGAAAGGAAGAGAGAAGGAGGGAGGAAGAAAAGAATGAAAAGAAAGGAAGGAAGGAAAGAAGAGATAGAAGGAAAGAAGAAAAGAAGGAGAGAAAGAAGGAAAAAAGGAAACGAGGGAGGGAGGGATGAGAAGCAAGACTAGAGTTTGAGATTGTGAGAGACAAAACCCATGAATTCCTGTTCTTTCCTTCATTTAACTCTTCCTTTTTATGAGATGGAGTTTCACTCATTGCCTAGGCTGGAGTGTAGTGGCCTGAACTTGGCTCACCACAACCTCCGCCTCCCGGGTTTAAGCGATTCTCCTGCCTCAGCCTCCCAAGTAGCTGGGATTACAGGCATGCACCACCACACCCAGCTAATTTTGTATTTTTAGTAGAAACAGGGTTTCTCCATGTTGGTCAGGCTGGTCTCGAACTCTCAACCTCAGGTGATCAGCCCACTTCGGCCTCCCAAGTGCTGGGATTACAGGAATGAGCCACCACATCCAGCCTCATTTAACTCTTCTATGCAGGTATGCAAACTTGTATTTTCCTCCCTCTCTCTTCCAGATGATAGTCACTGGCATCCCCTGTAACTTACATTCCCTGATGCCTCTCTCCAGGCACCCTCTCCCCCGCCACCCACCATAGGCAGGGCATGTCCGACTCCAAAGTGTCATTTTTGACCCCTCACTTGCTTACTCCCATTTTCAATCCATCAACAGATCTTGTTATTTTCATGCCTTTCTGTCCACTTTCCTGTCTCCACCATAACTGCCACCAAGGCAAAGCTCCCACTAAAGCCCCCACAGCCCATCTCCACCTGCACATCCACTGAGCAGACGCCATCTCTGCCTGCACATCCACCTAGCGGACCCCATCTCCGCCTGCACATCCACTGAGCAGACCTTCCAACTGACACCCACCTGCTCCCATCACTCCCCTGCATAGCCCCCCCAAGGGCTCCCTCCTGCTCTTAGAGCAGAACCCGACTTCTTGCCCCATCTATGAAATCCTGAACTGTCAGTCAAGGTTCTCAGTTGCAAACCACAGAGCACCCTCTGCATAGAAAGAAATCTATCGAAGGAGAGCACGTGGCTTTCAGTATCTCCAAGAAAGCAAGAGAATCAGGCATGGGACCTTCACCACCAGGTACAATGCCCCCATCATGGGGCATGGCTGCTCCCACGAGTGAGGCCACCCTCCCAGGATGGGAAGGAGTTCCTGGTTTCTGATTTGGGAGATGTGGGCTGAAAATGGGGAGGACTCAGACACCAGGCAGGTGTTTGAGAGATTCTCGCGCAGACACGTGGCAGGATGTGGACAGTAGTCCCCACAACAACTGTGCACACCCTGCCCAGCCCATCTCAGATGCCCTCAGCAGCCATCCTTGCCCCCTGTGACTCTTCTTCCCTTTCCTCCCTGCCCACAGCCCACTCCTCCTTCAGCTGTCTCCAGTGGCCCCTGCTGCAGGTCTGTCTTCTCCCCCGACACCCTGCTGAACCAGGTCTCTCTGCCCCCCTCTCTCATTGGTCTTTTGCCTTTGCCTTCGCAGCATTGCTGGGGTCCACATCCTGTGGTCTGGTCCACTTCTGACTTCAGCTGCAGCCTGCTGGACAGTTCACAGCACTCAGATGCCCCTCATGCTGCAGAGGTCAATGGGTATGGCTGGATCCCTGTCTCTCCTACAAAGCCGAGAGCTTGCTCACTGGAGAACCAGCTCACAGAGACGTGCAGGAGAGGTCATCAACTGGGGGTGCCCCAAAGCTGTGGGGTGGAGCCAGGGTGGTGCCCGAGTGTCCCACCTATTGGGAGTTTTCCATCCACTTCTCAGGTTCCAGCTGCACCGAGCCCTGCAGCAACCCCACGGAGGCCTCCCTAGATTGGCCTTTCCTCCATCACAGCCTCACTCTCCCTCTCCTGCTTCCTGCAATCAACTTCCAAACAAATATGTAAATCCAAGTCCTTGTCTCAAGCCTGCTTTTGAGAAAATCAAAACTAAGTCAACACTTCTCAGGTTGTGATTTTGTGTATGGGGCTGACTTGTGAAATATTAATTTCCTCTGAGTCCAGGAGCCCATGGACTCGATGGGCTCCACTCTATGGCAGCTCCGTGTGTCCAATTTGCCTGTCACCATATCCTGAATGCAGTTCCTGACACATAATAAGTGTTCAATAAATACATGTGAAATAAATGAACAAATGATCGCTGTATTATGGGCTGTGATGCCAATTATCCTGCTTTGAGGAGGCAGTTGCAGGTGTGCCAGGCATAAGACACCGTTCTTTGTGTCAATGTGGCCTGGATCTTCTGGTTGTTGTGGATTGAACCTGACCCTAATTCAGCCATCTGTGGCCTGACAAAAGGGAAAGCAATGTCCTAGAGCTCTGGCCAACAGACCCATCCTATCCTGGAGGACATCAGGTCCCAGAGGGAGTGTCAGTGTCAGTGGAACGGGAGGCAGAGACAGAGATGGAGCTGAGCTGGGAGCCGATGGGGTTACCGGACACTGCACTTCCTGCCTCATCTTGGAGAGAACAAAACACACACACCTGGGCTGCCCTCATCTCCATTCTAGGCTGGACCCCCTGAAAAGGAATCTCAAGTAAGTTCCCCTTGACCTCAGGCTGTGTTAGCCAGGCTGAAAGCAGCACCACCTGGAGGTGCACTGGTGTACTTGCTTTGGTTGGTCCCACCTAAAGGTGCATGACTGGAGGTGCTCTGGCCTCTAGGTGCACTGGCAGGAGGTGCTCCCTCTTGAAGGTGCACGGATTTTAGATGCTCTCACCAGAAAGCGCATGGGCTCAAGGTGCTCCCACCTGAAAGATTAATGGGAGGGGCATTTGTTCTCATTCTCAGACAGAGGTTACAAAAGTTTTTCTGTTAAAGACCAGATAGTAAATACTTCAGGCTCTGTGGGCCAGGTCAAAAAGTCTCTTGTTTCAACTTCTCAACTCAACAGTTGAATCACTAAAGCAGCCAAAGGCAATACATCAATAAATGGACATGGCTGTGTCCCAGTAAAACTTTATTTAAAAGTGAGCAGATTTGACTCACTGGCCCTAACTTGCCAATCCCTACTCTAAAGTCACCTCAGGGATCCTATCCTGCCCCTGATTGGTGGGCAGGTGTTTCCACTGCCCTGCTCCCTGACACCTCACCTGGAGCCATTGGGAAGTCTGGTTTCTTGGCTGAACTCTCAGGTTTCTGGCAACTCATCTGAACTTATTCTATGTGCACTTCCCTGCCTCCTTTTCCTTCCCTCCCACAGCATGAGAATTGTGAGGGCCCAGATCATGTCCCATGAGCTGTGGAGTCTGGCGTTGGCTCTTTCAATGTTGACTGTGTGCCTTTGGCTAACGGACTCAGCCTTTCTAAGCAGAGTTCATCTGCCAGCAGGGAGCACTGGCAAGAGACACCGAAGTCAGCCAGGGGTGCATAGCTAATGAATAGAATAGCCAAGGGGCACACTGAAGGGTTGGTAGGACTTGAATGACATAAGGAGGAAGGGTGCTTCTGGTAGAGGGAGCCCCACCTGCAAAGCTCAGGCAGCATGAACTAATGAACCTCTCTCTACAAAATATTGAAAACAAACAAACGAACTCTGTCATTGACATTGGTACGTAATTTCCTGCCCACCTCTTAAAGTACTTGTGAGGCTCTGAAGAGGTATGGCAGGTGTGGCTGGGGCCTGGATGGGCAGAGGCTGGGGTTTGGTGTCTTGCTTCATCTGTTGCATCCAGGAGCTCTCGGCCCTTTGGGCATTTGATCGGCCTGAGCTAATGTGCCTGAGAAAGGGAAAGGGATGGAGGGTTTTGCCCTGGGGCCTGGGCTGGAGGCCTTCGCTGTGCAGATTGTTTCCTCCCAGCTGTGGACCAGGGCTCGGTCCAGAGTTCTTTTCTTTGCAAACCCTGGAGGTTCCAGTGGAGGGGAGCTGCATGGCTGGGTCTTACTCTCAGAACAGCACAAAGCCTGGCCCAGCCCTGGATGTCTTCACCAGCAGAGAATGTGACCAAAAGGGTGGGAGGAGGAGGAAGGATTGGCTCCTCCATACCCAGGTGGCACCCCTGCAGCCCACTGAGCTTACCACGGGGTGCTGCACTCTTAGTCATACAGGAGCTAGTGCAATGCATCACTAAAGGGTCAAACCACCTCATTCATCTCCTGGGACTGTGAGGCTCCCGGGAACCCAGTGAGAAACCTGATAGAGAAACGTGCTTTAGGCGGCTCAGGCCCTCTTGTGGGTGTACTCATTTCCTTACGCTGATGTGACAAATTATACAAACCGGTGGCTTGAAACAACAGCAGTTCATTCTTTCACAGTCCAAAATCAAGGTATCAGCAGGATTGGTTCCCCCTGAAGGCTCTGAGGGGGAAGCCGCCCCAGGCCCCGCTCCTGGTGGCTGCAGGCAGTCCTGGGCATTCCTAGGCTCGGAGCTGCATCCGTCCAGCCTCCGCCTCCACCTCCACAGGGCCTTCCTCCCTGTGTCCCTTTGTGTCTCAAATCTCCCTCTCCTTTCTCTTATCAGGACACTTGTCATTGGATTTAAGGCTCACCTCAAATCCACATGATCTCATCTCAAGATCTTTCACTTAATTTCATCTGTAAGGACCCTATTTCCAAATAAGGTTACATGCTCAGATACCTGGAGGCTTAAAACTTGGACACAGTTTTTTTTCAGGAACACAGTTCTACCCACTCCAGTGGGTGTGTACCTCGTGGAGGCAGCCCTTCCCCCCAAATCCAGCCCCACCTCCTTCTCACACCTCCCGGTCTCCTTTGGAGGCGCCCTTAAATCTTGCCTCGCCTTCACTGTTTTCTCTCTGTCTGGCTTCAAATCACTCTCATTCCATCTCTTTCACAGCTGACTTCAATGAGCTGAAGGGCAGCCTTCCCTCTCTCCAGGCAGCCACCCAGGCCTGAAACTAATCCTCTCTTCAGCTCTCCTTTTGGGGTCCTGCTGCTTGGCTTTCCACTGGGAAAGTGAGAGGCAGAGATACCATCCCCTTTGTCTGGTAGCCACAGCCCAGTGTCCCAGGGCTGGGCTGGGTTCTTAATAAGTTTTGGGGGATGAGAGGCCAATGGTGAGGCTGGGCCCAGAAGGCTGATGAGGTCAGAATCCATTACCGCTCTGCAATTCTCCTCCGAAGAAAGAGTTTTACTCTGGGAGTGAGTTTTCCCAGAAAAGATTTTTAAGACAACTGTCTGAAAGCTCTTCTCAAAAACCACACCTAAAAACAGAAGCCTTCCCTCTAGCCATCTGGACGCCTAGCAAAGAAAAAAAAAAATGACAAGGCAAAGGAAAGTAGCGTAAGTGGAAAAGTCAGCATCAAGAGAGTGAGTTTGCCAGGTCAGGCTTGTCCTGGGGAGGGGAGACTTTGCCCCTTCTTTATGTCTTGTCTGGACTCTGATTCTCTTGTCTGCTTCTTTAAATGCAGGGGGCATGTTAACATCACTCAGAGTTCTCCTAAACCCGTCGGTGCAGACTAGCTTCAGGCAGGTTACAGTATTCACTCCAGGCTTTAGTCTCCTCACCTGAAAAATGGGGTAATAAAACCCGCCTTGCAGGATGGCCTAGAGAGTCAATCAAATAAGATGGAGAAAGGGCGAGCGTGGCGCCTGGCACCTAAGCAGTGATCAGCAGTGTTTGCTGTAGCTTCACTTCACCTCGTGAACACTTGATGGAATTGGTATGATTCTCTTTCCCACAGATTGGACAGGTTCTGTCACTTGTCCATGCTCACCAGCTGGGCAGGACAGAGTCCGTAGACGTCCTGAGTCCATGTGATTCCAGAGCTCTGCTCCGACTCCCGACTGCCAAGTTCTGACCTCTCTTCGTCCTCTCTCTTTCTCAACCCGGTTTTTCTTCAGTCTTCATCCCTCTCAGCTCTGTCCTTTCTCTGTTAAGCCAGGGTTTATGATCAGGACTGGGGCTGAGGTGGGGCAGAGGATATGTTGGGTTGAAAAATACTGGATTTGGACTCGAGAGACTGGAGACAGAGTCCAAGCCCACACTCCATGTGTAGTGAAACCTGGGCCCCCACCTCCGTGCCTGGAGCACTATCCTTACCTGTAGTTGGCTGTGCGGGTCACTCCAGCTCTTACCTTCTCTCAGGCTGCAGTGAGGTACTGGAGGGAGGTGACGGAGCCTGCTCTGTGTGCAGAATATTGCAGCGTGCAGTCCCTTATTTCAAACCCAGATAGGACTTGCCAATGCACCCTGCAGGGCACTAGGAAGCCAGGACACAGCCCCCACCCTGTGTCACAGAGATGCGTTTGCAGACACAGTTATCCAAATCCACTTCACGCCTGGTTCAACATCTTCCAGGCTCTCTAGAAGGGACTCGCAAGTTCAACAATTTTTCTTGTCAGTTTCCTTTTCGTTCCAATATCAATGGAAGAAAATGTTTTTGTATGTATGTTTACTGTTCCTGAAATTTAATAATGTTCTTGAAAAAAGTCAATTCCCCCAGAAAAGGTGCCTTTGTTCATGCCACCTGACCTTTGCACATGCTACTCCGTCTCCCTGAAGCACCCTTCCTTCCTGTTTTCCTGAAGTTCTACCAGCCCTTCCTTGTGTAGCTTGGCCAGTGTGTTCTTTTCCTCTGAGCCCCTGGGCTGGCTCAGACTTCTGTGGCTTTTCCTAGGGCCCCTATGGAGGCTGTCATTTTCTGCCCCTGGGCGTCAACATTCTGTGTCTGTGTTGTGGACAAGCTCCTGGATATGGAGCTCTGTCAATGGGACCAATATCTTCTCCATCTCCATATTCTCCGTCCCCACCATGATGTGAGTGATGGAGTGAGGAACAGAGGATTTGCCCACCTGTCTCTGTGTCAGTCAGGTCTAAGAACCAGCCACAGAGGCTCAAAAATGCAAATCAAATGTGTCTGCTTCAAATTAAGTCCATTTTCTGGTCTAGTAGGGGTAGCTGTTTCTTAGCCAATAAATATTAATAAGAAAAATAAACCAATCTTTTAGACTTCTTTTCCCCAGCTGCTACCCCAGGGTTATAAATTATGTACTGCCTGAGTCTGTTTTGACAGTTGTGATAAAGTGGTTTTCAGATTCAAAGAGCATTTTTCCTGAAAGAATGCAGCATTGTGCATTTTTGGTACAATCACCACTACCTTGCCCCTGCCCCCCCACCTTTTTCCTGTCTAGGAGGAAGGTTTGACTAGAGTAGCTATTTTTCTACTCTGGGGCCTTTTCTGTCACCACTTTGCCAAACAAACACTATGTTTTTTTTTGTTTGTTTGTTTGTTTTTTTTGAGACAGAGTCTCACTCTGTTGCACCCAGGCTGGAGTGCAGTGGTGCAATCTCAGCTCACTGGCTGACTGTAACCTCTGCCTCCCAGGTTCAAGCGATTCTCCTGCCTCAGCCTCCCGAGTAGCTGGGATTACAGATGCCCGCCACCAATGCCTGGCTAATTTTTTGTATTTTTAGTAGAGATGGGGTTTCATCATGTTGGTCAGGCTGGTTTTGAACCCCTGACCTCAGGTAATCCACCCACCTTGGCCTCCCAAAGTGCTGGGATTACAGGCGTGAGCCACTGCACTGGCTGATTTTTTTTTAAACTTCTGACTGTTATCACAAAAACTCAGAAAGATTTTAACGAGCTGGAGTAAACTTCCTTCAGTGGTGGGCGTGATGGGCTGTGGTTGCCCCAGCTTTTGACCCCTGTTTGCATTCGTCTTCATTTTCCAGGACCTGGTGCCTTGTCTGACCTCCAATCTCCCAAGCAAAATCCAACCCATCATTGAGACCCTGGTGAGACCCTGACTCTTTCAGCTTTTCACAGGCTCTCTTTGCTCCTGTATTGTTACTGTCAGGACTAAGAGTCACCCTTGAATCTTCCCTCAACTTTCCCGCTTTGTCTCTGCGTGATTTTCAATCCCCCTCATTCCATCTCCTCCACAGCTGCCTAGTGCCCCCGCCCCTTGTCCCACTGCTGCTGATGCCCCCGGGATTTTCTCTTGGTTCATCTGGACTTTCTTTTCCTTCACTGAGGTATCATCTGTGCGCAGTTAAGTGCACAAACCCCAAGTGTTCCCTCAGCACATTTTCACATTTGTCTACACTTGAGCAACCTCCAGATCAGGATAGAGGAGGCCAGCACTCCAGCAGCCTTCCCTGTGCTTTCTCAGTTGATGATCAAAGGTGTGATGATTCTGACCTCCCACTGAGGTGGCTTCCACATGCTTCTGAGCTTCTTGTTAATGGAATTCTACAAGACACACATCTGTGTGTTCAGCTTTTCTTTCTTCTCTGTTTTATCTGTGAAATAAATTTGATTTATTGTGTTCAACAATAGATTATTTTAGTTAAGAATTATTCAACTGAGAAGTGTATATATATAAATATAACATAGATGATTTATCATTTGTACTCTTTCCTTTTTTTTCCCTTCTGAAATAGGGTCTGGCTCTTCTGCCCAGGCTGGAGTGCGGTGGTGTGATCATGGCTCATTGCAGCCTCGACCTCCCAGGCTCAAGAGATCCTCTCATGTCAGCCTCCCAAGTAGCTGGGACTGTAGGCATGTGCCACACCCCACCTGGCTAATTTTTGTACTTTTTGTAGAGAAGAGGTTTCACCATGTTGCCCAGGCTGGTCTTGAACTCCTGGACTGAAGCGATTCTCCTGTCTTGGCCTCCCAAAGTGCTGAGATTACAGGTGTGAGCCAATGCACCCTGCCTGTTATACTCTTAATGGACGCTTAGTAATTCCCAGGTTTTGGTTGTTATAAATAATTCTATGAACACTCTTGTACCCGTCTTTTGGTCAGTGTAAGTCTTTATCTCTCTTAGGGAAAAATCAAGGAGTAGAATTTCTAGGGTTAGCTTTAGTTGATATTGTCAAATAGTTGTTGAACTGATTTACACTCCCACTAGCAATGTAGGTGAGGTCTAGTTATTCTACATCTTCACTGACACTTGTTATTGCCATTAAGCTTGTGAGGTTTTTGTGTGTGTGCGTGTGTGTGCTCATTTTACATTAATCCATAGGTCTTTGATTTGCAAGAGTTATTTATGTATTCTGAATCTGAGTCCTTTTTCAGATACATATGCTGCAAATATCTTCCCCAAGCCATGACTTGTTTTTATCACTCTCTTAATGGTGTCTTTTGATGAACGGAAGTTCTTAAAGTTCTTAATTTAATGAAGTCCAATTCATCAGTCCTTTCTTTTATGGCTAGTGCTTTCCATGGCATGTTTAAGAAATCTTTGGCTTCCCAAAGGTCATGAAGATGCTCTTCTATGTTTTCTTCTAGAAGTTTCATTGCTTTACTTTTTGCTTTCAGGTTTATGAACCATGTCGAATTAATTTTTATGTATGTGTAAGGTTCACCCTGACTTTGAAAATAGCCTCCTCCCTGGTAACATGGATGCCAGTGTCCCTACCCAAATCTCATCTTGAATTGCAGCTCTCATAATCCCCACGTGTTGTGGGAGGGACCCAGTGGGAGGTAATTGAATCATGAGGGCAGTTACCCTCATGTTGTTCTCGTGATAGTGAGTTAGTTCTCACAAGATCTGATGATTTTATAAGGGACTTTCCCCCCGTTTGCTCAGCACTTCTCCTTGCTGCCACCATGTGAAGAAGAACATGTTTATTTTTGTTTTTATTTTACTTTAAGTTCCAGGATACAAGTGCAGAACATGCAGGTTTGTTATATATGTATATGTGTGCCATGGTGGTTTGCTGTACCTATCAACCTGTCATCTAGGTTTTAAGCCTCCCATGCATTAGCTATTTGTCCTGATGCTCTCCCTTTCCTCACCCCCAATCTCCTGACTGGCCCTGGTATGTGTTGTTTCTCTCTGTGTGTCCATGTGTTCTCATTTTTCAACTTCCACTTATGAGTGAGAACATGTGGTGTTTGGTTTTCTGTTCCTATGTTAGTTTGCTGAGAATGGTGGCTTCTAGCTTCATCCATATCCCTGCAAAGGACATGATCTTATTCCTTTTTATGGCTGCATAGTATTCCATGGTGTATATATACCACATTTTCTGTATCTAGTCCATCATTGATGGGTATTTGGGTTGGTTTCATGTCTTTGCTATTGTAAATAGTGCTGCAATATGCATATGTGTGCATGTGTCTTTATAGTAGAATGATTTATATTCCTTTGGGCATATACATAGTAATGGGATTGCTGGGTTAAATGGTAATTCTGGTTCTAGATCCTTGAGGAATCGCCATACTGTCTTCTACAATGGTTGAACTAATTTACATTCCCATCAACAGTGTAAAAGTGTTCCTATTTCTCCACAGCCTTGCCAGCATCTATTGTTTCTTGACTTTTTAATAATTGCCATTCTGATTGGCATGAGATGGTATCTCATTGTGGTTTTGATTTGCATTTTTCTAATGATCAGTGATGTTGAGCTTTTTTTCGTGTTTTTTTGGCCACATAAGTGTCTTCTTTTGAGAAGTATCTGTTCATATCCTTTGCCCACTTTTTTTTTTTTTTTTGAGATGGAGTCTCGCTCTGTTGCTCAGGCTGGAGTGCAGTGGCACGTTCTTGGCTCACTGCAACCTCCGCTTCCTGGGTTCAAGTGATTCTCCTACCTCAGCCTCCTGAGTAGCTGGGGTTACAGGTGTGCACCACTGCACCTGGCTAATTTTTGTATTTTTAGTAGAGGCAGGGTTTCACTATACCGGTCAGGCTGGTCTCGAACTCCTGACCTCGTGATCCTCCCACCTTTGCCTCCCAAAGCCTTTGCCCTCTTTTGATGGGGTTGTTTGTTTTTTTCTTGTACATTTGTTTACATTCCTTATAGATTTTGGATATCATAATGACCCTTGTCAGATGGGTAGATAGATTGCAAAATTTTCTTCCATTCTGTAGGTTGCCTGTTCACTCTCATGATTGTTTCTTTTCCTGAAGCTCTTTAGTTTAATTAAATCACATTTGAGAAGGACGTGTTTGCTTCCCCTCCGCCATGATTGTAAGTGTCCTGAGGCCTCCCTAGCCATGCTAATCTGAGTCAATTAAACCTCTTTCCTTTATAAATTACCCAGTCTTGGGTAGGTCTGTATTAGCAGCATAAGAACGGAGTAATACACCTGGTATCCGCTTCTTCTTTTTTTAAATTACCTCAATTTTTGCTTCTATCATGGTGTCCAGTCTAAGGCCAGGTCTAGTCACATGACTCTTCTGCTTAAAACCATTTTGTGTTTCTCTGATCATAAAGTCTACAATCCTTTGCATGGTTTATTTATAATATTAGGATAAGAAAGTAACTTATCTTTCTAGCTTCATCTCCTATTAATCCTCTGTGTTACACTTTAGCCGCTCCGAATATCTTCTATTATGGGTTTAATTGTGTCCCCACCGAAAGATATGTTGAAGTCCTGACTCCCAGTGCCTCAGAATGTGACTTTATTTATAAATAGGGTCTTGATAGAGGTAATCAAGTAATAATGAAGTCATTAGGTGGCCCCTAATCCAATATGACTGATGTCTTTAGGAAAAGGGGAAATTCAGACACAGACACACATCCAGGGAGAAGGCCATGTGAAGAGGAAGGCAGAGACTAGGGTGAGGCATCTACAAGCCAAAGAACACTAAGGACTATTGGCAGACTCCAGAAGCTGGGAGAGACGCCTGGAAAAGGTTCTCCCTGGCAGCCCTCAGAAGGAATAAACTCTGTGGACACCTTAATTTTGGACTTCTAACCTCCAGAACTGGTGAGAAAATATATACGTTTTGTTTAAGGCACTCAGATTGTGGCAGTTTGTTATGGCAGTCCTAACAAACTAATACATCTACTTCCATGCTCCCACCTCTTTGCAGCAACTTTCTCCTCTGCTTTGATAGCCCTTTCTTCCAAAATTTCTAGTAAAATCCTACTTGACCTGAGTCCAAGTCTATCCATCTTTTCTGATAAACACCTTTTTTAGAAGTGTTTTCTAGGTCTTTTTCTAAACACCTTCTTAGAATACTGGGGGCTGGCTTGTACACACCAAATGCCAACCAGCTCACTGTCTTCTGCCCCCCACCTTGTTTTCTATATGCATAGTATTTGTACATACCTCGATTACAGCAAGGATCCTCTGGATAATTCTGTTTAGTCCTGAGTGCCTATTTCTACTTCCCTCTGTGTGCCTTCTTGTACTGAAGAGCTAGGAAAATCAAAATCAGAATCTACCTCTCCTGGACTTCCTTGTGGTCAAGTTCTGGATGCCAAAGTTCTGGATGCCAATTAGAGCATAAGATTTGGAAGGCAGAGGGGAAGTAGAAGCTCTTGTTCTTCTATTTTTGTTGTTGTTGTTTTCCTGCACGAGTGTGGAAAGGTGAGTATTTAGAGGCAGTTGAAGCTGCTGGACTCAGGTTCTTAGTGTCTAGTCTTCAGCTTTGTCTTAGTCCATTCAAGTGGCTATACATAACATAATACCATAAACTGTGCAGCTTAGAAATTTATTTCTGACACTTCTGGAGGCTGGGAAGTCTAAGATCAAGGCACTGCCAGATTCAATGTCTGACAAGGGTCTGCTTCCTTGTTTTTGTGTCTTCACATAGTTGAAGGGGCAAGGCAGCTCTTTGAGGCCTCTTTCATAAAGGTACTGACCCCATTCATAAGGGCTCTACCCTCATAATCTGACCACTTCCCAAAGGCCCCACCACCATCACACTGGGGACCAGGATTTAACATAAATTTTTGGGGGGACACAAACATTCAGTTTATAGCAAGATTGGAAGGTCTCTGGGGATTTTTGTAGCCATTGAGAGGCTTGAACTCAGTGTCTAAATTATTAAGTTTATGGTTAATTGGAAGTGTGGCTATCTACCTATTCTCCACCCCTCCCTTCATACTGTTTCTACTATAAGGATAGAGACAAGCAGTTTACAGGGCTGTCTTTCTCCTATTGATAACATCCAACATGGCTCCAATTTCAGATACCTTATATTGAGTAACAAGTGACCCCAAAATGTAGTGACATAAAGTGATAATTTCTTACGATCTCTCATTGTTATGTGGATGAACTTGTTCAGGTCATAACTGAGTGGGTCTTGCTTGGTCTTGCACATGGTTGAAGTCAGATGGCAGCTGGGGCTGGAGTCACCTGAAGACTCAACTGGGCTAGACATCTAAGATGCGTCTTCACTCATGTCTGGCACCTTGGTTAGGATGAATAGAACACCTGGGGCCTGGGCGGACCTCTGTCTTCATGTGGCTTCTCTGCTTGGCTAGCTTGGGTTTCCTCATATCATGGCAGTCTTAAGGTGGTTAAACTGCTTACGTGGAATATTATTTCCCCAAGAAAGAATGTTCTTGGACCAAGCAGGGAGTTGCAATGTTTCTTCTGGCCCAGGTTCATGCAGTGTCACTTCCTCCACGTTTATTGGTTAAGGTCACAGGACCAGCCCAGATTCAAGGGGCAAGAATTACGCAAGGGTGTGCATATTGGAGGCACAGTTCATTAGGACACATTGAGAGACAAACTATAATAGCTCCCTGTGTATCCTCCTTAACTGTGAACACACTATCTTCCATCCCTGGAAGGCTCTAATATGAGTTAGGAGGCAGGGCACGATGGCTTATGCCTGTAATCCCAACACTTTGGAAGGCCGAGGAAGTCGGATCACTTGGAGTCAGGAGTTTGAGACCAATCTGGCCAACATAGTGAAACCCCATCCCTACTAAAAATACAAAAATTAGCTGGGCATGGTGGTATGTGCCTGTAGACCCAGCTAC
Source organism: Homo sapiens (assembly GCF_000001405.40). Classification (NCBI taxonomy): domain Eukaryota; kingdom Metazoa; phylum Chordata; class Mammalia; order Primates; family Hominidae; genus Homo; species Homo sapiens. Next base: position 135,741,405 of record NC_000008.11, read on the forward strand.
TTGGGAGGCTGAATCATGAGAATTGCCTGAACCCAGGAGGTGGAGGTTTCAGTAAGCGGAGATCATGCCACTGCACTCCAGGCCGGGTGACAGAGTGAGACTTTGTCTCAAAAAAAAAGGGGTTAGGAAAGGGCATTAATTAGACTAGTAATTTATTCTGGTCAATTTCCTACTATGAAATACATCCCCAGCCCTGATATCTAGATATTAAAAAGCTAGAGATGAGCCCAAAGAATGGCCTACAACTTCTTCTCCAAAAAATGTCACCTCAACAAACTACTACACAACACGCTGTGCTGATTAACTAATGGCCTGTGAGGGTGTATCACTACGTGATATTCAGAGTGCATTTTGAAATATAGAAAATAGAACAGTTTTCAGATATTACCTGAAAACTTCAGTTTAAGAAGGACCAGAATAGATTATCTCATTTTAATATAATGTTAACAATTAGCATTTTTATTATAACCAAAAGAGCTCATTAAAACAACCATGTAATTGAACTAAGATCTGTTATCCACATTTTATAGAAGAATAGATGGAGTTTCAGAGAAGTAGACTGATATACCCAAAGGAACAGATCTTCTGTGGGTAAGCTGAGGCTCAAATCTAAATGTGTGACTCAAAGTTCACTGTACTTTTGACTATAATAAAGACAGCAGGTATGTGTCATGCATTACATTACTTGCTCTCCCATGTCTATGCAGACATCACTAATCACTCAAGGATACTTATTCTGCTAAATTGCGACATTGGCTTATAATCCTTCTCAACTCAATGTGCTACCAATCACTTGAGGCTCAAGATAACATCTTATCATCTTGACACTCTACTATGTTGCCTGTCCGGAGGCTGAATGAAGCCCACAGTAGAAAGATCACTTCTTTGATCTGAGGATTTTAAAACATAAGGAGTATTCTCTATTTATTCACTCATTTATTTTTTAATTAAAAAATTATAATCACAAATTATACAGTCAAGTTTCTCACATTTGGGGAAATCATAGAGGTCACATCTGGAGTGCAATGGATGAGTCTTGCCCTGGGAAAACCACCTTTGTGATCATGGTGTCTCCCCTGCCAGGTAAGTATTACTCAGTCAATTCTAAGCTGCACATCCCCCACCAATCCCCATGCACATTTTAACATTTCTGATTTGGGGATGTGTCTTGCAGTCAATGTGGTGGTTTTTTTCCCTCTTCTGAGCAATCTCTTTTGAACTGATGGTACATTGTTCAATTGACAGCATTTTAGAGTTAACAAAATATATCCATTCATGTATTTATGTATGTATTTGTGAAGTAAGTATTTGTTTGTAGGTACTGGGTACTAAGCAGTTAGCCCACATTAGAGAACATGGCCCAGACTCAGTGTTTGAGGATAGGGTTTCTCAGCCTTGGCATAATTGAGACTTGGGTCCAGATAATAATAATATTTTTTGGTGGGGTACTGTCCAGTGCATTGGAGGATGTTTAGCAGAATTCTTGGTCTATACATACATACATATTGGTTGCCAGGGGGCACCTTCACTCCAATTATGACAACCAAAATGTCCCCAGACATTGCCAAATGTCCCCTAGGCAGGGGGCAGGGGGCACAGGGAAGGGTAAGGTATTATCCACAGGTGAGAACCACTGCTCTAGAAGTTAGTTTTCTGGGTCATCATAATCTTCTGTCTCTGTCTTATATCACTCATCCATGGAGTAGAGATTTTACTAAATGTGAGTCCAAACAACTGTACTTTTTCCCATGTGCCTTGGGAATTGAATGATACATACTATTTTTAGGGTACTTGGTATGCACTGGACACAGGATTATGCCCTTGACTCATTGAATTCAGAAAACGAAATACAGAGTGTGAGGAGGGATTATAGGTGGCCCCCAGCGCCCTGTCTGAGTTTAAACTCCTGGCTTGTGACTGCTAGCTGTTTGTTATCACGGGTAAGGCAACTGTCCTCCCTATGCCTCAATTTCTCCATCTGTAAAATGGAAGTGCTAATAGTTGCTGTTACAAGAACTATACAGTGAAAACATTAAAATATGTAGAACCATGCAAGCACACATAAGAAATACTCACAAAGCATGGTTATTCTTCTTAAACTCAAGGATATAGGCATCATTATCTCACTTATCAAATGAGGACATCAAAATCAGGGAAATAAAGGAAATTGTCCAAGATCATGCAAGTGGCTGAGTGGCAGAGCTGAGATTCAAACACTGTTTATCACTGATTTAAAACCTGATGGTAAAACTCAAAGGAGCATATAGCTCTCCTGGGCAGGGCTCCGGCATCAACAGGAAGCTGGAATCTAGGCTAGGCTTGTGCACACTGTCTTATTCTGTCAGGGTCACTGAGGGTCACGGGTTAGAACACCTGGGGCGGCCCTGTGAAGCAAGGTAATGGAAAAACACCACGGACTGTGACAAAAGTAAATGAGAAGCACACAGAAAGAGAGGTGGAAAATAACAGCCGGGAACCAATATAGAAGACACATACTGGCACGGAGCTGGGGCTTAGCAGGTGACTGAGGTCAGCATTTCTTATCACAGCCTTCTTTGTGCACTAGTTTGAGCCCTGCATGGCCTGAATGTTTGGCGAGTGCTGTATGGGTTCAGTTCTCTCTGGCTATGGCTCCTCTTCCTTTGGCTGTGCTGTGCTTTGCTGCTTACAGGTTCATTGCTTTCGTCTCCATGAAGATGGGCCTTGCCCTGGGCTTGGAGCCACTTACTGCTGGGGCCATGCCTTATTGTCTCCACGTTACCAGAATGTAATGCCTTATGATGCTTGATTATTGTTCGCTTGATAGAGAAACAAATGATGGCATTTGATTCTCACAGAAATCCTTTGACTCAGTCTCATTTCGTAGGGTGAGGAAACTGAGGCAAATGAGTAAGGCTCTTGAGCCTGGTTAGTGAGCAGGGAGTCTGGGTCATCTGACACAGCCTCCCCTACTCTTTCCATAGCTGTTCACACAGATAATAAATGTCCATAAGGTGTGATGCACACATTCATTCATTCATTCCTTCATTTATCTAATGAAGTTATTGGTCCTTGGTACATACCAAACATCTGCTGAAATTCTTGACCCATGTTGTCTGAACCATTCAGTTTAGCACTGGAGGCAGCTGCCTTGTGCTATTCACTCCTTCAGGAAATGTGCATTGTGTATTTGCTCTGGTCTAGGCAGAGATTAGTTGTTGGGGATCTGTGGAGAATCTAGACCTGGTCCTGCCCTCAAGAAGTTCCAGTTCAATGCTTGAGACAGACTGGCTGGTAGTTATTTTATCTGACAGTCACTAAAATTTACACAAGGTAGAGTGTGGTGATTGCTTGTTGATTGCCTTTTGGATGTGCATCATGTGTCTTCAAGTGGATGGCAAGTCCTTTGCTGGCGAGGAATGCATCTTCTGCCCTTTTCATGTGCTCTACTAATGGCCATTTAGGGCTTAGAACATCATAACTTGGTCAGGCCCCACTGATATCCCTGCTAAGAACTCACCTGGGAGCAGAAGGAAAGTGAATGGGCTCAGGGCACGGTGTGACCCATGGTGAGGAATGAAACTGACCGGATGCTCAAATAGGTCCAAAGGGTTTTGGGGACCTCAGCTTGACCTCAGCTGAGTTTGACATCTGAAAGTTCCCAGGATGTCTGGAGGTTGTATTGGTTAACATATTGGTTTATTATTAATGCATAACAAACTTTTCCCCAACTCAACTTCTTAAGGCATTAATTGCTGTTAATGGGTTGAGAAGTCAGCCTGCTTTTCTTCTGCTCTCTGCTGGGCTCAAGCATCTATCTGCAATCAGCTGTGGTTCACGTCGGCAGCTCTGCTAATCTTGTGTGGGCTGGCTTGCAGGGATCAGCTGGCTGTGGGCTGGGCTAGGATGGCCTTGGCTTGAATAGGGGTCTCCTTCCCACATGATCTCTCTCCTCCCACCAGGCTGGCCTTTTGAGATCTGGCTCAGAATTGTCAAAAGGTCACTTTTGCTGCCTTCCATTGGCAAAATAAGTCATAAGGTCAGCCCAGAGTTGAGAGATGGGAAATAGATTCCACTTCTTGATAGGAGGAGCTAAAAGTTTAATTGTAAAGGGTGTAGATACAGGGAAAGATGGAGGATTAGGGTGATCACAGGGACAGAGGGAGATGAGTCTTCTGGCAGATTCTATTTCTGAGAAACTCCCTTAACTGCAGGTTATGGCCCTAATTAAAGACTGGGAGCATAAGCCTTAGGATCTGACCCCTGTGAGAAGAGGCCAGTCAGAGCCTCACAATTGTTCCAGCCTTATGCAAGTATGCTGGGCTGCAGAACATGGCTCTAATGTTAGTTCGAGTTCAAGTAGGGCAGGAAGCCAACACAATAATCCAGTTCATCCCCTGGTCAGATATGGCGGGATTTGCAGTGGCTGCAGCCATTCAGGGGCCCAGACCTACATCCTGCATGGTGGGCTGAGGCAGATGGAAACTCCCTCCCAGTGGTGATGATAAGGTGCTTGAAGTAACTCCTTCTCTGCTTAGATGGATTCAGGCAGTGGTTAGGGCTGAAATTACACCTAAACTACTTCTGTACTTAGTGCTGAGCAGACCTAGGAAATGGAGGATCCCATGGGGGTTAAGGTGTCTGTCAAGTGGAAATAGACAGGTGAATCCCAGCTCCTTCATATGCTAGCTGTTGACCTTGGATAGGTGCCTTCATCTCTCTACACTTCACGATAGTGAGACTTAAACGAAACAACACACATAAAAGAAAGTCTTATACAGTGTCTGGCAAAAGTAAGCATCCACAAAATGTGATTTCATTTAAAAATACTTTAGCTTTTCAGTCTTTAATGACTCTGGCATCAAAATGTTGTAATAAAAAGAGCTGTAGCTTTAGAGAAAGGTAAACCAACATGAAAGACTAACTCTACTACCTGACTCTGATTTGTGTAAATGAGGTTAGCATTTACTTTTAGACTTTGGGAGAATAACTGTGTTCCCATTCTACCTTAATCTTGCTTAACGCACACGGTCTGTGTGGGATTGAATTTACTGAGCCCCCAGCTGGTCCTAGGGGCTTGTTTAACCTTTTCTTTGGCCACAATGATTAGTGCAGAGTTGTGCATGTGCCCCATACTGGGCCAATCAGATTTCTTCCCAAGATTTTGGCAGTGCAATCAAGAAAAAGACCTTCTCTTTCTGTGGTCTCATGGGCTGTAATATCCATGTAGATGAAGAAATGCTGGGGCCAATCTTGACACTCTGGGGATGGAGAATTCTCTGGGGTCTGAGAACAAAGCCAAGCAGAGGCGATGCAAGGCTGAGAGATTAAGAATGATTGAGTCTTGATGCAAGGGTTGAACCCCAGGATCTAGCTTTTCATGAGGTCAACACCACCCTTAGACTTCCTAGTTATGTAGACTATTTTTATTTTTTTTGGTTTAAGTTTGCATTGTTTTTCTATTTGATTCAACTAAATGATCCTAAATAATATGTCATGTAACTTCTTTGAGTGTCAGTGTTCTCATTCTTAAAATATGAAAAAATGACACCTATTTTTTAAGGTTGTTTGTGGATTAAGTGCCTGTTTTCCGGGGCTAGCAGAGTGCCCAGGACTGGAAAGGCTGGCACGGCCAGATCAGCAAGGCTCTGGATGCCATGTGAATTGGTTTGGACTCTTTCGTCACCAGCGGAATGCTATGAAAGTCTTCTTCTCTTGTTGGTAGTTGTAAATCCTCCAGTTTCTGAGACCCAGTGGTGGCTGAGAAAGGTCAAAAGGTTTGCCTATGTCAGGTGGAAGAAATAAAGCAGGGGAATGAGCTTTAAGGAGAGGAAATTGAATGAACAGCCCCTTTAGGCTACCAAGATGGCCATAATTCCTTGCTCTTTTTCTACATGCTTCTTGTTTATTAAACATTCATATTGACTTGAGTTTCTCGGGACTCTCTGTAACAGATGGCACTAAATTATGGTAACTGAATAGCCTGCCTTCATTTGCTGAGTGGCCATTTGAGGGTTGATTGTACTTAAATTCTCTACTCAGCCTTGCTGTCTGCAAAGCCCACTGCCAAACACACAGCCACAATTTGTCCAGATATGCATTTGTGTTGGGAGGTAGAAGAGTTTAGCAGATTCTTGTTTTTTGTGTGTGTATTTCCAATGCTTAACTTTCATTTGACTTTATTTGAAGAATTATTTTAGGAGCATCTACTACGTACCAGGCATGGTGCTCAGCACTGGAAAAAGAAAGATTAATAACTATGGATGGCTCAGACCTTCTAAGACATTTAAAATATAGTCAAGTAGGAGAGATAGTGGCTAGAAACTTTTCATAAAAGTTCATATTAAGAATAGTTACCATTTGTTGAGCATTTACTGTGGGGCAGACACTCTGCTAGGCACTGAATGTGAGTTATCTCATAAAATTCTCACTGTCACCTTGGAAAATTCATATTCCCCTTGCATATATGGGAAAATTCAGGCTCAAAAGAGTTGAATGCTGCAGAGACTCCAAGTTTCTTTCAATACGTATTTTTCCTTCTTCTTTAATGATAGAAGATCTATCGATTGCTGGGTGTGACAATGTGCCCAATTATAAAAGTACAGGAGAATCACTTGAACCCGGGAGGTGGAGGTTGCAGTGAGCCAAGATTGCGCCATTGCATTCCAGCTTGGGTGACAAAAGTGAAACTCCATCTGAAAAAAAAAAAATTCATGGTTGAGATTTCTAAGGGGAGAGGGCTCTATGAAAGGTGAAAGGAGATAACTTGCCTCAGAGAAGCATCTTTTTTTTTTTTTTTTTTTCTCATGTTCTCTACTTCCTCCTTCTTGCCTGGGACAATGATGTGATAGCTGGAGCATTCCAGACATCTTAGAACAGGAGGTGAGCTTGAGAATGGAAATCACAGGCAAAGAGTGATGGAGGAGAATGATAGAAAAATCTGAGCCCTTTATTACCATGGAGCCACCAGCAGAGCCCTGGGTTGTGTACCCCAGACTTGTTTTAATGAGAGAAAATTACCACATCTCATTTACTGCACCATTTAGGTTTTTTGTTCTACACAGCCAAGTCACAGTTAGTCAAGTCACACAGCTAGTAAGTAGTAGAGCTGGGATTTGAAATGAGGACTTTCTTAGTTTAAAGCTCATTTAATTCACCACTATGCTGTTTATTCACCTGGAGAACATCCGTGTGTGTTCCTTTGCATGCCCTCCACTGTGCTAGGTACTAAAGACACTAAGATGAATAAAACCGTATGACAATTTAGTTCTAACATACACTAGAGGCATACAAGAGAGAATAACTACTTACCTCGGTGGCAAAAGTAATTGTACAGTGGGCAACATCAGCAGAAATTTTTAATATTTGGATTTACTAATAAAATGGAGAAAGGGATATTACATTCAAAACAACTAGATGACTCAGGGTTATATTGAGGATTGAGAGAAGGCAGAACTTTCTAACAATTATGGCTGTCTTTTGACAGTTGTTTTTTAAATCGCTTTGTAAGGGTATTGGCCTTTGCCATGTAACAAACCATCCCATAATATAAGGATGTAAATAAACATTTTATTTGCTTATAATTCTTTAGGTCAGCAACAGGGGTTGGGTTTAGCTGAGCAGTTCTGATCTTGCCAGAATCTCCAAGGTCTTGAATGATGGGATAAGAAGCTTGGCATCATTCTAGTGATGTGGTGTTCCCTGGTGATCCTTGCATTAGAAACATAGTTTATCATTTATATTTTCTTGTTAATTAGCTCCAAAAAGTCAGTTTGCCTTTTTTCTGTTTTCCCATTGATCTATACCTAGTATTTGTTATAACATACATAGGCCAGTGATTGTAAGTTACTGGGGAAGGAGGGAGATTCTGAATGGTGGAGTGATGGAAGAGGCATTTTGTAATATTAAATTTTAAATAATGGCTCAACATTTTTACCCAAAATGCATGTCTTCACTGATGGTCTCCTCAAGTATTGAATTAAACTGTTGTTTTTATGTATAAAATATTATTATCATTGCTCCTAAATTTGCTGAGATGTTATGAAATGATTCATGAACTTGAAGAATCTTACAACACAGAGGGCACAGAAGTGATTGATATGACCCCAGAAATGGTTAGGGGAGCTGCCATGGTACACGAAGTGTCTCTATCCAGGTCAACTTCCAACTGTTCCATGGGAGACAACCGTTTTCCTTCTCCACCCATGCAACCCTTAGGTTTCTAGTCACTAACATGAACAAGATCCTCTGGGGTATTGCTGAAGGAATGAGGGATGCCAAAAGCGGGAGGAGAGGGCCTGGGAGCACATGGGCACAAACAGTTCTGTTAGAGGAAGCCACAATTAAAGAGGGACGAGGCTTCGGGTGTGTGATCTTCGGGATAGAAGTGGGCAACTGAGTAGGCATTTGGTTCAAGAGAAGACCAGAAATTTGGGCCGTGCTTCTGGGCTTCTTACTTTCAGAGCCAATGGTGAGTATGTGTGAGTGGGTGCATGGTGTGAGGCAGGGGTCCCCAGTCCCACTCTCCAACCCCTAGGCTGTGAACCCATACCTGTCTGTGGCCTGTTAAGAACCAGGCTACAGAGGAGGAGCACTGTCACGATCACCACCTCCTGTCAGATGAGCTCCTAGATTCTCATAGGAGCGTGAGCCCTATTGTGAACTGTGCACTTGGGGGATCTAGGTTGAACACTGTTTATGACAATCTAATGCCTGATGATCTGAGGTGGAACAGTTTCACCCCAAAAAACACACCCTTCCACCATCTGTGGAAAAATTGTCTCCCAGGAAACTGGTCCCTGGTGCCAAAAAGGTTGGGAACTGCTGGTGTGGGGGAAGCAGGGTTGTGGAAATTCCAGATAGAGGAAACAGCAGACTTAAAGTGAAGCACTAAAGAAGCCCAATGTCACTGGGGAGGAGAGTGAAAAGTGAAGGGCCCCAGCTCTCCAATCTCTGTAAGACCCAGGAGTCATGCTGAGGTCCAGTACTTCCTCCCTCTTTGGAAGGCTCTATCTTATAGACTGTGTTGTTCTCTTGGCACTGCTAGACTTGATAATCTGTCAGCATTTTACATGTTACATTCTTACAGGTTTGTTGAGACAGTGGGCATGAATAGATAAGTATCACTGTTAATCTAATTTTCCAGTGAAGATAGTGGAACTTGAAAGTGTTGGAGTCTTGGTAAAGGTGGCTCAGTAGGTAAGGGGAGGAACTAGAACCTGAACTGAGGTCCCTGGGGTTTTTCCTATGGGCCTGTGTGGCTCATTAGGTGCATGTGTATGCACTTACATAAGCCCAGATCTGGTTAGATCTTGCAATCTCCATCTTGCAATCTCTGGTTCTACAAATATGTATTAAATGCCTAATGTATATCCCAAAGTGCTCTAGGCATTGGGGATACAATCCTGAGAAAGAATATGTCTCTGTTCTCATGGAGCTACCCTTCTAGTCACAGAGGAAAAATAATGGGCAAGCCATCAAACAAACAGAACATTGATTTAAGCAGTGCTAAGTGCAAGGAACAAACAGAAAGCAGAATGAGGGGGTGACGAGTATTGCGTGGGATTTCAGGACGGTAGTCAAGGAGGGCATCTTTGGGAAGGGGGCATGAGAGCAGAGTCTTCCTGCCTCTCTCTTCATCACCCTGCCTGGTGGCAAGCCCAGCGTGTGCAGAGGCTGAAGATTCTACAACTATGGGGGCTGTCTTCGAGAAAAATCATACAGAACTGTAAAGAGAAAATTCAATTTAAAATGAGTATTTATTTAGGATGAGAAAACAAATAACAAATTATATAAATTGAAAATCTGGCTGGGTGCGGTGGCTCACGCCTGTAATCCCAACACTTTGGGAGGCTGAGGCGGGTGGATCACGAGGTCAGGAGTTCAAATCCAGCCTGGCCAACATGGTGAAACCCCGTCTATATCAAAAATACGAAAATTAACCAAGCATGGTGGTATGCACCTGTAATTCCAGCTACTTAGGAGGCTGAGGCAGGAGAATTGTTTGAACCTGGGAAGCGGAGGTTGTAGAGAGCCATGATCACACCATTGCGCTCCAGCCCAGGTGACAGAGCAAGACTCTGTCTCAAAAAAAAAAAAAAAAAAAAAGAAAAAGAAAAAAAAAGAAAATCTACAAAATCCAAAATAATCTCACCAAATCTGGGAAAACAGCTTAATTCAAAAAAATTAACTTCTAGGCATACCACTATGACATGTTTTCCCTAAGATTTTAAGTGCATTCTCATCTGTTGCCTTGTCACATGTCAACAATTTTGTAATAATTTCTAGTGAGAGAATAGAAAGTGGAGTCAGTCTTTTTTCTAGCATGGTGGATTAAAATAGTTTTTACTGATAGATAAGAAAGGTTATTTTCAGGATCCCAAGCCATTGTTGGCCGTGTTATGCAAAATTTCATCAACTTGGGGAAAACTCTCAAATTTTTGACGTGTGTGTGCTCTAAGGGTTAAGTTTTCTGGTGTAATGACTAAATATTAAATCAGCTATGAATTACTGATACTCATTACTTGCTTGTCAATAATGTCCTCTTGTGGAAATGTATTTTGAGTTTTACAAGACCTCCACTGATGGCAGTATTTTGTTTCAAATCAGCCAGAAATTTGAATATCTTTCCAATATGTTTACTTAATTCACTCCTTTACAGACAATCCGAGAACCTATGCATTATTTCTATGAGGAGGATCACTCTTCCTTTTAATGAATTACCACATTTAGTATGAACTGAATATTAGTTTTGTTATAATTTGCTTCTAAATGTCAGGATAATTTCTATTGCTTTTCTTCACTCATATTTTAATTTTGTTTCCATTAGTTTTTAATTGAGTTTCCTCTCATCTCCTTAATGTATAAATTCAAAGATAATAAAATAATGTAGCCTTCATAAACATCCAATTCAAGAACCTGTAATTTCTTATTTGTTTTACAGAAACATTCTAGAATGCCTTCTCGAATTATAATTTAAATGGCATATTGAAGCTTTATCAACTTTTTGAATAATTTTTTTTTTTTTATTTTGAGATGGAGTCTCACACTGTTGCCCAGGCTGGAGTGCAATGGTGTGATCTTGGCTCACTGCAACCTCCGCCTCGTGGGTTCCAGTGATTCTCCTGCTTCAGTCTCCCGAGTAGCTGGAATTACAGGCACCTGCCACCATGCCCAGCTACTTTTTTTGTATTTTTGGTAGAAACGGGGTTTCACTATGTTGGCCAGGCTGGTCTCGAACTCCTGACCTCGTGATCCGCCTGCCTTGGCCTCCCAAAGTGTTAGGATCACAGGCGTGAGCCGCCGTGCCTGGCCTAATTTTTTTTTTTTTTTTTTTCCATTTTGTTTCTTCTCAGGTTTCTCCTCTGAGTTTTAAAAAATGTACATCAGTGTCATTCAAATATTTTTGGCCTCACGTGTGAGTCTTAAATAGCTTCGTAATGGCCAAGGCATTTTATCAGCCCTAAAAGCTTTAAAGGAAGATCCAGCTTGGCATATGTGATGTACAGATAATAACACATCTACAATTCAAACCTGAAAAGAAAACATTTAATGTAGCAGAATGGCAAAGTCATCAACAACCTCAGCATTGTGGAGGCAGCTTTTTCTCCAACAGTTTTAAGGGAACGAGATGCCCACCACACACACTGCGCCATTTACAAATATTTTTAAAGAGCAGGTGGGGCCCTTTGTTCTCTGTAATAGCAGTGTTTTTGTGTGGCTGACCATGAATGACATTCAAGAACAGGCAACAGTCGTCCAAATGTTGTTTCACTTTGTTGAATAAAGTCATAAATAGTTGTCAGCAAAAAAGTTTAAAATTTCTCATAGGGTTTTCTCAGGAGTAGCACACAGTATTTCCCACAGATCAATGTCTGTGACATCCAATGCAGAATCTATAATAATGGAGGAGTATTTAGTGTCCGGTTCATTTGAGGTACCACTTAATGGAACACAGTTTACAACCAAAACAGCACCAGGCCCTTAGTCTTCAGAGAGGCCAGCCACCATCTCAGCAGTTTGGCCATCATTATTATTTTTTAATATCTGTTTCAGAAGTATCTTTAGTCCTTCTTATGTTCTGTTTGATTCTTTGTAAACATTACTGTGATCACGATATTGGAAAAAGCAGTGGTTTTTAGTGGAACAGATATAAATGAAACTACTGTTCATTGTAACAGGCCATCACAAAAGATCACAGAAGTTCTTCAAATTGATGAATTCTGCAAAGTGAAGCTGCTCTTGACCCTAGTGCCAGTTCTGTTGATCGTACAAATTGTGTCTTACTTTGCTCTTGCTTTCATCTCTCTTCCGCTTTTGGTTTCTGTTTGAGAGTGTCCTGATTTTCACAATCTTTATTATCCTTTCAGTGGTCATTTTATCTTTATATTTTGACCTATTATGATTTGCTTCCTTCTCTTTACTATGACTTTAACAATTGGAGTTTTTATTTCTGTGGTTATATGAGTTTTTAACATCTTGAAGATTCTTCCAGTCTTCGTTCATTTATGTATTTTTTAGCTTCTCCTAAGATACTTCCTTCACATCAAATTTAAATTTCGATATGATCAATAATTCTGAAAACTTATACAATTAATCTCAAAGTAAGGCATACAAGAGCAATTCAAATGCTTTTAAACATTGCCCCTACAGTAGACCCCACTTTATCCATGTTTTGCTTTCTGTGGTTTCAGTTACCCGAGGTCAACCACAGTCTGAAAATATTAAATGGAAAATTCCATAAATAAATAATTCATAAGTTTTAAATTACTTGCTGTTCTGAATATCATCATAAAATCTCACACTGTCCAGCTCTGTCCCACTTGGGACATTAATCACCCCTTTGTCCAGCATATCCATGGTGTAGACGCTACCTGCCCGTTAGTCACTTAGCAGCAGTCTTGGCTATCAGATTGACTGCTGCCGTCTCACAGTGCTTGGGATCATGTAATCCTTATTTTACTTTTATTGCAGTATATTGTTATAATTGTTCTGTTTTATTATTAGTCATTGTTGTTCATCTCTTCATGTGCTTAATTTATGAATTAAACTTTATCATAGGTTTGTATGTATAGGCAAAAGTGTAGTATATGTAGGGTTTTGTTTCAGGCATCCGCAAGGTGGGGACTGCTACACTTTGTATTGTGCTACTTAATTGTGTAATCCAGTTATTCTTACTCCACATGTATTGACTTCCTGATAAATGTGTAGGAATTTGTCACTTGTTTCTTCAGGCTGTTTTGCTGTATTGCTGACAATTTTGTATTCTCTTTCATCTGGAACCAGGAGACTTCCTCAGGACAAAATGCATTGGATATGCTAGATGTAAACCAATAGGTTGGGATGTAGAGAACGTGTAACTTCTCACATAGACATACTGGCTATCTTCTGCTCTGCTGCAAATTTGTACTCATGGGATCTGATAAATTCTATTTTGTGCAATTTCCATCATTAAAGAAAAACATGAAAAGTGCATTTATAATTGTACTTGCTGAGTTTTGAGCATGTTACTGACAAAAGAGAACTTCTGTTTTGACTGGAAATCGATGAGAACCAAACATAATTGTACACAGTTGATGACTGGAAGAATTTTCCATGCACTGGCTTCTGGTTACGCACATTTCAGATCTCATTCCTCTTCTACTAGCCACATATGGCTAGTTCGGAGGACTAAAGCAGGGGTCCCCGACCCCGGCTAGGAACTGGGTCACACAGCAGGAGGTGAGTGGTGGGAAAGCCAGCATTACTGCCTGAGCTCTGCCTCCTGTCACATTGGTGGTGATGTTAGATTCTCATGGGACCACAAACCCTATTGTGAATTGTGCGTGCAAGGGACCTAGGTTGCATGCTCCTTATGAGAATCTAATGTCTGATGATACGAGGTGGAACAGTTTTATCCCAAAACCATCCCTTCCATCATCCTGTTTTGGAAAAATTGTCTTCCACACAACTGGTCCCTGGTGCCAGAAAGGTTGAGGACCGCTGTACTAAAGGACAGGTTTATATGGTGATGACCCTGCATCTTCACGTCTCCGGGGAAGGCGGGGGTGAGTTGGCACACAGGGAGAGTAGAGACTTCTGGAAACTCTTCCTATACCAGGATGGCTAGCAATAATTTAACTCTAAATCGCAATCCCTTGGGACAAGCGATGCCTCTCTCTTCATGGCAGGAATCAAGGGCAACAGTGCAAGTCACTGGAGCCACTGTCCATGAGTTATGTCATAGCAGCACAAAAGCCTTGCTGAGGTGAGGACCAGATAGAGACAGGCGAGCTCCACCCAGACCCACTGGACTTGGATCTCCAGCCCCTGTGTCTCTACCTCCAGGATCCCAGGGCTGTGCTGCTTCTCCAGAAAGGTGTAAAAATTCAACCTCAGGAGGGAGGTGGTGTGGAGGGTGGGCCCTGCTTCTCTGGGTAACCTGAGCTCTGTGGCCTGGTCATCATCCCTGCCCTCCCCATAAACACACCAGAATTTACTCAGACTAGGGGTTTATTTGGCTGTTCCCTAAAATCCACAACCAAACAGGGTAGCTCACACCCCAGAGAACAGTAGCTTACAAGACACGAAGAGTAACATATCGCAAAGAAACACTAGACAATGGACAATGACACCTTCTGAACCACAAATGCCAGTGGTTGGTGGGGAGTGATAGTAAAATAAGCAAGATAAAAATACTTCAGAAGACAGGAGAAGCCATTAGTAATGGGAAGTAAGGAGGTAAAAATCATGAATAAAAGCCACATACTAGGAACAAAGTAGAAATATTAGGTATCAATATCTATTGTGTTCTGGATTTAAGAGAGCAGCTCCTATAGTCTACTGGTCATGATGTCCAAAGAATTGAATTGATAAGGAACAAGGAGCAACAGAAAGTGTGCATGAGTGAAGTTCCAGGGCCAGGGGCCTGCAGCATGGTCAGCCCTGGCTTCAACACAGACCTGAGCTCTTCCGTTAAAACCCAGGACATTTTTCCTCCAGAAAATGGTAACATTCTTAAGCCAATTGAGGCCAAGTCCCCGCAGTACCTCCCACTCAAGGCACTTCTGCAGCTCTTCCCATTTCCTGGCAGACAGATTGAGCCTAGATTGCTTAGGATAATGAGCTTCATCAAAACACTGGGAAAACTGGTGAGGCTCATCATCCCTTCCATTTGAAAGTTAAGAATTAAAAATAAGTTAAATTCTTATTTTTAAATTCACACGTGTAGAAAATTATGTGGGGACCTCAAATTGCACCCAACCCATGGGTACGCCACTTTCCAATGTGAATTTCGACCCTCCTCCCAGCCAGAGGTGAAGTCAATATCTCCACGCCCTTGAATCTGGACTGACCTTGTAACTTGCTTTGACCAACAGAGTGCAGTCGAAGGGATGTGGAGCAAGTTCCAGAGCATCCACCCATGAGGTCTTGCAATATCCATCTTGCCCTTCTGGGGTTCTTCTTTGAGACTGCCAAGCGGCAAGGAAGTTAGAATGAAAGACCAAATGGGGAGAGACCCAGTGATTGCAGCTGCCCCCGCTGAGCCTTCCTGCCTCACTTGTACAGCCTCAGCCAATCCACAGCTGGCTGCAGCCACAAGCATGAGCCAGTGAGACCACAGGAACCACACTATCAATAGATTAGTCACCATAACACATAACTCATCATTGCTTCAAGCCACTGTTTCAGGCTGGCTTGTTACACAGGAATTATCAGAACCACATCCATTATTGCTTCCTAATCACATCTAAATGTGGTGGGCTATAGGTTATTGACCCTTTTGTTCAGATGAGAAATGAAATCTCAGGTTGTTTATGTAGTGTGGTGCAGTCACACAGGTGGGAAGCGGTGGGCTGGGCAGGATCGCTGCGTGGGAGGGAGGGATGCAGACCAGCCGCTGGCCTGGGGGAGTTGGAGAGGGGTGGGGTGTGAGAGGATGCTGCCAGGTGATTGGCAGCTCTAGGCTTTGTCTTGCCCTTCCTTTCTTAATATCCGAGACATTTTCTTGGCATAGAAACCTTGAAATGAGACAAATGAGGATTGGATTTCTGTCTCCACCCCTTCATTCCTGGCTGGGGAACCCTGATCAAATGACATAATTTCTCTGACATCAGTCGCTTCCTCCATAAAACAGCGGCCATAATATTTTTCTACTGAGGTTTCCCAAGATTTTATAGGATGACATTTTTTTGTGTGACTACACACCATGCCTCACGCATTGGTGCCCAATAAATGTTTATTTACTCTCTTTTTCCACCAGCTTCATTATACCTCTATTTTCATTGCCTCTTCCAGAAAGTGGGAAAACAGTGCCTAAGCTCATAGTTATTTTTTTTTGTCAAGATGAAATAAAATAATAATTATGACAGGTATGTTATAATTTGTAGAATGATATTAGTATAAATCTTTGAGACCCAGGAACAAGGTAAGGTGGCATTAGAGTACTGTGATGAATGATATGGGGATTTGGTGTCAGACAAGCCTAGCTTCTAATCCAGAGGTCCAGTCTTACTGGCTATATAACATTGGGCCAGTTAACTAACCGCTCTGTGTTTCAATTTCCTCATATTAAACTTGCACGTAGTAATAAGAACTACCTCAAATATTTGTCATTTAAAGATTAACCAAGATGAAAAACCTAAGTATTTAGCTTGGCATATAGTAAATACTGATAATGCTGTTATAGTGAAAATAACTAGTCCACTTTCTTCCATCTCATTCTTCCAGCCTCATCCCATAATGAGGATGGTAGCCTTACCCAAGAATTGAACTCCTGATTTTAAAGAAAGAAAAAGACAATGATATAAAAATTTCTATTGGTACCTTCAACAGCATAGGGCAGATAACTGGAATAGGTGGCTCTTTGCTTAGCACAGTGTTACGGATCTCCCTCTGGTCATAATAATTCAAAGCTTTCTTGTGCGAAAAATACATTCACTCTTTTCCCACAGTCTCATCCCATTATAGTGGCTTGATGTCCAGGGTTTTGTCATCTCATCAGGTCCAAGTGCAGATGAAGCTCCTCAGGTTGCATTCCTTGATCACCTCTTTTTGGATACTGCTCCTTTCCATCTGAAGACCTATGAACTAGAGATAGGTTATCTACCCTATCTTGCAGCACACACACATATCAACAATTGATAGCTGAGAAGGTATGAGAAGGTATAGGATAATTGCCATAGATAATCTTATTCAAAAAAGGGGAAACCTAGAGGTACACAGGCATCACTGGACCACAGCAATTCTGAAACCCACGGTGGTGCATATTGCCTGTTTCTGGGGTGGCACTCAGCCCCACTCCTTGGGAGTTGTTCTTCATTCATCATGGCTTGATACTGGGCTTCTCAAACTTTAGAACTGTGAGCCAGTAAATTTCTGCTTATTTTGTTTTTTATTTTTTTTTATTATACTTAAATTCTGGGGGCATGTGCAGAATGTGCAGGTTTGTTACATAGGTATACACGTGCCATGGTGGTTCGCTGCACCCATTAACCTGTCATATACATTAGGTATTTATTCTAATGCTATCCCTCCTCTAGCACCGCCCCCACCCCCCACATTTCTGTTTATTATAGATTACCCAATCTGTGGTATTCTGTTACAGCAGCCTAAGATGGCCTAAGACATAACCGATTGCAAGAAAATGGTGAAGTTTAAAAGGAATAAGGGAAGGGAAGAGTGAGTACTTTGTAAAGCAAGTATGATATTAGTACTAACTTCATAATGTTATTACAAAGATTAATTGAGATAAAATACTTATAAAATATCTGTTACAGAGCAAAAGCTCAATAAATAATTGATTTATTTTATTTTAATTTTTTTCTATGTCCAAAGAGTAGAGGGAAATGAAAAAGTAGTCCCTGCTACATGCTGACTCTGGAGAGAATTTATGCCATGGTAAGAAGAAAAATTATGACATCTCTGGAATGATCTCAGTGTCCTAACTATTAAATGTCTTTTATGCATAAAGTCCCCCAAAGTAGGCAGAATATAACTAAACTGTGGTGAGGGCCAGGACACCCAGATGTTGCAGGGCTCATGTCTCTTTCACAAGTAAGCACGTGCATGGTACCGACTCTACCCAATCAACACTTAGACTCTGAAAATGTGACATACTTTTTTTTTCACTTGTGCTGTGATTTGCCAATTTCTAATGAAATAAATACTGATCTTACTCAAAATGCAACTTACTTCACTCAATAACAGTAAACTGTGCTAGGCATAATGATGAAACCCATACAGGAGAGTCAAACCAGAAATAGATGTGCCTGCTGTGCATTTGTACTACACGGCAGACTAGGAGTTGTTTTAGAATAAAGAAGAGGCCTTGAGAATCCAGGGGAAAATGATTCAGATTAGGAAGAAAGTTCTTGTGGAAGTTTCTAAGCTGCTTCCTACAGGAAGACTTCCTGGTGTTTAACTAGTTCCTCCTCTGTGCTACCTCTGCACCTTGTACCTATTTTTAGTTTAGACATTGCAGAGTGACACTATAAGTTGGAGCTGGAATTTGAATTGAGATTTGTCTGATTTCAAATGCCATGACCTTTTACTGTTCTGTCGAAAACTCTGGCTGCTTTGTGTATCGATACTTTGCCTAGTTGAAAAGCTATGTGCATAATGTTGGAGTTAATTAACTAATAAATAATAGTGACTTAGAAGGTTACAAATAGGTGTGCTAGGGAAATTCAAACAAGAAGAAAGCAGAGGATGCAACATTAACATACGACAATGTAGAATTCATGGTAAAAATCATTACGTGAAGCAAAGAAGGCACTAAATAAATGTAAAGGATGACTTTGACAGTGAGAATTAGGAATGCCTCTGCATCACATAATACAGCATAACACCGTTCACCTTCATAAAGCCAAACATGTGAGAGACATAGGGAAAAACAGAAACACACCAATAGAAGGAAACACCAACAACAGGAAACCTACACTGATTTATCTCAGTCCAGGAAAGTCAAGAAGAAAAAATATGCAAGATTACAGAAAAGCCAAACAAAATAACAAGACAGTTCTAACTGATATATTAAACTTTAGATGCTGAAAAATTTTAAATGTTTCATGGAACAGTCACTAAAATTTGGCAAATACTAGTCTCAAAGGAAATGTCGAAAAATTACAAGTAGTAGAAGTAATACAGACGCATTTGATAACAATTACATACGTCTAGGCATGAACAAAATCAGAAAAAAATTATTTAGCTCTTAGAAGTTAAAAATATATGTCTCAAGTAAGTATAGGTTCAAAGAAAATCTACAAACTCAAAATACAGAATATCTACAAACTACTGCTAATGAAACACTGCATATCAGACCTCATGGGGTACTGTGAAAATAGCAGTCAGAAGAAAACTCGTAGTCTTCAATACATACTTCAATAAACAAAAAGAAATAAAGATTTATGAATTAAACATAAAAGCAAGAAATTAGAAAGAGATAATAGCAACAACAACAATGACAAAGTTAGAAGAAGGCAGAAGAAAAAGAATAATAAAGACAAAAGCAAAAATTGATGATTTGGAAAGTGTGAAAAGAGAAAAGCTGATCAATAGAAAAAAAGATGATTGTTGGAAACAAATACACTACGAGAAAAGGTGTTGGGATTATGTGGAAATACATGACATTTTTAAAAGGGAAAGAATAACAACAGAAAGAGAAGAAATTAGATTCATAAAAGAATATGCTGCTAAAATCTCTGCAAATATGAAACTTAGATGAAGTGCCATTGTTCCAGAGAAACACATATTCCCAAAGCTAGAAGACATGAAAAGGAATCTAGACTGGACAATTTGCATGAAAGAAATAGAGGAATATTGTCAAAGGACAACCTCCTCCACAAATAAAACACCAAATCTAGATGGCTTCATGGTGGATTTTTGCCAAATACTTAAGGAACAGATAGTTTCAATGCTATTCAAACTTCTCCCTAATATCAATAAAAAAGAAAAACTTACAAATTCTTTGTATGTCATGTGCATAGCATTGACTCCAAAACATTAAAAAATCACACGGAAATGAAATTATAGGAATTCTCATTTATGGTAATAGTGCAAAGTTCTGTATAAAATATCAAACAATTCAATAACACATTTAAACAGCTCGGCATCTCTATGTGGCATTTATTCTAATAATTCAAGAATGCTGCATTACAAGACACTGTGTTCAAATCATATTTATGTATCTGAGGAAAGCATTCTAATGAGAATCTTCATAGATGCAGAACAGGCATCAGACAAAATTGAATATTTATTTTTGATTGAAAGAAGTTCAACAAAAAGGGAATTCAAAAATATGTTCCTAACTTGGTAAATAATATCTCTTTTGTCACAAAGGCAGTTTTAGTGTGAGTGAGGAAGTACTAGAGATATTCCCACTAAGTTCAGGAGAAAGACAAGGATTCACATTTATCACTGTTATAAATTATATTATAACTAGTTGTGTTGGTGAGATAAAGAAATTACATGCACAAAAGTTTGAAATGAGGAGAAAAACCATCATTAGTTAAAAATGACAATTTTTAACTAATAGCCTGATAATTCAAGGCTATTAACTATAAGTGAATAAAAATAGTAAAATAATCTGATAAAATGATTCAAAATTAATATATAGATATAAATAAATCAATTGTGTATATAAATATGCACACACGTATACCTACAATATATAATAAGCTATTTCATTATGATACATGATGGAAGAAAATAATCAGTGAAATATGAACTTCTAGCCTAGTCCATATCTGAGGATATTCTTTTTGCTAGTTTCTCAGAAACCATGCCATCAGGAATCCAAAATGTCTGTATTTCCAGGACCCAATTTCCCTTCAAATAAAACTCCGTAACTGCATCCTTCTAGGCTGCAGGTTTGTGTGTGGGCGGCAGGAGAAATTTCAGAGCCAGAAAGAAGACTCCCCACTTGGTAGGGGAAGCATGGGAAAAGAGGTGAAAAGGGCCAGGTCCTGGAGGGTTTCAATTGCCTTGTGCTGAAGGCAATGAGCCATTTAGAGAGCTAGGTGTCAGTATGGAGGTAGAGAGAACTATTCAGTGGCACCTATAGAAACAGTTTAATTGAGAGTTTTGAAAATACTGCTTGAGTCCAGCCTGGGTAACATAATGAGACCCTGTTTCTATAAAAAGTAAGAAAAGAAAAGTAGTCAGACATGGTGGCATGCACTTGTAGTCCTAGCTTCTCTGGAAGTAAAGGGAGGATTACTTGAGGCCAGGAGTTCAACACCAGCCTGGATAACATAGTGAGACACTGTTTCTACAAAAAAAAAAAAAAAAAAAAAAAATTAAAAATAGCGGGGCTCTGTGGTGTGCACATTTAGTTCTAGCTACTCAGTCAGCTGAGGCAGGAGGATTGTTTGAGCCCAGGAGTTTGAGATTACAGTGAGCTATGATTGTGCCAGTGTCGTCTAGCCTAGGCAGCAAGGCAAGACCGTGTTTCTTAAAAAAAATAACTGAAGAAAATATTGAAGAAGTGAAATTGGCTGGATTTGGGATAATATTATAGTTAGTTTTGTCCATGGTGGGGGCCAAACTCTAATTGGTGCCATGTCTCCAATATTTGTTCCTCTAATAGTATCATTAGCATTTAGTTACTATTATTGTTTTGGCAAATGACAGAAAGCAGAGACTAGTGTTTATATCTTGATAGTTATAAAAATGCTTCACCTATCCCCCTCAGTAGTTACTCTCCTCATTTTTGTAGCTTTTACTGTTACTCATAATTCACAATGAATGTCAGATATTGTCATAATTCTTCTTTATGGGGTATCTTCAACTTGAAGTCATTGGTAGAATAAAAAAAGGGGAGGCAAAAAATCAAGAGTGAAGTCTGAGGTGGAAACTGATATGATAGCTCTGGAATCAAATGTAGAAAATTTGAGAAATTTCCACAAGTAGCTTCAGAGTTTGTTCAGCTCAGTGTTATCAGTCCTTGCTTGCATGGTGTGTTGGGGTGCGTAAAGATAGTGTGTGCTTTTTCATGAGCATGGGACAACAAAAGCTACTTTGAGAAATAAAGAAAAAGAAGCAATAGATGCACCTTCATGCTTGTTTGCACAAACACATAAGAATGCACTTTACATTTTTCAATGATGTTTTATGAGCAATCACCTACTCATTGACTTGTGAGCATATTTTTGCCAAACGAGCCAGTCAAAATAGGAACCACGATTTAGAAACACACAGACAGAAGTTATTTTTCATGAAGTTTTAGTAAACTAGCACATTAAAAAAATTGTTTATTTGAGAAGCAGACTTGGACAAAATTGGAAAGTCTTTCCAATAACTTTTAAAAGTTCTTAGAACTCCAAACCTCTACTTTTCTTTGACCAGAGCTTCAGAATCCACCCCACGCTGGCACTGTAGTGTATCACCACTGACCTTTGCTACCTGGCTTAATTTCCCATTCAGCTTGGCTGGGTAATAAAATCCAACTAATGGAATCCCATCTCTGAAATTTCTAGTCATCCCTGCATTGCACAATGGATGCAGCTAATCATGTTTTAAAGAGACTAAATATTACAGTGACATAAAAAGGTTCATTATGTCTTAGTCAGAAATATTAAACATCTGTGACCTGGGAGAGGAAAAAGGCAGAGATTAAGTTTGACGTCTGAGTGAAAACTGGGTGATAAAAACAATTAGGGCATTAATGGAGGAAGATTCTGTGCTTTTCATGTCATTGACCTTTCCAAGCCCACTGCCGCTCTTCGCCTGCTCTCTTTGATTGCTACGTCTCCTGAGAGGCGAAAAGAATCATTTAGGTGAATGGATGGAAATTCATTTAATTTCCTTAGCCAAGGAGGGCTGCTGCTCTGCCCCATTACCTGGGGGATGGTAGCTCTGCAGGCTCATTTCCAAATCAGTGAGCCAGTGAACCATCAGAACTCACACCTCTACTCCTTGAGATTATGAAGATGGCAGTGTTTGGATGATCAGTCTGACTTTTAACCTCTAGCAATGCATTCACTAGAAGGGAATCACAGACCAAGCTGGAGGGGTGGAGGAAAGAAGAGATGTTGAAAGTCAGGTGGAGCAGGTGCCAACCTTCATCCACCACTTGCTAGTTGCCTGTATGGCTTGTGCATGTTGCTGAACCTCTTTGAGCCTCATCTCTCAGAGGGAGATAATAATACCAAGGGTTGTGAGATCAACAATATATGTAAACAAAACATTCGAATAGTCTTGACACAGTGGCAACACAGCTAGATCTTCTTCCCTTTGCTTTCTAGATTCCTGTGAAAAACCCCTTCTATATGAGGACATTCATTCAATTACTCATTGTCTTCCCTACTTGGCGCTGACAATGGATCAGGCACAGGGCTCTGTGCTGGGGATTCAAAGATCATTGAAATGCATATTACCTTTAGTGGGTTCAGATTAAGTTGATCAGAGAATGGAAAGAAGAGGGACAATTTCATAACTTTGATGTGAAGACAAGTCAATTAATTTGGTCTATATTCTTGCTTTAAATAATTATAACAGTAATTGGTATTTAATGAGCACCTGTTATATCCTAAGCATTTGTGATGGTTGATACTGAGTGTCATGTCAACTTGATTGGATTGAAGGATGCAAAGTACTGTTCCTGGGTGTGTCTGTGAGGGTGTTGCCAAAAGAAGTTAACATTTAAGTCAATGGATTGGGAAAGGCAGACCCACCCTCAATCTGGGTGGGCACAATCTAATCAGCTGTCAGTGTGGCCAGAATAAAAGCAGGCAGAAGAACATAGAAAGACTAAACTGGTTTAATCTTCTGAGCTACATCTTTCTCCCATGCTGGAAGCTAACTGCCCTCAAACATGGAACTCCAAGTTCTTCAGCTCTGGGACTTGGAGGACTGGCTTCCTTGCTCCTTAGCTCGCAGACGGCCTATTGTGGGACCTCAGCTTATGATGGATTGTGTGAGTCAATACTCCTTAATAAACTCTGCTTTATATATACATCTATCCTATTAGTCCTGTCCCTCTAGAGAACCCTGACTAATACAGCATTGTCCTAAGCATTTAAAATGTGGGTTTTATTTTTATTTTTAAAATATTATTTTCTGATTACATTACACAGATTCATTGAGATTATAAAGGTCTAACAATGCCATTAGAAATAAATTTGGAAACAAGAGTAATGGATTAAAGTTTTTCTTGCAGGAACCATAAAGATATCTATTGTTAGCATTTTGGTATACAAGTTTCTAGAACTTACTGAGACTTTCTCTCTGTAAATATATAGATAACCATGAAGTGGTTTGTGTGTGTGTGTGTGTGTGTGCGCGTGTGTGTGCGTGTGTGTGTGTCCTCGCGTATGCAGTAGTTCCCCCTTAACCACAGTTTAGCTTTCCTCGGTTTCAGTTACCCACAGTCAACAAGGTCCAAAAAATATTAAATACATAGAGAACTGGAGCTCATTATGTCAGGTGAAATAAGCCAGGCACAGAGAGACAAACTTCACATGTTCTCACTTATTTGTGAGCTCTAAAAGAAAAATAATTGAACTCATGGAGATAGAGAATAGAAGGATGGTTGTCAGAGGCTGAGAAAGGTGGGGAGGGGATGGTTAGTGGGTATAAAAAAATAGAAAGAATGAATAAGACCTATATTTACTAGCACAACAGGATCACATTAGTCAAAAATAGTGTAATTATACATTTGAAAATAACTTGAAGAGTATAAGTGGCTTGTTTCTAACACAAGGGATAAATGCTTGAGGGGATGGATATTCCATTTACCCTGATATGATGATTACACATTGCATGCCTGTATCAAAATATCTTATGTAGCCCATAAATATATATGCCTACTATGTATTCATGAAAATAAAAAAATAAAAAGATAGCATTCTAGGCAAAAAAAAATTAAATAACAAATTTAAGAAATAAATAATTCATAAGCTTTTAATTGCATGTGGTTCTAAGTAGTGTGATGAAGTCTCACACTGTCCCACTCTGTCCAGCCAAGGACCTGCATCAGCTCTTTGTGTATTTACCCTGTATCTGCTACATTAGTCATTTAGTAGCCATCTAGGTTATCACATCAACAGATCACAAGAAGAAGAGTGAGTACAGTACAATAAAATATTTGGGAAAGAGAGAAGGAGAGACAAAGCAAAAGAGAGAGATCATATTTGCCTAACTTTTATTACTGTATATTGATATGATTGTTCCATTTTATTATTGTTGTTAATTTTTTACTGTGCCTAATTTATAAATTACACTTCATCATAGGTATATGTGTATAGGAAAAATCATAGTATTAATAGATATAGGGTTTGATACTATCTGCAGTTTCATGTATCCACTGTGGATCTTGGAATGCGTCTCCTACAGATAAGGGAGGTTTAGAACAATATGTTAGAAAATGCAGAATTTTGAAAACAAAAATGGAATTGCATTTTACTAATGTACAGCATGCTTTTTAGATCAATAGTATAATATGAATTTTTTTGTGTTCTATACTTTTTAATTAATTTTTTTCTAATTCTTGTACTGTAAGCAATTCTGAAGTGACTTTATACATACATGCTTGTATACTTAGCCAATAATTCCCCTAAGGTCAATTCCTAGAACTAGAATTTCTGGGTCAGCTTTTTAATGAGGTGTTTTTATGTCTAGAGCCAGGTTTGTTCAGAACACATGAAACAATGTGCTAACTTACAGACCTGTCCGCAATACAGGAAAGTGCCTATTTCTCTCCAGCCTCATCTGCATTTTTATCATTTTGGTTTCATCCCTTTTAACTTAACAGCTGCAGATATTTTCTTATTTTAGTTTTTATCTCTTCACTTTCTGGTGAGGTTGATCATTTTTTGACCATTTATGTTTTTCATGCGCGTCCGTGTGAAGAGACCACCAAATAGGCTTTGTGTGAGCAATAAAGCTGTTTATTTCACCTGGGTGCAGGTGGGCTGAGTCTGAAAAGAGAGTCAGCAAAGGGAGATAGGGGTGGGGCTGTTTTAGAGGATTTGGGAAGGTAATGGAAAATTACAGTCAAAGGGGGTTTTTCTCTGGTGGGCAGGGGTGGGGGTCACAAGGTGCTCAGTGGGGGAGCTTCTGAGCCAGGAGAAGGAAATTCACAGGGTTAATCACTCAGTTAAGGTGGGGCAGGAACAAATCACAATGGTGGAATGTCATCAGTTAAGGCAGGGCAGGGCCTTTTCACTTCTTTTGTGATTCTTCAGTTACTTCAGGCCATCTGGGCATATACATGTAAGTCACAGGGGATGCAATGGCTTGGCTTGGGCTCAGAGGCCTGACATTCCTGCCTTCTTATATTAATAAGAAAAATAAAATAGTGTTGAAGTGTTGGGGCGGCGAAAATTTTTGGGGGTGGTATGGAGAGAGAATGGGCCATGTTTCTCACGGCTGCTTCAAGCGGGATTAGGGGTGGTGTGGGAACCTAGAGTGGGAGAGATTAAGCTGAAGGAAGATTTTGTGGTAAGGGGTGATACTGTGGGGTTGTTAGAAGAAACATTTATCATATAGAATGATTGGTGATGGCCTGGATACGGTTTTGTATGAATTGAAAAACTAAATGGAATAAGAGAAGGAGAAAAACAGGTATAAAAGGACTAAGAATTGGGAGGACCTAGGACATCTAATTAGAGAGTGCCTACGGAGGGTCAGCATAGTCCTGCCAGCAAAGATTATTTATTTACTTCAAGAGTTAAGAGTGGCAGTTTGGGGATAGCACGAGGAGATATCAGCTGTGACGGCTTGGAGAAACAGTGTAAACTGGCAGTGTAAACAAGAGCAGGGCATGTATGAGTAGTTGAGAATGGTGAATAGGAGTATGACTAGACAGAAGATAGTAGGGATGACAAGTTATTTGGGGGCACAGTCTAAGTTTGTCTGGTGTCTGGAATGAGACTGGGGCCTAATAAAAAGGAACGTCTATACAGGAGCTCAAATGGGCTGTACCTTGTAGCATTCTGAGGACAGGCCTGACTTCTGAGAAGGGAAAGTGGTAAAAGTATTGTCCAGTCCTTTTTTAAGTTGGTGGCTGAGCTTGGTGAGGTGTGTTTTTAATAGACCATTAGTCTGTCACTGAATACTAAGAGCCTGAAAAAATGCTTGGCTGATTTGACTAATAAAGGCTGGCCTGTTATCAGACTGTATAGAGGTGGGAAGGCTAAACTGAGGAATTATGTCTGACAGAAGGGAAGAAATGACTGCGGTGGACTTCTCAGACCCTGTAGGAAAGACCTCTACCTATCTAGTGAAAGTGTCTACTTAGACTAAGAGGTATTTTAGTTTTTGTGACTCAGGGCATGTGGAGTAAAGCTAATTTGCCAGTCCTGGGTGGGGGCAAATCCTTGAGCTTGATGTGTAGGGAAGGGAGGGGGCCTGAATAATCCTTGAGGTGTAGTAGAATAGCAGACAGAATAACAGATGGAACACTAAGAAGTTATTTCCTTGAGGATAGATTTCTACGATGGAAAGAAAATGAAAGGTTCTAAGAGGCGGGCTAGTGGCTTATACAATAGCATAGCCTGCCTTTGCTGGTATGTGGTGATTAGGCCTGGTGGAACTGCCATCAATAAATCAAGCATGATCAGGGTGAGAAACAGGGAAGAAGGAAATGTGGGGAAATGGGATGAACATCAGGTGGATCAGAGAGATGCAGTCATGGGGGTCAGGTGTGGTATCAGGAATAATGTGGGAGGCCGGATTGAAGTCCCGGCCAGGAACAATGGTAATTGTGGGTCTTAATGAAGAGTGAGTACAGCTGAAGGAGCCAGGGAGCAGAAAGTATATGCATCAGGTATGAGGAAGAAAATAGATTTTGGAAGTTATGAGAAATGTAGAGAGTGAGTTGAGCACAGTTTGTGAGTTTGAGGGCCTCTAAAGGTATTAAAGCAGCAGCAGCCGCTGCACGCAGACATGAAGGCTAGGCTAAAACAGTAAGGTCAAGTTGTTTGCACAGAAAGGCTACAGGGTGCGGTCCTGGCTCTTGTGTAAGAATTCTGACCGCACTAACCATGCCTAGGAAAGAAAGGAGTTGTTGTTTTGTAAGGGATTGAGGTTTGGGAGATTAATCAGACACGATCAGCAGGGAGAGCACATGTGTTTTTACGAGAATTATGTTGAGATAGGTAACAGATGAGGACGAAATTTGGGCCTGACTGAAGTAATGGGGTCTGTCTGTGAAGCCTTGTGGCAGTACAGCCCAGGTAATTTGCTGAGCCTGATGGGTGTCAGGGTCAGTCCAAGTGAAAGCAAAGAGAGGCTGGGATGACGGGTGCAAAGGAATAGTAAAGAAAGCATCTTTGAGATCCAGAACAGAATAATGGATTGTGGAAGGAGGTATTGAGAATAGGAGAGTATATGGGTTTGGCACCATGGGGTGGATAGGCAAAACAATTTGGTTGATAAGGCATAGATCCTGAACTAACATGTAAGGCTTGTCTGGTTTTAGGACAGGTAAAATGGGGGAATTGTGGGAGAGTTTATAGGCTTTAAAAGGCCATGCTGTAGCAGGCGAGTGATAACAGGCTTTAATCCTTTGAAAGCATGCTGTGGGATGGGATATTGGCATTGAGTGGGGTAAGGGTGATTAGGTTTTAATGAGATGGTAAGGGTGCATGATTGGTCGCCAAGGAGGGAGTAGAGGTATCTTATACTTGTGGGTTAAGGTGGGGGAATACAAGAAGAGGACACAAAGGAGGTTTTGGATTGGGAAGAAGGGCGGCAATGAGATGCAGCTATAGTCCAGGAATAGTCAGGGAAGCAGATAATTTGGTTAAAATATCTCGGCCTAATAAGGGAACTGGGCAGGTGGGGATAACTAAAAAAGAGTGCATAAAAGCGTATTGTCTAAGTTGGCACCAGAGTTGGGGAGTTTTAAGAGGTTTAGAAGCCTGGCTATCAATACCCACAATAGTTATGGAGGCAAGGGAAACAGGTCCTTGAAAAGAAGGTAATGTGGAGTGAGTAGCCTCCGTATTGATTTAGAAGGGGACGGACTTACCCTCCACTGTGAGAGTTACCTAAAGCTCGGCATCTGTGATGGTCTACAGGGCTTCCGAGGCAATCAGGCAGCATCAGTCTTCAGCCGCTAAGCCAAGAAGGAGTCAGTCAGAGAGCCTTGGGCCAGAGTTCCAGGGGCTCTGGGAGTGGCTGCCAGGTGAGTTGAACAGTCCGATTTCCAGTGGGGTCCCGCACAGATGGGACACAGCTTAGGAGGAATCCTGGGCTGCAGGCATTCCTTGGCCTGGTGGTCAGATTTCTGGCACTTGTAGCAAGCTCCTGGGGGAGGAGGTTCTGGAGGAACGCCTGGCCGCTGCAGTTCAAGGGTTTGGAAGTTCTTGTGTGCTGGAGATGTGGCTGGGGTTTGTCTCACAGTGGAGGCAAGGAATTGCAACTTTTTTTTTTTATTATTATTGTACACCTTGAAGGTGAGGTTAATTAAGTCCTGTTGTGGGGTATGAGGGCCAGATTCTAATTTTTGGAGTTTTATTTAATGTCGGGAGCAGATTGGGTAATAAAGTGTATATTGAGAATAAGATGGCCTTTTGACCATTTAGGGTCTAGGGCTGTAAAGTGTCTCAGGGTTGCTGCCGAACGAGCCATGAACTGTTCTGGGTTTTTATATTTGATGAAAAAGAGCCTAAACGCTTCTGATTTGGGATAAAGAAAAAGGAGCATTAACCTTGACTATGCCTTTGGCTCCAGCCACCTTTTTAAGAGTAAATTGCTGAGCAGGTGGGGGAGGGCTAGTCACGGAACATAACTGCAAGCAGGACCAGGTGTGAGGAGGGGAGGCGATAAAAAGATTACAGGGTGGAGGAGCAGAGGCTGAGGAAGAATTGGGACCTAGCTTGGCCTGGTGAGGAGGGGAGAGGTCAGATGGGTCTGTAGAAAAGGGAGATTAGAAAGACTCAGTGACGCTTGGGGTTGGGACTGTGGGGACAGGCAGGAGGGAAAGAAGGAAGATTTGGGACGAGTTGCACTGGGCACAGAGACTAGGAAGGGACTGATGTGTAAAAGAATGCCTGGATGTCAGGCACCTCAGACCATTTGCCCATTTTATGACAAGAATTATTTAGATCTTGTAGGATGGAAAAATTGAAAGTGCCATTTTCTGGCTATTTGGAACTACCATCGAGTTTGTATTGGGGTCAAGTGGCATTGCAGAAGAAAATGAGATGCTTAGATTTTAGGTCAGGTGAGAGTTGAAGAGGTTTTAAGTTCTTAAGAATATAGGTTAAGGGAGAAGAAGGAGGAATGGAAGGTTGAAGCTTGCCCATAGTGAAGGAGGCAAGCCCAGAGAAAAGAGTAGAGACACGGAGAAGGGGTAGGGGTTTCTTGCCCTCCAGAAAAGCAGAGGAAGTGTTGGGGCATGGAAATAAGGAATTGGGGCACAGAGATAAGAGGTTGGGGTGCGGAAATAAGGGATTGGGGCACAGAGATAAGAGGTCGGGGTGTGGAAATAAGGGATTGGGGCACAGAGATAAGAGGTCGGGGTGTGGAAATAAGGGATTGGGGGTTCTTTCCCCCTAGCAAAGTGGGACTTGCCGCTAAGGGTGAAGGAGAAGGGGTTGAGGGGTACTTGCCCTCCCCCAGAAAAGCAGAGAAGGGGTAGAGACAAGGAGAGAAGGGGTTGGGGTACTTGCCCCTTCCCCAGAAAAGCAGAGAAGGGGTAGAGACAAGGAGAGAAGGGGTTGGGGTACTCGCCCCTTCCCCAGAAAAGCAGAGAAGGAGTAGAGACAAGGAGAGAAGGGGTTGGGGTACTTGCCCCTTCCCCAGAAAAGCAGGACTTGCCACTAAGGGTGAAGGACCAAGGCAGGCGTCCCTGCGTGGTCTGACACCCTTGAAACGTGGGTGAATAATCAGAGAGGTGTCCCTGCAATGATTAAACACCAAGAGAAGGCTGCCTTCCCAGTCTGTGACTGGCGCCGGAGTTTTGGGTCCAAGGATAAAAGGTGTCTCCTTTGTCTCTACCAGAAAATGAAAGGAATTGAAATTAAGAGAAGGGAGAGATTGAAGTGTGGCACCAAGATTGAAAGGAGAAAGAGGTTGAGGGATAGTGAGGGAGGTTGGAGAAGAGAGTGAAAAGAGGCCGCTTACCAGATTTGAAATTGGTGAGATGTTTCTTGGGCTGGTCGGTCTGAGGACCTGAGGTCATAGGTGGATCTTTCTCATGGAGCAAAGAGCAGGAGGACGGGGGATTGATCTCCTAAGAGAGGTCCCCCGATCCGAGTCACGGCACCAAATTTCATGCGCATCCGTGTGAAGAGACCACCAAACAGGCTTTGTGTGAGCAATAAAGCTGTTTATTTCACCTGGGTGCAGGTGGGCTGAGTCCGGAAAGAGAGTCAGCGAAGGGAGATGGGGTGGGGCCATTTTATAGGATTTGGGAAGGTAATGGAAAATTACAGTCAAAGGGGGTTGTTCTCTGGTGGGCAGGGGCAGGGGTCACAAGGTGCTCAGTGGGGGAG
This sequence comes from Homo sapiens, assembly GCF_000001405.40. NCBI lineage: Eukaryota > Metazoa > Chordata > Mammalia > Primates > Hominidae > Homo > Homo sapiens. The sequence continues at coordinate 135,772,805 of NC_000008.11, forward strand.
CTTCTGAGCCAGGAGAAGGAAATTCACAGGGTTAATCACTCAGTTAAGGTGGGGCAGGAACAAATCACAATGGTGGAATGTCATCAGTTAAGGCGGGGCAGGATCTTTTCACTTCTTTTGTGATTCTTCAGTTACTTCAGGCCATCTGGGTATATACGTGCAAGTCACAGGGGATGCAATGGCTTGGCTTGGACTCAGAGGCCTGACAATGTTGACTTAGCCATTTCTTAAAATAATAAAGTTTGAACTAGTTTTCCCAGTTTTAGAATAAGAAAATGGGTATCAGAGATGTTAATATGAGTTAATCCAGGCTTGTATGCCCAGCCTGTGCCAGAGCTGGATTTACACTGAAATCCAGCCTCTATGGGAGCTTATACTCTTCCCTACAGCTTACCTCCACCTATCTGCTCTGATGACCACCTTCCAAATACACGATGGGTACCAGCGTGTTTTGAATGAAACTCTAGCAATGTAGCTGGTAGTCACTGTCCCCATAGCCACCAGAATCCTGGACAAAGGAGCACGCAGGAAATCCACCTGCCTGGGTCCCTGTGGGGTGTTCGCTGCATCAGGGGTCTGACTGCAGGCACAGTTTCAATAACACAACCACAGTGGAAAGTTTAAGAGTTTTAACATTGCCAAGAATTTCTCTCATTCTACAGGTGGTCCCTTCACTTCGTTGATTGTTTTCTTTGCTGTGCCGAAGCTTTTTAGTTTAATATAATCCCAGTTGGTCTGCTTTTGTTTTTATTGGCTGTGCATTTGAATTCTTCCTTATAAAAATCTTTGCCCAGACCAATGCCTTGAAGCATTTCCCCTGTGTTTTCATGTCATAGTTTTATAGATTGGGGTCTTACATCTAAATCTTTAATCCATTTTGAATTGACTTTTGTACCTAGTGAGAGATAGGGGTCTAGTTTCATTCTTCTGCATATGAATATCCAGTTTTCCGTACGCCACATTTCCCACCTCGATCAGAAGGACTTGGGCCCCCCATGAGTGGCGCTGGGGAGTGGGTCTTCCGTACGCCACATTTCGAATATCCAGTTTTCTCAGTACCATTTATGGAAGAGGCTGTCCTTTCTCCAATATATATCTTGGGAACTTTGTAATCAGGTGGCCATAATATGGGGACTTATTTCTGGGCTCTGTTCCATTGGTCGATGTGTCTGTTTTTATACAAGTATCATGGCACTCAAACAACTCAATAGTAAAAAAAAAAAACACAAAAAAATACCCAAATAATCCAATTAAGAAATGGGCAAAAGATCTGAATATTTTTTTTTTTTAAAAAGACATATAAATGGCCAAGAAGTATATTAAAAATGCTCAACATAACTAATCATCTGAAAAGCACAAATTCAAACCAAAAGGAGCTGTCATCTTACTCCTATTAGAGTGGCAATGATCAAAAAGACAAAATACAACAAATGCTAGTAAGGGGGAATCTTATATACAGTTGGTGGAAATGTAAATTAGTGCAGCCATTATAGAAAACATCATGGAGTTTTCTCAAAAAACTAAAAATAGAAATACCACAGGATCCAGCAATTCCACTACTGAGTATTTATCCAAAGGATAGCAAATCAGTGTATTGAAGAGATATCTGCATCACCATGTTTATTGCAGCACTATTCACAATAGCCAAGATATAGAATCAACCTAAATGTCCAACAAAAAGTAAATGAATAAAAAATGTGGTGTATATACATAATGCAGTATTATTCAGCCATACAAAGAATGGAATCTTGTCATTTGTGGCCACATGAATGATTCTGGAGGACATTTATATTAAGTGAAATAAGTCTGGCACAGAAAGATAAATATCGCACATTCTCACTCACATGTGGGAGCTAGAAAGTGAGTTAATGGAAGCAGTGAATAGGATTGTCGCTATTAAGAGGCTAGAAGCACAGTCGGGAGGGGAGGGTGGGGAGAGGTTGCTTAGCAGATACAAAATTACAGCTAGGCAGGAGAAATAAGTTCTAGTATTCTTATAACACTATAGGGTGACTATAGTTAATAATTTGTATTTTCAAATAGCCAGAAGAGAGGATTTTTGAATGTTCTCAACACAAAGAAATGACAAATGTTTGAGGTGATGAATATGCTAATTACCTGGATTTGATCATTAATACTGTATAATGTATTCAAATATTACTCTCTACCCCATTAATATGTACAATCCTTATGTGTCAATTGAAAACACAAGAAAGAGTCTATGAGAAAAAAGTGTTTTTAGTCCTCACAAACTTGAAGGAGGGGACACAGCATGCCTGGAGGCCACACACATGAAAGTCTGTGAGCAAAGACGGAAGAGAGAAGAGAGTGACAACTAGCCACATAGATTGGGAAAGAAGGGTTGGGCCCTTTTAAGTTTGTGAGCAGATGCTTGCCTTTTCTACTTAAAGAAGTAGGGAGCCCAGTCTGGTAGGAGAGAGATACCTCTAAGTTCTCTCTGGCTACCAGCTTGAGCGATTTGGGTGTGGTGTAGAACTGGAAACTGTGTCAAGGGTGCCTGAGCCCTGCCTCTGGGATGAGAAAGCTAAACCCACATTGAAAACAGTCACTGAGGCCCCTTAAAATTAAATGCGCTCACTACACAGAGGGACTGGGTGAAACACTTGAATTTACTTGCTTCTTTATTTAACAGGCGTGGAGAGCACCTGCCCCCTGCAGAGCCCTGGGTAAGGCATGAGATCATGGAGAATCTTTATGACTACTCTGTTTTGGTTCTGTTTTGTGGAGATTGTCAGAAAAATATACTGGGGTAAAGATATTAAGCCCATTGAGTGAGCCAAGGACTTATATGAGGAAACATTGGGAGAAAAGCAGAAAGCAATGATGCAAAGTAGAGGCATATTTGGGGGCAAAGTCACTTCAAATGGGAGCAAACTTGAAGGTCAAGATTCCCGCAGACAATAAGAAGAAAGTGGAACTTTGAAATGTTTACTGTAAGTCACTCCTGGCAGACTGTGTCTTAACTTACAGCAGTACCCCCAGCCTGAACACAGCATCCAGCACTGAGTCTGCTCTTACCCACGCTGGTGGGAGGAACAAGTGAGGCTGGCCTGTGTCTTTGCTGCCACCTAATCCCCACACCCGCCAGCATTTATTCTCACCTCTTAGTGGAAGATGTGGCCTCCTCCCACACAAGGCTATTTCTTTGACTGTGCTTGTGATGGAAGATGCTGCCACCGCTCCCAGACCTTGTCCCATTGGTTGGCCTCTACATTCCCTGGGTCGGTTACCTCTCCCTCCAGTGTTTGGATGTGCTCAAGTCTCTCTCAACTTAAGAGTCACCACTCACCACATCTCATCTTCTGCCTATAGAAAATAGATTGTTGGTTACCAGAGGCCAGAGGAGGGGGAGGGGGCTGGAGTTGGGGGATGAAGGGGAAAAAGAGAATATAAATGTTTTTATTACCACTGAACTGTGTAGTTAAACTGTATGCACTCCTTTCCTATACATTCATACTTGAAATAATGGAATGCACATGAGTTCTCTACTTTCTTACCGTTCCTATCAGCACAATGACATCTGACTTCTACCTCCTCCACTCCAAGAAAGCAACACTTGGCGGTCATCAATAGCCTTCTTATTGCTTAATCCGATGATCAATTTTCAATATGCATCTTGCTTGACCTCATGGATTTTCAAACCTGCCTCTCTCTTGAATAAAGCCCTTTCTTTGCTTCCTTAGCCCTACATCAGCCAGGATCACCTTCTATCTCTCTTGCTTTTCCTCAGATCAGCCACTTCTGTATCTTCCTTAAGTATTGATGTGGCAGGTTGGGTTTCTCTATTTCATGACTGCGAAATAGATATGTATGTGTAGGGGGATTTTGGGAAATCCTCTTGGGAGATACACCTGAAATGGAGGGAAGAAAAAAAGATTGAGTTGAGAGACAAGTTGAACTGTGATTCATTTGCAACAGAGACATCCTTTTTTTGGAAAGCTCTAGAGCTGAGTTAGCCCTTCAGAATTATTCACAGTGAGCCAAGAGGTTTTGCCTTTACAACTCCTCTCACCTGATCAGGTATCAGACGAGGGTTGTCTCCAGGAAGGGGATAGGACCCTGGGTAAAGCAGCTGTCTTTGAATGCGGGCAATTCCAAGGGAAGGCTCAGCCTCTGGGCAATGAGTGCCTCAGCCTAGAGGTAGAATATCATGACATGTATGACAATCAGGGTTTCTCAAAATTTTGTTTTTGGCCTCTTCTCATCTCACTCTGTAAGCTCTGACTGGGTGAACCAACCTCCACAGATTCCATTACCTTCTAGATCCTAATGACTTGTTTCTCCAGCCTAGACATGTCTCCTGAGTCACCTGTGTAACATGCCACCTAATAACTGCAGTCATCAATAACCTCAACCTTGTTACTTCATACTACTAATAATACAACATTCATTATTGTTTCCCTCAAACACCAATTACCACCATTTCCTCAAGGGTCTGGAAACCTGGATACCACTTGGACCACTTTCTGCACATCAGTCCCAAACATGAGCAGTCCCTAAGCCTAGAGGCTCTACCTCCTAAATGTGTGCTGTGGCTTTCAAGGTCTCACCATCCCTTCTGCCAGTGCCACTGATGACCCAGGCTCCTCACTGCAATACTGGCCCTCCCCTCGGGGCTTCCTGTGTCTCTGCAGATATTCTTATTTGCAATGTATCTTCACACAGCAGGAAGTGTGATGGTTTAGAAGTGCTCAAGTCTGGAGACCATTATGTTAAGTGGAATAAGTCAAGCATAGAAAGACAAGTATCACGTTTTCTCACTCACATGTGGGAGCTAAAAAAGTGGATCTCAGGCTGGGTGCAGTGGCTCATACCTGTAATTCCAGCACTTTGAGAGGCCAAGGGGGGTGGATCGCTTCAGGCCAGGAGTTTGAGACCAGACTGGCCAATATGGTTAATCTCTACTACAAAATACAAAAATTATCTGGGTGTGGTGGCACATGCTTGTAATCCCAGCTGGGGGGCTGAGGCACAAGAATCACTTGAACCTGGGAGGCAGAGGTTGCCATAAGTTGAAATAGCACCACTGCATTCTAGCCTGGGTGACAGAGAGAGACTCTGTCTCAAAGAAAAAAAAAGGGGTCTCATGAAAATAGAAAACAGATTGGTGGTTACCAGAGGCCAGAGGATGGGGCTGGAGTTGGGGGATTAACGGGAAAAAGAGAATATGAATGTTTTTATTACCACTGAATTGTACACTTAAAAATGGTAAAGATGTTAACTCGTATGTGTATTCTACCTCAATAATGTTTTTTTAATGCTCAAACCTGTTACCATTCACCTACTAACGTCATCTTCAGTGCCTCCTTACTGTTCTTGTATTCACTCAACAACTAGCTACGAATGCCTAGTGTCAGGCCCTGTCCCATGTGCGGGGGCTGCGGTAATGACCACAGTGAAGTCACTAGCCTTGTTTGTTGTGGTCCATGGTGCAGAAAGAGATACTAAGTAATTGCGTGCATCATAGTATTAGTGGTAGAAGCAGATGAAGACAGGAGAGGGATGTCAGGGGTTGTGAATGTTCAGGAGAGTCAGTAAGAGGCCCAGCTGGGTGGAGCCTTTTGATCATGGAGGGATTTGGATTTTATGCCGAATGAGCCGGGAAGATGTAGAGGTTGGAGGCAGCAGAATGAACTGATCTAACCTACGTTAAAAGGACTCCTCTGGCTCCTGTGTGAATAGGTTGTATGAGGACAAAGGAGGAGAGTGGGTGTCTCAATACGAGGCTACTGCCCTTGTCTACGTGAGAGACACGGGGTGGAAGGGTGGGTGCAGAGGGCAATCGTCCTTGTCTCAGGTGCCCCTTTTCATACTGGCCTCACTGTGAGCCATGCTTCTGGGCAGCAAAGGCCTCATGGGTTGAAGAAAAGCAGAGCCGGTGCCTAGCTCAGAGCCCGTCTCATTGTTGGTGCACCGTAAATGCTTGTTGGATAAATGGCAAGTAATTTTAAAAGAACAATGTGGTACCATACAATCTTTGATCAGGAAAGACCTTCCGCTTCAAGGTAGAATATAAGGGTCTAACACAGCAGCCAATCAAATAAGCTACTTCTTTCAAGAATACTTTGCTGCTCTTCTTAACCAAATGGGGTTAAAGAAGTTAACCTTTAGCAAAGTAATATTTGTATCTACAATAGTGGACAGAAGCAGTTATGCAAAGATTATTGCCAAAAAACAGCACTTTCCTGCCCCACTTTTCCATATTCTCAATTCCTGCTTTCCAAAGCAACCATGTTCTGCTCTTCTGGTATCTGTACTGTTTCTTCTGGTATCACCTCCCTTATTTCTAAACAAAATGCTGTTACCACTTGTATTAATCTGTTTTCACACTGTTAATAAAGACATACCCAAGACTTGGCAATTTACCAAAGGAAAAAAAAAAAAAAAGATTTAATGGACTTACAGTTCCGCATGACTGGGGAGGCCTCACAATCATGGCAGAAGGCAAGGAGGAGTAAGTCACATCTTACATGGATGGTGGCAGGCCAAGAGAGAGCTTATGCAGTGAAACTCTTGTTTTTAAAGCCATCAGTTCTTGTGAGACCTATTCACTATCACAAGAACAGCACAGGAAAGACCTGCCCCCATGATTCAGTTACCTCCCACGGAGTCCCTCCCACAACACATGGGAATTTAAAGTGAGATTTGGGTGGGGACTCATCCGCACCATATTACCACTATTGATTGATGTTTTAATTGTAGATATCATCTACTGACTTTATGGAAGAGTATGATATAAACTCTCCTACACCCTCTCTACTCATGTTCCCTTTTTTCAACCTCTAGAAAGCATTATGTCCCAATTTTGGTTAAATCATTCATTGTAGATGACATGACTATGAAGCATTGTTCAAGGAATATTTACACAGCAATTAATGTGTCTCCACGCTAACCATTTTTTTCCTGGAGTTATTAAATACCTTGTGTCTTTGTTTGCTTAGCTTTCTATGCACCTACCATTAAGTCATACCTAAACTCCCAAAAGATTCTAAATCACCCCTGCATCTGTTCAAATGCATTGCATATTATTTTCCTTTTTCCCCTTGCATATGCTTCTCAGATCCCTCTGGCTCTAGATTGCTCCTGTCCAGTCTGCTCTGTTGACTCTGGATCTGCTCCACAGCTGCCATTCAGGGACTTACTCATCACCATGACATGTTCTTTGCCCTGCCTTAGTTTTAGGGGCCTCACTTCCTTTATCTCTGTGAGTCGGCTAAAACTGCAGTCTACTTCAAGTACCAGAAACCTGTGGGCAGTGACTGAAACAAATAGTTTCTTCCCCACATACCAAGAAGTCTGAAGTCAGCAGTTTCTGCATTGGTTCAGCCACCTGAATATGTCAGGGTCAGTGTCTATGCAATCCTTTTGTGCTTCTCCTCAGGATTGCAGAGTGGCTGTTCCAGCTCCAGCCATCACAGTTACATTCCAGTCAGAAAGAAGCGGGGGTGTTGATGGTCCTGGCTGCGTATATCTCCCTTGAGTAAGAAAGCAAAATAATTCTTGGGATTTGCCTCAGAAGATTTCTGCTTTAGCCTTGTTGGCCAGAACTGTTTACATGGCTGTACCTCTCTAGGAGAGAGGTTGGGAAAGTGGAGTATCATGCTTGGCTGGGACCAGTCACGACCTATTGTTTGGGTTGGCATGTTGCACTTTAAGCAAAACTGGGTTCTTTTTTCAACAGCAGGATGGATATTGGATAGCCAATGAGGAACAGCTCATTTCCTGTGGGTGCCCCTCTAGGTGGCTCAGGTTTAAGTCTAACGGGTCAGTTGCCTTGTATGTTTGCTTCCCATTGTCTAAAATTCAGCTGTCCCTCTCATGGGCTGTCATCCCCTTCCTCACCTTTCTTGTCTTTATGGCTTTACATTTAATGAATTTTTTTGTTGTCATCTTACTGTGTTATGAGAAGTGGCTGTTTTTGCTAAAAGTCCAGACTATCATCTTGACTTGCTCTGGACTGTCAAAGCTTTCCTTTTGTCCCTCATTTTTAACAACACATTTTTCCAGAGAGTCCTTTACACATTCCCTGAGGGCAGGACATCTTTCTACTCAGCTTTTCTTCCCTTCCAGAGCTTGGCTAAGTGTTTTGCTTATCGCGGTGCAGAGGACATATTTGCTTAACTGAGACACTTTTGGGAAATGAAATCTTACGTCTTATTCAGGTCGTCCACGTGACCACTTTGGCAGTTTTCTTTTCTTCTCATTTCTGGCCTCTATAGAACTACAGAACGGTGAACTATATTTTTCATGAGAAAGCAAGCAAAGTAAATGAAGCTCCAGGGGGCAGAGTTTCAGAGTCCAGAGCCAGGCCTAGGTGTGTTTTTAGTTGGAGGCTTCTGAGGTGGAGTAGTGGCTGGAAGGAAGGAGGAGGAGGAGGTGAGCCCAAGCATCCAGAAACACTCAGTGAAGCTGCAAAAGCCCTCAAAGGAGCTGGCTCTCAGTGAGTGGAGGGAGACACACTTCAGAGATTCATCCTGGGTGGAGCCTGAGATAGAGGAGAGGAACGTGCTTCTCTTAACAGTTCGGCCACTGATTGTGTGAACGGTGGCCAGCGGAGGCAGAAACAGAATAGCTCTTCAGGACTCTGAAGGGGACTGTCCTATCTGGATTCATCTCTTTGGGGCATTCGAATCTTGACTTTAAAAATCAGGTAGCCTCCATCCAACCTCAGCTCCCAGATATGAGTATGTGAAGTCTTTTAACTCAGACTTGATGAAGACAACAGGATTTATTGAAAGAATGACCATCCCAACACTGCAATGAGATAGGTCCAGGGTTTATTTCACCAGTGGTAGAAAATAAGTGCAAGTTGGGATCTGATATGTCTCTAGCCCCTTAGCTACTAATGTAACCAAGGAAGGAGTTTTAGGAGAATGAGGTTTCGTACTCTCTCTTTAAAACAGCTTTATTGATGTATAATTGTTATAGAATAAATTGTACGTATGAAACAGTTGATGTTTTGTTATATGTCTACACCTATGAAACCATCACAGAAATCAACATGACAGATGGTGAACAAATCCATCAGGCCCCTTTGTCATCTTTCCCTTCCCCCCTCCCTATCCCCAAGTAACCACTGATTGGCTTTATGTCACTACACATTAGTTTACATTTTCTAGTAGTTACATAAGCGAAATCATACAGTACGCATGCAGTCTTTTCTGTGTGGACTCTTATTTATTATGATTATTTTGAGATTTATGTATGTTCAGTGTGTACCAATAGTTTATTCTTTTATTGCTGAGTAGTATTCCATAATAAGGATACAGTAGAATTTGTTTAGCCATTTACCTGTCAATAAACATTCGGGTTCATTCCTAGCTTTTTGTTTTGTCTTCTATCATAAATAAAGCTGCACTGAACATTTGTGGATGTGATGTGGACTGGGGCTTTTCTGTATCTTTTATGTTATTCTCCTCCCACAGTGGTAGAGATTGTCACTGAGTCTCTGTTTTCTCCTGTCATTGTCCACATTGCAGAGTTTACATTCTGCATCTTTGCTAATGAGTTGTTCTGGAAACTTTTGCATCCCACAGATACAATCTGCAAAATTGTACCTGGGGTGGAGTGATGCTGCAGCTTTTGGTCTAGCATGAGCTCCTGTGGTCTGAGCCTGCATTCCATTTCCATCTGTGTTCAGTGTGGGCGTGGCACTTTATTAGTTTGCTGCAGCACTGGGAGAAGGTATTTTTAAACTCTTGGTAGCAAGGGTCATCTCCTGCTGGGATTCCACACCAAAACATGCCTCACCTCTTGGCAGTAACAGATGCTAAGCTGCTTTCTGTGCAACCCCATTAAGTAATCTTCCAGCAACAATTGATTGGGAATGGCTTAGGGCCTTTGATAAACTCAGGATGGATGATCACGTAGGCTGCAGCAAGACATTAACCAAGACCTCTCATGTTTCCCTTTCTGAACCACAACAGGTTCAGATAAAGTTTCTGAGGACCAGCTTGGATAACTAACAAATAACAACGTGGATTCCTCTGTTATTGTCTTTTCCAGCTTTCCAGTTTCAATTCTTGCAAGGAACCAAGAGCCTTTTTTTTTTCCCTCTCAACTCCTCATTAGCATCATGGCTGTGTTGTTATTTTTATAATTTATAGGTTTCAATATTAGGCTTTCCCCACAAGACTGTGCAACATACAGACCAGGGCTGTGTCTCTGTCATTCTCTCTCTAACTCTGGGGTTTGTTACAGTGTTTTGCTCAGTTGATACTTGTTGACATAATAAAGAATGAAGGAGTCAGAGTCCTGTGCTCAGTCCCTAGCAATGTGACGCAGTGAGTGTGCTTGGGCTACATTTTAGTTTGTTCAGGCTGTGGGAACAAAATACCACAAACCGGGTGGTTTATAAGCAACAGAAATTTATTTCTCACAGGTCTGGATGCTGGAAAGTCTAAGATAAGGATTCTGGCAGATTCAGTGTCTGGTGAGGGCCTATTTCCTGGTTCATAGATGTCACCTTCATGATGTGTCCTCGCATGGTGGAAGGGGTGAGGGGTCTCTCTCAGGCCTTTCCTATGAGGGCACTAATCCCATTGCCCTGAGACTAATGACGGCTCCATTCCCATGGTCTAATCACCCACAAAGGCTCCACTTCTCAGTGCCCTTGGGGGTTAGGATTTCAACGTAGGAATTTTGGGGAAGACACAAACATTGTGACCACAGCACCTCCCATTACAAACTACCATGGGTTGCATCACTTACACCAGTGGTCCCCAATCTCTAGGCCACAGACCGGTAATGGGGGCTGGGGGACCCTTGGTGTACCCGGTACCAGTCCATGGCCTGTTAGGAACTGGGCCGCCCAGCAGGAGGTGAGCAGCAGGCGAGTGAGTGAAGCGTCATCTGTAGTTACACCTGCTCCCCATTGTTCACGTTGCCACCTGAGCTCCGCCTCCTGTCGGATCAGCAGCGGCATTAGATTTTCATAGGAGCATGAACCCTATTGTGAACTGCTCATGCAAGGGATCTAGGTTGTGCACTCCTTATGAGAGTCTAATGCCCGATGATCTGTCACTGTCTCCCATCACCCCCAGATAGGATCATCTAGTTGCAGGAAAACAAGCTCGGGGCTCCTACTGATTCTACATTATGGTAAGTTGTATAATTATTTTGTTATACATTACAATGCAATAATATAGAAATAAAGTGCACAATAAATGTAATGTGCTTGAATCATCTGAAGCCATCCCCCACCCTGCCCTCTTGGTACATGGAAAAATTGTCTTCCATGAAACCAGTCCCTGGTGCCAAAAAGGTTGGGGAAATGCTGACTTACACAACAGAAATTTATTTGCTAAGTTTTGAAGGCTGGAAGTCCAGGATCAAGGTTCTGGCAAACTTATTAGCTTTTCCTCCTTCCCTGTCTCACCATTCCTTTCTTCTGCTTCCTGTGATCACCTTTTGAACTGTTTTTGCAAATTTATGTCTTGGGCTTTGCTCTTAAGGAAATCTAAAATGAGACACCATAGTTTTAGAAAAAGCCGAATAGTTTCTCTTTTTGAGAGTTCTCATAGAGTTTTATCAACTATTTTGGATTATACTTATCTAATTACGGTATGTTTTGGCCACTGAACCTTTTAAAATGTATTATCTTGAAAGCATGTGCCCCACAGACTGTAAGCTTGCTTTTGTGTTAGTGTTGGTTTAACATATAGAAATATCAGAGCTTAGGGTATCCTTTTAGATGCCAATTAAACATCACTCAGCATTGAAGACATATAGTCTTCTGAGAATACAGTAGCAAAGGGTACTGATTGTTGCACAAAAATATCATAACATTATGATCCCTTGATACTACTTACAATTTATAACACCCAAACACACGTGACAAGCCAAGGCATAATGACTGGCAAGGCTCAGTCATTATGTAATCAGAGGTCTCTCTGTGAGATACCTATTTTGATTCCTCATTTGAGGAAAAAATTGTGATGCTTACAGAACAATAATATAATTTTGATTTAGCTGATTTTTAATTCTATTTTACTTTAATTTCCAGCAACAATTGATTGGGAATGGCTTAGGGCTTTCGATAAACTCAGGATGGATGATCATGTAGGCTGCAGCACATGATCCATGTGCAGAACGTGCAGGTTTGTTACACAGGTATACGTGTGCCATGGTGGTTTGCTGCACCTATTGACCCATCATCTAGGTTTCTTTCCCTCGGCCCCTTACCCCCCACAGCCCCCGGTGTGTGTTTTTCCTCTCCCTGTGTCCATGTGTTCTCATTTTTCAACTCCCACTTATGAGTGAGAACATGCAGTGTTTGGTTTTCTGTTCCTGCGTTAGTTTGCTAAGGAAGATGGCTTCCAGCTTCATCCATGTCCCCTGCAAAGGACATGATCTCATTCCTTTTTATGGCTGCACAGTATTCCATGGTGTATATGTACCACATTTTCTTTATCCAGTCTATCATTGAAGGGCATTTGGGTTGGTTCCATGTCTTTGCTATTGTAAATAGTGCTGCAATAAACATACATGTGCATGTGTCTTCATAGTAGAATGATTTACATCTGTTGGGTGTATACCTAGTAATGGAATAGCTGGGTCAAATGGTATTTCTGGTTCTAGATCCTTGAGGAATTGCCACAATGTCTTCCACAATGGTTGAACTAATTTACATTCACACCAACAGTGTAAAAGTGTTCCTATTTCTCTACAGTTTCACCAGTATCTATTGTTTCTTGACTTTTTAATAATCGGCATTCTGACTGGCATAAGATGGTATGTCATTGTGGTTTTGATTTGCTTTTCTCTAAAGATCAGTGATGATGAGCTTTTTTCCATGTGTTTGTTGGCTACATATGTGTCTTCTTTTGAGAAGTGTCTGTTCATATCCTTTGCCTACTTTCTGATGTGGTTGTTTGTTTGTTTTTCTTGTAAATTTGTTTATGTTCCTTAGATTCTAGATATTAGACCCTTGTCAGATGGGTAGATTGCAAAAATTTTCTTCCATTTTGTAGGTTGCATGTTCACTCTGATGATGATAGTTGCTTTTGCTCTGCAGAAGCTCTTTAGTTTAATCAGATCCTATTTGTCAATTTTGGCTTTTGTTGCAATTGCTTTTGGAATTTTCATCATTAAGTCTTTTCCCATGCCTATATCCTGAATGGTATTGCCCAGGTTTTCTTCTAGGGTTTTTATGGTATGGGATTTTACATTTAAGTCTTTAATCCATATTGAGTTAATTTTTGTATAAGGGAGAGGTCTAGTTTCATTTTTCTGCATATGGCCAGCCACCTTTCCCAGCACCCTTTTTTGAATAGGAAATTTTTTCTCCATTGCTTGTTTTTGTCAGGTTTATCGAAGATCGGATGGTGGTAGATGTGTGGTGTTATTTCTGAGGCCTCTGTTCTGCTCCATTGGTCTATATGTCTGTTTTTGTACCAGTAACATACTGTTCTGGTTATTGTAGCCTTGAAGTATAGTTTGAAGTCAGGTAGCGTGATGCCTCCAGTTTTGTTCATTTTGCTTAGGATTGTATTGGCTATAGAAGCTATTCTTTGGTGCCATATGAAATTTAAAGTTTTTTTTTTCTAATTCTGTGAAATTTGATAAGAATAGCAATGAATCTATAAATTACTTTGGGTGGTATGGCCATTTTCACAATATTGATTCTTCCTATCCATGAGCATGGAATGTTCTTCCATTTGTTTGGGTCCTCTCTTATTTCCTTGAGCAGTGGTTTGTAGTTCTCCTTGAAGAGGTCCTTCACATCCCATGGTAGCTGTAATCCTAGGTATTTTATTCTCTTTGTGGCAATTGTGAATGGGAGTTCATTCATGATTTGGCTGTCTGCTTGTCTATATTTGGTGTATAGGAATGCTTGTTATTTTTGCACATTTATTTTGTATCCTGAGACTTTGCTGAATTTGCTTATCAGCTTAAGCAGTTTTGGGTTGAGACAATATGTTTTCTAAATATAGAATCATGTTATCTGCAAACAGAGATAATCTGACTTCCTCTCTTCCTATTTGAATATCCTTTATTTCTTTCTATTACCTGATTACCCTGGCCAGAACTCCCAATACTATGTTGAATAGGAGGGGTGAGAGAGGGCATCCTTGTCTTGTACCAGTTTTTGAAGGGAATACTTCCAGCTTTTGCCCATTCAATATGATATTGGCTGTGGGCTTGTCATAAATACCTCTTATTATTTTGAGATATGTTCCATCAATATCTAGTTTATTGAGAGTTTTTAAAATGAAGGGATGTTGAATTTTATCAAAGTCCTTGCCTGCATCTATTGAGATAATAATGGGGTTTTTGTGTTTGGTTCTGTTTATGTGTGATGGATTACATTGATTGATTTGCGTATGTTGAACCAGCCTTGCATCTCAAGGATGAAGCCAACTTGTTTGTGGTGAATAAGTTTTTTGATATGCTGCTGGATTTGTTTTGCCAGTATTTTATTGAGGATTTTTGCATTGATGTTCATCAGGGATATTGGCCTAAAGTTTTCTTTTTTTGTTGTGTCTCTGCCAGGTTTTGGTATCAGGATGATGCTGGCCTCATAAAATGAGTTAGGAAGGAGTCCCTCCTTTTCAATCATTGGGATTAGTTTCAGAAGGAATGGTACCAGCTCCTCTTTGTACCTCTGGTAGAATTTGGCTGTGAATCTGTCTGGTCCTGGGCTTTTTTCCGTCAGTAGGCTATTAATTTCTGCCTCTATTTCATAACTTGTTATTGGTCTATTCAGGGATTTGACTTCTTCCTGGTTTAGTCTTGGGAGGGTGTGTATGTCCAGGAATTTATTCATTTCTTGTAGAGTTTCTAGTTTATTTGCATAGAGGTGTTTATAATATTCTTTGATGGTAGTTTTGTATTTCTGTGGGATCAGTTGTGATATCCCCTTTATCATTTTTAATGTGTCTATTTGATTCTTGTCTCTTTTGTACTTTATTAGTGTAGCTAGTGGTCATCTATCTATTTAGTTAGTTTTTGAAAAAGTACACCTCCTGGATTCACTGGTTTTTTGGAGAGTTTTTCGTGTCTCTATCTCCTTCAATTCTGCTCTGACCTTAGTTATTTCTTGTCTTGTGCTAGCTTTTTGATTTGTTTGCTCTTGCTTCTCTAGATCTTTTAATTGTGATGTTAGGGTGTCGATTTGAGATCTCTCTAGCTTTCTGATGTAGGCATTTAGTGCTATAAATTTCCCTTTTAACAGTGCTTTAGTTGTGTCCCAGAGATTCTGGTACATTATCTCTTTGTTCTCATTGGTTTCAAACAACCTCTTGATTTCTGCCTTAATTTCATTATTTACCCAGCAGTTATTTAGGAGCAGGTTGTTCAATTTCCATGTAATTTTGTGATTTTGAATGAGTTTCTTAATCCTGATTTCTAATTTGATTGCACTGTGATCTGAGAGACTGTTTGTTATGACTTTGGTTCTTTTGCATTTGCTGAGGAGTGTTTTATTTCCAATTATGTGGTTGATTTTAGAATAAGTGTTCTGTGGCACTGAGAAGAATGTATATTCTGTTGATTTGGGGTGGAGAGTTCTGTAGATGTCTATTAGGTCCACTGGATCCAGAGCTGAGTTCAAGTCCTGAATATCCTTGTTAATTTTCTGTCTCGTTGATCTGTCTAATATTGACAGTGGGGTGTTAAAGTCTCCCACTATTATTTTGTGGGAGTCTTAGTCTCTTCGTAGGTCTTTAAGAACTTGTTTTATGAATCTGGGTGCTCCTGAATTGGTTGCATATTTATTTCGGGTAGTTAGCTCTTCTTGTGGAATTGATCCATTTACCATTATGTAATGCCCTTCTTTGTCTTTTTTGATCTTTGTTGGTTTAAAATCTCTTTTTCAGACACTAAAACTGAAACCCTTGCTTTTTTTTGCTTTCCATTTCCTTGGTCAATTTTGCTTCATGCCTTTATTTTGAGCCTATGTGTGTCTCTGCATGTGAGATGGGTCTCCTGAATACAGCACACCAATGGGTCTTGACTCCTGATCCAATTTGCCAGTCTGTATCTTTTAATCGGGACATTTAGCCCATTTACATTTAAGGTTAGTATTGTTATGTGTGAATTTGATCCTGTCATCATGATGCTATCTGGTTATTTTGCACACTAGTTGATGCAGTTTCTTCATAGTGTCATTGGTCTTTATATTTTGATGTGTTTTTGCAGTGGCTGGTACTGGTTTTTCCTTTCCATATTTAGTGCTTCCTTCAGGAGCTCTTGCACGGCAGTCCTTGGTGGTGATGAAATCCCTCAGCATTTCATTGTCTGAAAAGGATTTTATTTCTCCTTCACTTATGAAGCTTAGTTTGGCTGGATATGAAATTCTGGGTTGATAATTCTTTTCTTTAAGAATGTTGAATATTGGTCCCTCTCTTTTCTGGCTTGTAGGGTTTCTGCTGAGTGGTCCACTGTTAGTCTGATGGGCTTCTCTTTGTAGATGACCTGGCCTTTCTCTCTGGCTGCCCTTAACAATTTTTCCTTCATTTTGACCTTGGAGAATCTGATGATTATGTGTCTTGTGGTTGGTGTTTTCATGGAGTATCTCAGTGGTGTTCTCTGCATTTCCTGAATTTGAATATTGGTCTGTCCTGCTAGGTTGGGGGAGTTTTCCTGGATAATATCCTGAAGTGTGTTTTCCAGCTTGTTTCCATTCTTCCCATCTCCTTCAGGTACTCCAATCAATCATAGGTTTGGTCTTTTTAAATAGTCCCATATTTCTCTGAGTCTTTGTTCATTCCTTTCCCTTCTTTTTTTTCTCTGATCTTGTTTTCATGCCTTGTTTCAGCAAGGTGGTCTTCAAACTCTAATATCCTTTCTTCTGATTGGTCAGTTTGGCTATTGATACTTGTGTATGCTTTATGAAGTTCTCATGCTGTGTTCTTCACCTCCAACAGGTCATTTATGTGTCTCTCTAAACTGGTTATTCTAGTTAGCAGCTCCTCTAACCTTTAATCAAGGTTCTTAGCTTCTTTGCATTGGGTTAGAACATGCTCCTTTAGCTCAGCAGAGTTTGTTATTACCCATTTTCTGAAGCCTACTTCTGTCAATTCATCTATCTCATCCTCCATCCAGTTCTGTGCCCTTGCTGGAGAGGCATTGAGATAATTTGGAGGAGAAGAGGCTCTCTGGCCTTTTGGGTTTTCAGTGTTTTCTTCATTGATTCTTTCTCATCTTCATGAGTTTAGTTTTGATCTTTGAGGCTGCTGACCCTTAGATGGGGTTTTTATGGGAACTTTTTTTGTTGTTGATGCTGTTGTTGCTTTCTGCTTGCTTGTTTTTCTTTCAATGATCAGGTCCCTCTTCTGTAGGGCTGCTGTGGTTTGCTGGGGTTCACTTCAGGCTCTATTCATCTGGTTTGCTCCCCCACCTGGAGATATCACTCAAGGAGGCTGGAGAATAGCTAGATGGGTGCCGGCTCCTTCTTCTGGGATCTCTGACCTTGAAGGGCACCAACATGATGCCAGAAGGATCACTCCTGTATAAGGTGTCTGACAACCCCTCTTGGAGGGTCTCACGTAGTTGGGTGGCACGGGGATCAGGACCCTTTTAGTGAAGCACTTTGTCCCTTGGTGGAGGAGGTGAGCTTTGCTGGGGGAAAACCCACTCGTCTGGGCTGCCCGGATTCCTCAGAACTAGCAGGAGGAAAGGCTAAGTCTGCTGGTTCACAGAGATTGTGGCCACCCCTCCCTCTAGGGGCTCAGGCCCAGGGAGATCAGATTTCTGTGCCTGAGTGCCTGGCTGGAGTTGTTGGAGTTCCTGCAGGGAGGCCCCACCCAGTGAGTAGGGATGGGTCAGGGTCAGGCCTGAAGGGGCACTCTGGCGACAGTCTGCCACAGCTGGTGTGTTGGGCTGTGGGGGACACCTCTTGGGACCAAGCCATCTAGCCTTCCTGGCTCCAGCAAGGGAAA
This sequence comes from Homo sapiens, assembly GCF_000001405.40. Lineage (NCBI taxonomy): Eukaryota > Metazoa > Chordata > Mammalia > Primates > Hominidae > Homo > Homo sapiens. Next base: position 135,790,708 of record NC_000008.11, read on the forward strand.
AGCGCAGCCTGGAGCTATAGAGATGGCTGCTGCCCTTCCCCTATCCAGGGAGCTTAGTGTGTTAGGCAGCTATCAGTCCCAGTGCTGGTTGCTGCCCCTCCTCCAAGGAGCTTAAATGGCTCAGACAGCAGGGAGCCACAGCCCTGGTGCTGGTCGCTCCTTCTCCCTGGAATTCCGCAGGCTCAAGCAGATTCTAGCTGGGAGCCCATTGAGAATCTGTGTGGCTCTGGAGTTGGGAGTCTAGGCCCCGGTGGCATGGGTTCACGAGTGGGATCTTCCAATCCGTGGGTTGCACAGTTCTGTGGAAAAAGCATGGTTTCCCCGGCTGGGTAGCACACTCACTCACTGCCTCCCTTGGCTGGCAGGGGGCTCCTCTGCCCCGTGTGGCTCTCAAGTGCGCCGCTGAACCACACTGCTCTTCCTTCCTCTCCGTGGGTCGCGCCGGCCACCTAGTCAGTTCTGATGAGAGAACCTGGATACCTTGGTTGCCGGTGCAGGATTCACATGCTATTATGGCTCTTTTCGATGGAGCCTCTGACCACTGCGGCTTCTAGTTGGCCATCCTGGCCCTGCTCCCTGATTTAGCTGATTTTATTTGTAAAAATGTTCCATGCTTTATCACTTATTTTATCTTAGGGATGTTGGAATTATGCTGTAATGTTGGCTTGTATGCATGTGTATATTTTGTATGCAGTGAGAGCTTCTTGTTGGCTGCTCATGATTCGGGGCACTTTATTCTCCCTCCGGATGATTTTGGTGATGCCTCACACTTTCAGGTGGTTAGAAGAGTCCAACGATTTCAGCCAATTTGAGACTTTGCCCAGACTTTATTAAATTGGCAATAGATGAGCTATTCTCCAGCCCCCTTGAGTGATATCTCCAGGTGCGGGAGCAAACCAGATGAATAGAGCCTCAAGTGAACCCCCAGCAAACCACAGCGGCCCTACAGAAGAGGGACCTGACCATTGAAAGAAAAACAGAAAGCAGAAACAATAGCATCAACAACAACAAAATACTCCCACAAAAACCTCATTTAAGGGTCAGCAGCCTCAAAGATCAAAACTAGACAAACTCATGAAGATGAGAAAGAATCAATGAAAAAAACACTGAAAAATCCAAAAAATAGATAAGCAATAGTTGTGATCTTTTAGATCAAGGGTTGTGAACATGGCCTGGGGGCTGAAGGTAGCTGTTTTGCCTGTCACGTGGAAAAGGCTTGACTATATAGATGCTCCTTGGCTTACTATGGGGTTATGTCCCAAAAAACTCATCATAACTTGAAAAGTCCAAAAGGCAATTAATACACCTAACCTACTGAACATCATAGCCTATCCTAGCCCACCTTAAACATGCTCAGAACACTTACATTAGTTGGGCAAAATTACCAAACACAGAGCTTATTTTATAATAAAGTGTTGAATACTGTATACAAATGGGTGTTTTGAAGACATGACAGGATGTGAAAACACTAAACACAGTATCCAAAAAACACTGTCAACACAGCACACTAGAGTGTTGGTTGTTTACCTCATGATCCTGTGGCTGTTTGGGAGTTCCAGCTCCTTGTCACTGCCCACCACCATGAGAGTGTATCATACCACATGCTGCTAGCCCAGGAAAAGGTCAAAATTCAAAATCTGAAGTACGGTTTCTACTGAATGGATATTGCTTTCATACCATCATAAAATAATGAAATCATAAGTTGAACCATCGTAACTTGGGGACTGTCTGTATTCAGATAGAATAAAGCCAGTGACCAAAGATAATCAGAGACAGACAGGTGGACAGAAAGGTGAAACACTGTCATCATGATCTCAGCTCAGGTAGATAGCTATGCCTGAGGCCAGCTTTATATCAGGACTTGCCAGTTGCACCAGTCAATAATTTCCCTTTATTGCAACTTGCTGAGCCAGTTGGTCTTGAAATTCTATCGTTTCCTACCAAAATTCTTACCTTAGAGTATGTCATAATCTGAAATGTGTGGTAAATATTGTGCTTGGCTCTGACTCTCCTTCTGCCTCCTGTCCTGCTGCCCCTTATAGGAGGAGAGTATTTGCGATAGAGTCAGGCAAACATGGGCTTGCAATCTGGTTTTAGCAAACGTTATTGTCACAGTTTGTGAGAGAAGTGTCATGGTGTCAGGTCAAGAAGGCGTGTTCACAGTCACTCAGATCTGGGGTTTTAATCCCGGCCAAGTCACTTTCTAGCTTTGTGTTATTGAGTACATTTCATAATCCCTTTGAATTATTTTTCCTCAATATAATGTGGCAATTATACCTCCTAACTTTTGGAGTTTCTTTGATAATCACAGATGACTTGCTTTGCAGTCTTGATAAATAATCGTTATTATTTTGACAATCTCTTCAGTTTTCCTTGTTCCTTAAAAAACAGTCTTTTATTAAATTCCTCCAGAGTGTTTTTCTAAATTTGCAAAACAAATTGACAAATGAACCAAACAACAGCAAAAACACTCAACTTTAAAATCTTTCGCAGGTGATTGAAGATCTAGTAAATAGAGGTCACAGGACAATTTGTTTTGGATATAGCATAATACAGTTTCTATTTCTGCATTCCCCTCAAAAAGGACTAAATAGCGAAGTTTACATTAATTGATTTGTAAATTCATGATCGTAAATAATTTAATAAATCCTCTTGTTTGCAAGACTTCTGTAGTGGGGCACTGCTTGTGGTCTTTTTCCTCCAAAGATAATGGGGTAAAAAGGAAACAAAAATTTCTACATTTCTTTCACCCCCACATTCTGTTGCTAATCAGCCACAATATTAAAAGCAGATGTGAACACTCATCAAGAAATGGAAACAGCATTACCTGTGCACAAACTGTGTGTCAGGTATTCTGTATTGCTTTTTTCTTTTAACTCACCCCTAACAACCTTGGGAGGTGCAGGAGAAGCTCAAGAGGAGTACCTTTCTTCCTGCAATGTCTTTTCAGCACCGTCTATTGGTAAAGGTAACAATGGAAAAATATTTAAAGGGCCCAGCTCCATTTTTTTGCAGGGCTGTCATTGAGGGGTTACTTTGCAGCTGAGTGGCAATACATTGATAAGTGGCATACTTGCAACATGAAATAAAAGAAAATAACAAGAACTTATCACAAAGGGAGAAAAATTGGTACCAAGAAAAGACACCTGAAAGCAATTTGGTTTTAAAAGAAGAAAATGTCATATGAAGTGGTATAGAAAAAAAAAAGATGACTGAGATTAGATTTTGGAAACATGAAATTAGAAATTTAAAAAGTGCATTTCAAGAATAAGGAATCATAGCTCAGTGACATTAGAACTACGATCAACATCTCTGTGCCTCAGTTTTCTCATTTGAATGAAAAAGATGATAATAATAGAACTTATTTCTCAGGGCTGTTGTCAGAGACTTAATGGTATATTACACAAAATGGATTTTAGAGCAGTACCTGTATTAAATGATCAACAGACATTAGGTACTACTTTTAATTTTTAGAATGCACAAATTGGTTAAGTACTTATTTTGTCTTATAAAATTATAGTAATGTATTCAATCATTTCATCGAATATATATTTATTGAGCACCTACATACACTTCTGTAGACATTCAGGATAGATCAGTGGCCAAATCAGGCAAAAATCCTTAATAGAGCTAATAGTCTAGCATGGAATGTATAAGCATTAATAGCCTTATGAGGTGTGTCTTGCTTTTCTTCTCTATTTCCCCTCTATGTTTTTTTTTTTTTTTTTTTTTGGAGATGGAGTCTCGCTCTGTCACTCAGGCTGGAGTGCAGTGGCACGATCTTGGCTCACTTCAACCTCCACCTCCTGGGTTCAAGTGATTCTCCTGCCTCAGCCTCCTGAGCAGCTGGGATTACAGGCGTGCACCACCACGCCTGGCTAATTTTTTATATTTTTGGTAGAGATAGGGTTTTACCATGTTGGCCAGGCTGGTCTCGAACTCCTGACCTCAAATGATCCGCCTGCCTTGGCCTCCAAAAGTTCTGGGATTACAGGTGTGAGCCACCGCAACTGGCCCCCTCTACCTTTTGAGTAAAGAGGAGGAGGAAGCTCTAGAACAGGAACTGGCAAACCTCAGACAGTAAGCCATACCCAGCCCACCACTTGTTTTTGTAAATATAGATTTATAGGAACACAGCCATGCCCATTTATTTATGTATTGTTTATGACTGCTTTCATGCTACAGTGGCAGAATTGAGTGGTTGTGACTGGGATCAAGTGGCCCACAAAGCTGAAAGTATTTACTACCTGGCACAGATTTCCCGTCCCTGCTCTAGAAGACGGCAGAGCTCCACGGACAGAGGGAGCCTGAGTGGAGGGAGGAACGTCTGCCTCTTTCCCCAACACACCCTGATCCATCCACATTAGACCATGTGAGTGAGAAACACACTTGCATTTAGGTTAAGCCTCTGAGATGTCGGGCTGTTTGTTATGGTAGTTAGCTTAGTGTTATTAATTTAAAGTGTCAAGCTCTCTAAGGGGATCATCGATTTTACAAATGACCACTGTAATCCTTTAATATTTATATTCTCTTCTGAAGTACCGGTTCAGTGTGTAGATTTTGTCTTTTTTTACTTGATAATTGTCTATTCGAACTTGTCAATAGATATCTTATGCTTTTGGCAATTCTCCGACATTACTTTTATTGAGTTCATGAAATTCTATGTCTTTGAAAAAGTTACAATTTCATTTTGTAAACAACTCCAAAAGTATTTGTATAACATTTGAAATACTTGACATGCATAGAATAATCAACAAGAAAACAGAGTTGTTCATGGAGATAGAGACTGGTTATATCAGGAACTCTTTTTTTGTTTTGTTTTGTATTATTTTTCTTGTTTTCTTTCCTTTTTTTTTTTTATAAAAAAAAGCTTATTTATGACTATTTTTGTGTTAGGTTAATTTTGTTTTTCTACTCAACTTTGTAACTGAGGAATAGATACCAAAGTATTCACATGGGGCCACTGTCAAAGAAACAAAGAGGAGGGCACATCTAACTTCTCCTGGGGGAGCTGAGAAAGGATTGACAGACGACGAGACATTTGAGCTGAGTATTAAAGGATTAATGTGAGTTTACCGAGGGAGAATGATTGTAGGATGAGTGGTTGTAAGCAGATATTAATGACATGTATTAAGGCATGGAATTTTAAGATGTAGAGAGTTGTCAGTGGAAGCATTAGGTATATATATATAGGGCATGTAAAGGTTGGACAGGTAGGGAAGTAATAGCAAGATTGTAAAGGCTTTGAACACTTTTCGATGAGTTTTGTTGACTTTTTCTTTTTAATCAATAAGCCACTGATTTAAAAACTGTGAACTTGCCATTTCCAGTTCCATGTCTCTGCAGTACTGTCCATTCTAGTCCCTTAAGAAAGTCATTCATAGACAGAAAAATCCTTAAGATTGGGTGGAACCCCGTTTGAAAACCACTGCAGAAGAGAATGGAATGTCATAGAGGGCTTTGAAGCAGTGAAGGGACATGAGAAAATCTGTGTTTCGGGTAGACCATGCTGGTGTCATGTGAGAATGGACTGGCGAAGGAGAAACTGGAGCCAGAAGAACATTTAGGAGAATGAAGTCAGTGTTGACTGCAGCTGAGTTCAGAACCAATAATGATACAGGCACCTTATAAATATACATGGGTTTAAAAAAAATCCATAACCATTTTAGGAGTAGGCAGAACACCTATTATATATCTTATTTGAAGAGCAAGAGCCCTCTGTTACTGTTTGGTACTCTAATGTCATTGAGATGAAAGTTCATGGTATGTTTTAGAGGGAAGCGCATCTGGTTAAAGGGAGGGTTAAAGGAGGCATCTGGATAAATAGTGCCAATTTTGGAGCATTCTTTTTGGGAAAATGAAAAATCTGAGTTGATTCCTGGCCATAAAGAATAGAGTATGAACTAACACTGTGGTTTTGCCAGTTAAACCAAGTTCTATGAATAAATGCTAAGCCCAAAGCTAAACAAACCGGGAGCTCAATATCTTCCATGCCCAGTTGGGCAAAGGCTGTTAATATGACTTTGTGGTTGGTAAGACATACCAATTTCAAACTCATTTGGCCAGAGATTCCAGGATGGTAAAGGCATGAAAGAAATAAAATGGAAGTACTAACAACTGTCATAGTTATTTGATACTAGAGCGTTATTATTATTAACTGCCTTTTTAAAAAACACCCACTATGGACCCAGGAATTTGCTTATGTTGCATTTAATCTTTACAAGCGCCTGCCTGGTTCAGTTAGTTTAATCCTAGACATCCTCTAAGGTCAATTTCATATGGCACTTCCTCCCATGAAGCCTACCCTATCCTGCAGCAGTAGATACTCTCCAGTATCTGCTTTTAAAGCCTTTCCTCTGAGCACTCCTCATCACATTTAGCACTTTGCTTGGGATTTCTATTAACTTTGGGCTGTTGCTACTTCCCCTCCTAGATGCTTAATTGATGGCAGAATCTGTGTCTGATGCATTCCATCTTCATTTGCCCTTGCATTCTTCAAGAAACACCTATCATTCACCTCTATGGTAAATGCAGGAGGTCCAAAGTGAACGAGGCCTGGTGCCTTTGCAGAATGAGTTCCCATTTCCATGGAGAAAGAAGACAGTTAAACATAATTTCAGAGTGTCCAGAGTAATTGCAGACACTTAGGCTGGGTGTTGAAGTATGAAAGGGTAAAAATGTAGGCAAATATTTGGAGATGTTGGGGGTCAACATCACACTTGCAGTTGGGCTGCAAATTGCAGTTCAGGTGTTTGGGGTACAGGGTGGCTGCTGGAGAGGGATGGGCCATTAGTCTTCAGAGGCAGTTTTGGGAGTCATTTATTCTACCACTTCCAGTGCAGCCTCTGTGACAAGATAGGAACTCAGATGTCTGTTGACTCTCTTGCTTTCACTCACACATGGCATTTCTCATAAAGCCCTTTGATATCTCTCGTGTGATAGTTCAACTCAAAAACTTTGTGGAAGGTGATGATAGAATAAGAAAGCAATGTTTTGAAGACCTGGATTTGAGATTTGATTTCCTAGCCCTTTCTTGGCCTCTTCTGCTTTTGTTCTAACTGAGAAGGCTGCCTTGAAGTCAGCAGAAAGTCTGAGTTCTTGGTGGGATATAAGTTCAGGCCCTTAGACATTCTATTTTTAATAGACAGGCATGGTCGAGTTTTGTAAATGAAAAAAATCAATACGGCTTTGATATAAAGACTTTGCTTTTCGTTTTTTTCTCTCTTTTTTGAGCACTTTCTTTTTTAGTCGGGAGTGAAAGTCACTGTACTGAAAAAAAAATTATGTCCACAGATGAAATATGTTCTCACTGATGTTTTTTGATCAGCTCAGTGCATACCAAGTGCCTTCAGGTACCCAGGGTCCTGCTGGAGCTGGGGCAGGCATGTGGAAACTGAATTTGTGCATCTGTTGGCATTTTTGTGATCTCTTTGATTATTTTTAGGGTGCTGTTGGAAGTCAAAGTTTTCATGGTTTATTAAATTTAGAAATAGAGAGAGCTCACCAGATAAATGGAGCCTCCCATCCACAGGGCAAGAACTCTTCCCACAGTCCCGGTCCTTGCCAATTATTACACACACTGGGTGTCAAGCCCTAATGAGCAATTTATCATGTTACTCCTTGTAACCTTTTGATAGGTCTCCATTGTCTGAAGCCCATATTCCTTAGACTGCCCTTCACAAAACAACACAATTTGACCTCAACCAGAAGTTCGTGGCAGAACGTTAGAAGATCCAGGTTCGAGGTGCAGTGAGGTTGCTGATTGTTCATGTGACTGTGCATGGGTCTCCTCGCCTGCTTCCCCGGGTTGCAGAGCCTCCACAAAGCAATTTTGTTGGGCAAAATGATCTCTAAGTTTTCTTCCAATTCTTTGTTTTGTTTTTGTTTGAACGTTCTTTATCTGTCTCAAAAATTTTCAAACTTACCTCCCACTGAATATCTACTATATGCCAGAAAATTCAAATATATTATCCCCTTTGCTGTTTACATAATAATAAAGATATTTGCATGTTAGAGGAAAGGAAGTGGAGATCTATCATCACAATGCTGGAATCTGGTGAATGATGACAGAGTAATGGCTCAGATGATGTACTAAGAAATGGGACCCTCATTTGTTCTACCTATTTTCCAATATTATGAATCGTACTAAGCTGATAGGACTTAAACAAATGGAGGGTGCAAAGTCTTAATGGCAAAATAAGGTGAGAATTGGCTCTAGTCTTCACTGAAGGAGCCTCAGTAATTTGTAGTCATATTTTTTAAAGAGACATAAAAACAAATATGTAAGGACAATTTGGTCTTGTGAAAATAATCTTGTGTTAGCCACAAGGACAGATGTTTTGTCTGTTTTATGTGTTTGGTACACGTGGAATAAACTATTTTTAAACCGGGTTCAAAAGCCGTGGACATCATTTCTATCTCCATCACTAATTTATTGTGATATTTATCATGACCTTAGTTTAGTGGATTAAAATTCTAGGATCAAAATTTTCTCATTAATAAAATCAGATGGTTGGATAGCAGATGATCCTTATTTTCAGATTCTAGGAAACAATGGAGAATGCTGCATTAGTAAAAGTTACAAATATTGTATCTGAAAGACTCAGAGATAATACTTGATTATCTAGAATAACCTCTTTGTCTGAGTAGGCTAGGGGCTAAAGGAAACTGTCAATTAGCTCCAAAGCAAAGCTCATCAAACTTCCAGTTAAAAGGAAGAGGATTTAAATACGCTCCACTCAGAAGGTTTTCATTCTGTCAATTAAGGGCTTCTCTTGTATTTTCAAATTCTCTCTTCATTAGCTTCTTTCTTTCAGTCTATTAATATGTTTAACATAGATCGTTTATTTGAGCCAATGCTTCTTCTAGTTACCTCTCTTTCTCTTATCAGCTATTCCTTCCTCTTCATCTAATATTTACTTGAAACCTGGGATATATAAGTTTCAGCCTTCAACACTCCACTGACATTAAGTTTCCCAGGGTTTCCCAAACCATCTTTGGTGGTCATTCCAATGAACCGTTTCTTCATTTGGCAGGGTTACTTCCTCCTTAAAATGCTCTGCTCTCTAGATTCCACGCATGTTCCTCACACCCCCAAATCTCTTGGTATATTTCATTTCACTTCTCAGGTATTTGTGGGCTCTACTTATTCTTCCCACTTAAATATTCCTATTTTGCAGGGTTATGCTTCCAATCTTCTCGTTTACACACTCTTTCCCCAGAGCTCCAGCTAATGACACCAACATCTATATCTCTGAATTCAGACTTGTATCCAGCAGGCTTCTGTATGTGAGTATCTCCCCATCCCCACATATCCTCTCCCTCTGCTCTTCATCTTAATGAATGGAACATCAATCACTCAATTGTCTGAACCACAATTGAGGCACTACCTTGGCTGATAAAATAATTGTTAACATTACTTAGTTGTTTACGTGGATTGGAAGTCTGCTAAACTCTTTATATGAAGCATTTCATTTAAAAGTCACCACAATATAATCATGAGATTTTTATTTTTTTTATTTTATGGATGATTTTTTTTGACTACCCCTTGCTATCTTTTCCCCAAGTTTCACTCAGGCATTTATGGCCTTGCCTAGAAAATGAATGTGTTGGACTAGATGTTGTCTATCACCCCTTTTTGCTCCATACTTCTTTGACTTCCAAGTTAGAATTGGAGGCCCTTTCTTTCTGCTTTGTCAGGAATGTAATAACCACCACTCCTTGCACTCATGATGTTATTCTAATTCTTCCCTGGCTTGCGCGTAGCCCCACTGAGATGCGGTAACTTCTCTGTTGTTGCATCCTTTTTGTCCCTAGCATAAAGCACAGTATCTGATGTGCTCACCATAAATGTTTGTTGACCAAATAATTAAATTCTAATGTAGGCTTTTTTATACTTTATGGTTGACTTCAATTTGACCTATCCACATTGGAAAACAATTACCCACTAGCTTGTAAAATTAAACATTCACATATGCAGCTGCCCAGGAATTGTACCTCTAGGTATACACGGAAGGACAATTCTTGCACAGGTATTCAGGAGACATATTTAAGAATGGGAATAGCAGTGCTTTTGCATTATTATACCATTAGAAACCACCCAAGTGCTCACTAAAGGGGAGTAGGTGAAGACATCATAGTATATTCACATAATAAAATAGTATACAGCTGTAAAAATGAATGAACTATGACCACACCCAACAGAGATAAATCTTATTAACATAATGTTTGGTTGAAAAGCAAAACATAAATTGTTTTCGATACGACAGCCTTTTTGTAAAGTTAAGATATACGCAAGACTAAATAATATCTATAGTTCAGATATATGTGCCTGTGTTGTATACATGTGAGTATGTGACGAAGATTTTATAAACTAAAAGTAAATTTAACGATCCACAAAATTTAAAGTAATTATTATCTTTGGACTTGGTTAGGAGAGAAAGGCAAGGAAATTGGAAGAGGAGAGCTTTAAATTAAGTAAATGATAAGGTTCTTATTCATGGATTGGGCAATAGATATATACATGCTTTTACATGATTAAATTATAATGAATGAAATGAAAATAAGCATGGATCATTGATAGTGTTTCTTGAACCAAGACCTGGAATTACTCAACCTTTGTTTATGGTCACACAAAATAAACACAAAAATAAAATTCTGATTTTTTGAATTTTATCTTCCTGTAACCCACATGACAGTACCCTGCCCCCTGCCATCCGCTTACCATTCATGTCAGGATAGTGCTAGGATTTAAAAAGGAAAGTGAAGAATCCAGATGATCTGTGGAATATATCACAAGAAGACATCTTCTATCTGTCATCTATCTTATCTACCCATCCATCCATCCAACATGCCTCTCTCTGCCTTTTACTCTTAGGCAACTGACAGATTTAGAACTTGTTTATAAAGTGCTTGAGAGAAGAGGCCACATCTTTCATCTTTGCACTCTCCACAGTGTCTTGCTTCTGTTGTAACTACAAAAATTTGGGTTACATAAAAAGAGTAGAAAATGTATAAGAGTATTCATTAAACAGTTGAAACACACACTGACCAAGCAATGGGACCTTAATCAGTTTATCTCTAAACAGAGTTAGGGATGATACTGTTCATCCCAGAGATTCCAATGATGAGAAAACGGAGGCCCAGATAATGCAATGGGCCTAACCATGTTCACACAGTGAATTAACAGCAGATCATGGGGCCTGGCAGGGTGGCTCATGCCTGTCATCCCAGCACTTTGGGAGGCCGAGGCAGGCAGATCACTTGAGGTCAGGGGTTCGAGACCAGCCTGGCCAACATGGCGAAACCCCATTTCTACTAAAAACACAAAAATTAGCCCTGTATGGTGGTGCATGCCTGTAGTCCCAGCTACTCAGGAGGCCAAGGCAGGAGAATTGCTTGAACCTGGGAGGCTGAGGTTGCAGTGGGCCAAGATTGTGCCACTGCGTGCCAGCCTGGGCAACAGAGCAAGACTCTGTCTCAAACAAAAACAAAAACACAAACAGAACAAAAAAAAGCAGATTTTTCCATTTCTCTAGGCTAGAAGTTTTCCAACCTGGTTGCACATTACACTCATGTAAGGAGCTCCTAAAAGATGATACTTTTGCCGGACACTGCCGGCCCAGATATTATGACTTAATTGGTCTGAGGTGGAGCCTGGAGATACTTGAACAAGCTTGCCAGGTGATTGCAATGCACAACTACTAACTCTCATGCCCGTTTTTTCCCTGGAAATCCTCCTGGGAATTGGGTTATCCTCTGGTGTGACTAATTATTGTTTCAGGCTCCTATGTGAGTCTCCAGGGTGGAATCTCCTTGGCCTACCTAGACACGGTAGGAACCAGAGGGGGTAAACAGCCACTGAAACTTCAGGAGAAAGAGAGGGGACTTAATGGATTAAAGAGGAGAAGCTGAGTCTCTCTTTCACATAAGGGAATTTTGAAGAATGTAATTTATTTCTAATCTTTATGCTGTGCTCTGATTAATTAAAAAAAAGAGATTCTTCATAAATCTTTCACACTTCAGTCAAGTGAACTTCCTGGAATGAGAAAACACTAAAGATTATGGTGATTCAAAAATAAACCAGATCTTGTTCCCTCCCTCCTTCTCTCCTTCCCTCCCTCCCTTTGTGGAGGCTCTGCAACCCAGGGAAGCAGGTGAGGAGACCCATCCACAGTCACATGAACAATCAGCAACCTCACTGCACCTTTCCCTTCCCCTTCCCCTTCCCCTTCCTCTTGCCCTTCCCGTTCCCCTTCTCCTTCCTTCCTTCCTTCCTTCCTTCCTTCCTTCCTTCCTTCCTTCCTTCCTTCCTTCCTTCTTTCATAAATCAGCCACTAATGGACTCTCCACTGTGTGCTAGGTTGTTGCTCAGAAACAAATAGTGACTGGAGAGAGCAGTGGATGAAACAAGCTGAAAAAGATATGGTGCCTCCCTCAAAAGCCCTAAACTTGAGTAAATAGGGAACACTTCTGTGGGAATGTCTTGCCAGAGAACCCCAGAGACGATCAAACAACTTGAGTATAATTTCAAAGCAGATTTATATCCATGTATTCACATTGTTGTGTGGTTTTGCGAAATCCACAGTAATTGTATATTTTTGTATTCTTTTTCTTTTCTCTCTCTCTCTTTTTTTTGAGACAGAGTTTTGCTTTTGTTGCCCAGGCTGGAGTGCAATGGCACAATCTCAGCTCACTGTAACCTCCACCTCCCGGGTTCAAGCAATTCTCCTGCCTCAGCCTCCTGAGTAGCTGGGATTGCAGGCATGCGCCACCACGCCCGGCTAATTTTGTATTTTTAGTAGAGACAGGGTTTCTCCATGTTTGTCAGGCTGGTCTCGAACTCCTGACCTCAGGTATCAGCCCACCTTGGCCTCCCAAAGTGCTGGGATTACAGACGTGAGCCACCGCGCCCAGCTCGAATTCTTTTTCTTTTTCTTTTGTTGTTTTTTGTGGTGTTATTTATTTATTTATTTCATTATACTTTAAGTTTTAGGGTACATGCGCACAACGTGCAGGTTAGTTACATATGTATACGTGTGCCATGTTGGTGTGCTGCACCCATTAACTTGTCATTTAACATTAGGTATATCTCCTAATGCTATCCCTCCCCCCGGCCCCCACTGCACAACAGGTCCCAGTGTGTGATGTTCCCCTTTCTGTGTCCACGTGTTCTTATTGTTCAATTCCCACCTATGAGTGAGAACATGTGATGTTTGGTTTTTTCTCCTTGCGATAGTTTGCTGAGAATGATGGTTTCTTAAAGTTGTCTCCCAAATTGTGTGAGCTCATGGCTCTGTGAACAATGCCTGCTACTACCCTAACTTTCTTCCACAATTCTTTTCCTTCAGCATTTATTGAACATGTATTTCCTGATTCAGTCTGCACTCTGTGATTGGTTATTTGACACAGGGCTGAGGGTTAGCTCACAGGGCAAGTAGCCTGGGGCTGGTACAGGAGCCCAGCTGGAAGTCTTTGCTTAATGTATTCCCATCATAAGAGTCATCACACACATTAGTATTTTAAGTGCTGTAAGAAGTAAAGAAACCTGGGCAATGTTATTAAAATCTGCATTTCTAGACTTACTTAATCCAGATTCAGATTCAGGAAATAATTTTTTTTTCCTTTGTAATAAAACTTATTAGTATTTTCTGGAACTCATATTCCAATTTGAGGAACACTGAGTTGGGAAATGCGACAGGTGGCTCAGCAGCCTACTCTGGTGTTGGTGGAGACGGGGAGTCATGCTTGTATTAATTATGCAGTTGTTGTTGAGTGCCAGTTAGGGTTTAGGTTCTAAAGTAGATGCTGGGGATTCAGTGGAGAGCAGAAACAGATGTGGTCCTGCTTTCAAGGAACTTAGAGAAGAGATATGTCAAAAAGATGCATGATTATCAGCTGATATGGTTTAGCTCTGTGTCCCCACCCAAATCTCATCTCAAATTGTAATTTTCACATGTCAAGGGAAGGACCTGGGGGGAGGTGATTGGATCATGGGGGCAGTTTCCCCCATGCTGTTCTCGTGATGGTGAGTTCTCATGAGATCTGATGGTTTTATAAGGGGCTGTCCCCCGTTCACTTTCTCTTTTCCCTCCTGACACCTTGTGAAGAAGGTGCTTCCTTCCTTTTTGCCTTCTGCCATGATTGTAAGTTTCCTGAGGCCTCCCCAGCTATGTGGAGCTGTAGGTCAATTAAACCTCTATTCTTTATGAATTACCCAGTCTCATGCTCTTCTTTATGGCAGTGTGAAAACAGACTAATACATCAGCTTTGATAAGTACTATAAAATGAAAACTAGAGCGGGCAGGGGGGTACCAGTTTAAAGTGGACTAGCACTTTATCTTGACAGTCTAAGAGAATATCCTTGGAAAAGTGACAAATGAGTGGAGATCTGAAAACTAAATAGGAGTTTCACCCATAAAAGTTTAGACGGAGGAGCTTCAAGAGAACTCCAGGCAGTGGAGCAGTGCACACAACCCCCTGTGGAGAATGCATGGCATCGCAGAGTGAGTGAGGAAGTGGTTTGAGAACCGCCCTTATTCTACCCTCCGCTTCCTTGTGGAGCCTTTGGTATATTTTCTTTTTCCAGCACCATGAAGATTATATGTTGACTTTGAATCACCTCTATGGACTGCTGGATAATATCTTCATGGTAATGACCTGAAGGCATTTCAGAACTAAAGTTCTAAAGAGAGATGTTGTTTCCATGCCAAAGGCATTGGGTTCACAAGGCAAGTATGTGATGCTCCTTTCCAAAGCCTTGTGCGTGCTCTTCTCTTGACATTTTGTCCAAGGATACTTCCTTGAGTTAACTACCTGCATTTTGTTGAAAGAGTGCAAATTGCTGTTTTCTTCTTTTTGCTTTAAAAAATATGATATTGCATTTAAAAAAGATTATAGTTTGAACTCTCCTCTAGAAGGAATGTTATATATGGCAGAATTTGGCTAGCACAGTCCTTGGTACATATACCATAGTTACTAAAAATATAATTTGGAATAAGCTGCCTGTGAGCCTTGGAATTTGAGGTATCAGTGACTGTCTTTTCAGCCCTATGAGTGCTGATGCTTTGGCCACAAATGTGCTCAATTTCATTTCCATAAATCATTCTTTTATAGAAAGTCCCCTTGCTTGGCTCTGAACCTGCATCCAAAGGCAATAGAAATCCTCCCATGCCTGGAATAAGTCTGCCGGATGAGGCTGCTGAGCAATACCTCAGAGATCTGGGTCCGTGCTCCTCAGGAAGGTGACCCCCTCTAGGGAGAAGTGCTGAAGCAAAACTTTTTTTTCAGATCCAGGCAGGAGTTGGGCTGGAAGCTGACCCTGAGACTAGAATTTAAGTGCAGGTGATTCATTTAAAAGATGATTTTGGGAAACAACAGCAGGGGAGGGGTAATATAAGACAGCAAGAGAAGGAAGCCAGCAAAGTGTGTGTTGTCAAGAAAGTTACTGCTATGGACAATGGGAGTCAATTATTTGGGAGAACTTTGGGAGCCAGAGTAGGGTATAAATCTCCAAGTCCTCCCACCTGATGTGCAAGAGTGCTGCAGTGGTTAGCCACTAACGCTGCATCTTTCACTGTGAGGGAAACCTTCAGGGTCTTGCAGCTTTCCTGTATACAGGTGGCCCCAGGATTCAGGAAGAGCCCTCCCTGTATAGAGGTGGGTAGTGAGTGGATAGGAGAGGTCACTAATAGTGTCTGGCACAGGGTTGACTCAACATGAGCCTGGGCTTACCAATGGTCTTGGGAAAACAAAAAGCTATTTTTAAAAGGGGCAGAAATGAGTGGCAAATGGGCTGTGCATCTTGGGCAGAAGTCCCTTTCGGGAAGAAGGAGGCTCTTTCCTAATAAGGTCATGACAATGAAATAAAAGGCAAATCTCCACATTTAATACACACAGTGCTTTCTTTAGATGGCATGTGCCAGGATGGCACGGCAGTGTGTTAGTTCCTTTTTATTTCCCAAGGTGATGCTACATCATTGGGTTTTTTTTCATGCTAATAAATATTAAGGAGCTGTCAGGGTTATTTCTGTTGCTTTTTAAAAAAAGTAGTGCCAACATTCTTTAACCTATTCTTGTCGCTCAACCATAGTCTTCTGTGGGCTGGAGATTGGAAAATCAGTTAAGAAGGGCATATGGGATGAGCACCAGATAGGAGAGGCTGTTTACAGTTTATTCAAATAGCGGAATGCATATTTTCTGTTCTTTTTCTTTCTTTTTTTTTTTTTGTTATAGAAAGTATTGAATACACTGCCAAGGTTGAATTGGAGATAGAGCATTAGATTTTCCACATGTTGCTTTTTAGGACCAGAGGTGTTTTATTCCCTTGGAGATCTCTGCAAGTAGAGTTTGGTGACTGTGGCTATTATCATACCAACCATAACCTGGAAAGATGAACTTGGCTCCTTATGTAAGAAGCTTAACAGCTGGCTACTTGAGATCCCTTAGAACACTGGGTTAGAAAGCAAAGAAGCTAGTACAACTGTGAGCAGGCCAACATAATTTTTCACTTCATAATATTAATAATATCTAATGTCATTTTTCTGACAATTCTTCACTGCCACCACTAAAATAAGGTTATTTCTCAATAGGAGAGAACAGGGAACAGAGGTTAGATCAATCTACTTTTCAATTTCACTAACACTTTTAAGGTGCTTCTCTATGGCAAGGTCTGTGTAGAAAACAATGCTGATACAGAGAAGGAGAATCACTGGTCCTGCCTCTGGAAATGTAAAGCTTGGGAAGGGACGATGATAAGTAGTAGAACACACTTACAAAACAGCTGGTAGCTATTGCAGCAAAGCTTTCTATGGTGCATGATGGGTGGAGAGAGGAGGAGGAAGCTCTTGGATGAGTCCAGCTGGGAATTGCTGAAGATGTGACTCAGGGCAGGAGGAGTGGGGGGCTGGTGCAGTCTGGAGATGGCTTCAGTAGAATTTGCTTATGGTGCATGTGGGCCAGATGATTATGACTTCTGTGTGGGAGGTTGAGAAAAGGCACAGGTCGAGGGCTTGGGTGGGAGGAGATGAGTTCTGGTACATGTTACATTTGGGGTGCTATGAGACATTCTTGCAGAGATACCAGGTTGGGTTCTTGAAGAAAATATTTGTCCTGGAGGTAAGGGTTTAAGTGTCAACAACATGGACTTCCATCTACCACAAATGGGTAGAAAGCGTTTTCTTTAATTAAAATAGGGAATATAAGATGAGAGTAGAATGGGACTGGGAGAAGAAAGAGAACACATCAAGAACACCATAGATCATCAATATATTTTTTTCTAAGGTAGAGATGGGAAAGAACTAACATTCTATTTGGTGCCAGACTATTTTTCATATGCTGTTTCTTTTATTTCCCACAATAGTTTGATGATAGGAAGTGCTAGTCCCATTTTACAGGTGGGGAAACAGAGACCTGGAGTGATGGTGTGGATGGCCAAGTTTACACATCTGTTGGGGAGGAGGGGGCTGACGTGTAACTTCCTTCATGCTTTTAGCGTTCAATACCAATGAAACAGGAAATGGGAGACAGAAAGATAGCATTCAAAATGTTAATAAGAAATGGGAAATAAAAAACGTCGTTCAAAATGACAGTTTTACTACACAGAAGGCTGATTGGATACTAGAGTTTAGATATGTGGTGTGGCGGGTATCCTAAGACTTTACTCCAGAATTGAATTTACCAGCTCTCTTAGGTCCATTGGTCATGCCAAAATGTGTGTAATATGAGCTTACGGTAGAGGAGAAGGCTGACCCTTCTTTCAACATCTCCATTCGCTCCCCTCCTCTAGGTGAGTGATGGGTAGAGAGAGGGTGAGAGTGTTTCTTCAGCAATGTTCCTTCTTAGGGAGTGAAGTAGAAATTTATTTTCCTCCTTGGAAATAAAAGTAGCTAGTAAGCTTTTGATGATATGTAGTCAATGGTATTCGAACCCAGGTTCAACAGAGTCTTGGATCCATTTTTATCACTCTGCAATAGAGGGCACCAGTTAATAACATAAACTTTGGAACAACAAAATTAGACATTTTCAGGCACACAGTTATTTTTCATGCCTAACATCCCACTCAGCCCCTTCTAGGAAGAAGCATCTTTTTGGAAGCTTGGCCCTGACTTCACATCCTAGCCTCATCTCACTTCTCCCTGATGAGAATGAGAACCTAGCATTATTCACGAGGCTCTGACTCTGTCCTGGTACAAAGACAAGACCACTGGGTAGAGAAAGTATGAATCCTCCCTTTCTCCTTAAGTAGTATTTGGAATTAGTGTTTCTTGTTGTGAGGATAGGAAAAAAAAGTGTTTTTTTCTTTTCTTACACCATCAACATAACACAGCATATTCTACCTCACTTCACTTCTGGTCATCAAAATGTGTTTGAGATTTCTCCCCATATAACCAATTCTGAGACAAAAACCAGCTATGTGTGCTTTAATTCAGTTCAATTCTGATATTGACTTGGAATGAGTTGAGTTGGGTTGACATAGGTTAAACTGACTGGTGTTGAGTTAGAATTGGAATGAACTCAAGGTGAAGAGATACAAGAATACCTCCAGCCAGTGAACCAGGATACAGGACAAATGAACCCAACTCAACTGACAGAATGAACAGATGAGATGCTATACAGGTCACAGGAGGAAGCTATATTAATGAATCAAACATTTATTGAGCACCTACTAAGTGCTTGGTGAGTGCAATAGTGGAATAAATTCAGAATATTGTGGTTGTGCTCAGGAAGTGAATTTGACCAAAAATTGGGAGATTTCCAGAGGAATTGATATTTGAGCTTTGTTTTAAAGGGTGGTTTATAGTTATCTAGACAAACAGGAAAGATAAAACATTCTGGACAGGTGAAAGAAAGACAATTTTCTAGACTCTCCGAGATATCAAAAATGCCTGAAACATGGAATACAGGGAGCTGAACAGGTAGGACTAGAATGAGAGAGACAAGGTGGGAAAGTTGGGAAGACAGGCCAAGCTCAGATCACTAATGGCCTTCTGTGCTATGCCCAGGAGTTTGGACTTACCCTGAAGAAGCTGGCCTCCTAAAGCTGAGCCCATCCCATTCTTATGATGCCATTGCTTGGTGTGACATTAAACCTTGAATGAAGTCTTAGTGTTCCAAGAATCTGAACATGTTCAGCTACTGGACACTCTCAGAACCCAGTCCTGTTGGGTTTTTATGGGAGCCTTATTATATAGGCATAATTGATTACATCACTGGCGGTTGGTGACCAGCTTGAATTTCAGCCTCTCTTGCCTCCCTGGAGGTGGAGCTGAAAGTCCCAATCCTCTAACTGTGCCTCCATCTTTCTGGGTGACCAGCTCCCTTTCTCAAACTAACTCCCATTCCCATGAGGGAATGGCCAGGAAATGCAACCCTCCTCTGCCTTGAAGTCTGCCTCCTCTGCCTCTGTTCCCCATCACTTTTGGTAGCTTCCTAACTCCCATCCTTCCAAACTGAGTGTATCTTTCCAGATTGCCAAGCAAATGATATAACCTAGTCCTTTACTGGAATCCATAGAGCCATTCTGGACCACAGATATTTTGTGTCTGGTGGTGAGAACATATAGCTATAACTTCTAGTCTTCTTATGTATCCATGACATATCAAACACATATTTATGTTTTTATAAAAACAGAACCCTCCCTCCTCCTATTTTGGGGATACTCAGGCATTTTAATATAGAGAAGTGATTTGACAGGATCTTCCACTGACAGTGAAGAAGTACAAAGGTACACAAATGCAAGCACTTAGTAATATAATTGAAACCACATATGTTCCCTTCCCACCTGCTTTCAGAGATGTAGAACCAGTTGCAGACAGGGCAGAGCTATTACCAGAAAACAGGTCTTCTTCTGTCTGGACTTATTTCCTCCATAGTTCCATAAGACAGGACTATAAGATCTGAGGGAAAATAATGTCCTGCTGGTATTAAGAGAGAGTCGTTGCATAGTTAAATGCACTGTACCACAGATGCTCCTGCAACCTGGGTCATTCTATCCTGAATAATGTCTAATTATATATTTCCATGGTTACTTTGAGAGATATTATAAAAATGAGTCCCCCAACCCCCTAAAACATCACAAGGACTTTAGGAAGCATATCGAAGGGAGGGCAAAACAAAACCATACAATTACCATATTCAAGCAAATAATCAGAGGCAAAATTGGCGACAGAGGCATATTATCTCCCACTAATTATCATTTTAAATGATGAAAATCTCAAAATGAATGGTACTTTCTCCACCCCTGTGCTGCACAGAGCTCTCCTTTTCCCATCTCCAGGAACTAAGGGCCTAATTATTTGCAATTAATAATGGAGCCCCATCTCCTTGGCATGAATTCCATTTGCTGCTGTAAATGGGGGCCACACATCTCGCAGAAAGTGTGGTTGTTAAATAAAGCCCTGGCGCTCCCTGCCTCCCCTTCCGATTTCCCAGCATAAAGAATGACTGTAATTAAGAGCAGCCCAATTAGCAGCCTTAGCTCAGATTCCTTCACTCCCCAAACCGGCAGGCATACCCCCTTTTTGCTTTGGGTGGGATGTCATTCTCAGAGAAGTCAAATTCAAACATACACTCCAAATCACCTTGAGCTGAGTGAAACTGTGCCATATTCCCTGTCATGCATTTCCGAAGGGAGTGTACATTGAAGGGATAAGATGGCCTTTCCAAAAGATTTTGAATTGTTATGTGGATGGAGATGAGAAATGGCTTGCTTTAAATACATCACTAATTCAGTACTTCATTTATGATATGGTTTGGCTCTGTGTCCCTACCAAAATCTCATGTTGAATTATGATCTTTTGTGTTGGGGGAAGGCCCTGGTGGGAGGCGATTTGCTCATGGGGGCAGATTTCTCCCTTGCTGTTCTCATGATAGTGAGTGAGTTCTCATGATATCTGGTTGTTTAGAAGTATGTAGCATCTCCCTCTTCACTCGCTGTCTCCCACTCTGCCATGTGAAGAAGGTTTTTGTTGGCCAAGCATGGTGGCTGACTCCTGTAATACCAGCAATTTGGGAGGCCAAGGCGGGTGGACCATTTGTGGCCAGGAGTTCAAGACTAGCCTGGCCAACATGGTGAAACCTTGTCTCTACTAAAAATACAAAAAAAAGTCTGTAATCCCAGCATTTTGGGAGGCCGAGGCGGGCGGATCATGAGGTCAGGAGATCGAGACCATCCTGGCTAACAAAGTGAAACCCCGTCTCTACTAAAAATACAAAAATTAGCCAGGCGTGGTGGCAGGCGCCTGTAGTTTCAGCTACTTGGGAGGCTGAGGCAGGAGAATGGTGTGAACCCGGGAGGCAGAGCTTGCAGTGAGCAGAGATCACGCCACTGCACTCCAGCCTGGTTGACAGAGCGAAACTCCATCTCAAAAAAAAAAAAAAAAAGCAGGGCATGGTGGTGCATGCCTGTAATTGCAGCCACTCAGGAGGCTAAGACAGGAGAATTACTTGAACCCAGGAGGTGGAGGTTGCAGTGAGCAGAAATCATGGCCATTGCACTCCAGCCTCGGTGACAGAGTGAGATTCTTTCTCAAAAAAAAGTTCTCCTCTTTTGCCTTTGGCCATGATTATAAGTTTCCTGAGGTCTCTCAGTCATGCTTCCTGTACAGCCTGCAGAACTGTGAGTTGATTAAACCTCTTTTCTTCTTAAAATACCTTGTCTCAGGCAGCTCTTTATAGTAGTGTGAGAATGGACGAATACATCTTATTAATTGAGTATAGGGCTAGCACCTGTCATGGTCTAAGCATCATACTAGGAGGTAGATTTTCTGTGATGCACCTGACAGAATGCCTTTGTTCAAGTTGATCACAGCCAAGCAAGGCTAGGTGGATTCATAAGCGGTTGGAGTGCAGTGTGATAACTGCAGTAAAAGCTCAGTAGCTTCTGTAGTGGGGGCAGTAGTGGGTGTGAAGACAGATAAGGGTAACTTTTGAGAATACAGGAACTGCAAAGTAAATACTTTCCTAGGTCCACTCCAGAAAATTAGGTCTGGCTTACAACAGAGAAAATATCGAATTGCTACTGTTGAGTACTTGTAGGTGGAACCATGCAGCTAAGTACCGTGCAAAGGTTTTCAAGGCATTTCATGCTCTCCCCGCAAAGTTCTTTTCAGCCACATTTTCCATGTAAGTCTACATTCACACTCTGCCTTGGCTATGCCTGACACGCCATGTTTCCCTAATGCAATGCACCTTCATGCCTATGTTGTTCCTTCCTCTGACATCCTTTCTTCCTATTCTGTATCTACAGAATTCTGAACCTGTTTGGGCAGCATGCTCTCGTGGAAGGTAAATCGACTTTGGAGAACCCCCCACCCCCTACTTCATTATTGGTTCTGCTCTGGGCAAAATGTTGATTCTCTGTGAACTCTGTGAAAATATATGTGAAGGCAGGGATAATGATTCCTACTTCAAAGAACTGTTGTGAGGACTAAGTGAAAAAATATAGGAGACTCACAAGACAAGGCATGTGGTGGGTGCTTTAGTTACTACTTTCCTACCTGGCTTTGTGGGATCAAACTGCAGGAAATTCAATTAAAGAAACAAACCAATAAGAGCTCAAGTCCTACCAACAAGATTATACACCACTTCCTGTGGTTCAAGCCCCAAGCTGGCAGCTATGGGAAGGCAGGAATGTGAGGTCTAGAGGTTTTATGAAGGTGTTGCCAGACCAGGTGTGGAGAGAAGACTCACTGCATACAGGAAACAAACCAGCTAGATATTGTGTTATAGTGTCTACTTGTGAGCAACCTGAGGGCTGGGGTTATCCATCTTTGAATGTTCAGAGACTAGCACGGTGCCTTTCATTGAATGAATGTATAAATGACTGAATTGAATGAGCAAATAAATGCACGATATTTTGGTACCTTCCACTATTACCAGCCCAAAGTTATGCTTAATAAATTAGTATTGACTATTTGAATTAATGAAGGAAAGGTTTGCATTGCACGTCACAGGCAATTTATGATTCAGATGGATATGCAGAAAATTTGGGAGGAGGTAGACGTGGGTTTTCTGTTGCTACTTTCCTACTTGGCTTTGTGGAATCCAACTGCAGGAAATTAGATCTGCCCCCACCCCCCCATTCACTCTCTGTGTGACCTTCAGCAAGCCAAATATTTGTAGCTAACCCAAGACTTAGAAGATCAGTGATTCCAAATGAACAGCTCTCTCTCTCTTTATAAATGGCTCAGAATCGATTTCTGGGGTGCCATAGTCCCCTCCTCTCTGTAATGTCATACTCTCCATCTGCAGGTTGGTTGCTTAGATAAAACCACATGGGGCCTTCATGGAGAAGTTTATACTTGAGTGAGTGGAGTCGTAGATGATGAGTAGGAATTAACCAGAAGTTAAGGGAGGAGAGGGACCAGTGGTTTAGCGAACCTTATTTACACAGGGAGTAGAGAGAAGTGTGCCAATAAAATGATGACTGTGTTGAGGCTGGGAGGGTGAGTGGAAGGTACAAGGATAGTTGGAGATAAGGGCAGACATGTAGGTGAAACTGGAGTATGAGGGGTTTTGCAAGACACTCTAAGAGGTTTTGGTTCAGATCAGGAAAGATAAAATTATTTGAAGCCCTCTTGCATGCCAGGCAGTATCCTCCTCACTGAGTAATGATGGATGAGGAAGATGTGGTTTCTGTGCTTGGAACACACTGTCCCATTGGGGAAAAGCAGGAAAGGAACAGAAAATGTAAATGTAACGTGGTGGTGAATGCTGTAAGGGAGGTAAGAACAGATGACTGGAGAGCACAATAGAGGTCTCACCACCATGCCGTGATGGAGCTACAGCTACCATCATCATTTTACAGATGCAGGAACTGAGCGTGCTTAACTCTCAAGCTTGAGCTCAATCTACCACACAAGGGATGGCAGAAAAAATGCCAGCAACGGTGGCTGTGTTCCAAGCTCTGCTTTTGGTGTGAAATCTCTTTTATTGGCTTCAAGGCCAGAGAGAGGCAAACTCACCTCTGAGGTTATTCTAGCTGCCGGGAGATGGGAAAGAAGGTGGGTGTCCCAAGTGGGTCTCTGCATGTCCTGCAGTGCCCAGGCCTTGGTGCGTTTTCTACCTTCTGTCTCCCTGTGCCCCCTGACATGCCGCCAAGCAGTTGCTTAGCAACATCTCCAGCAAGACTATGCATCCTGGCATAAATTGCTGTTATGCACAGGGAGAGATTTCTCCCTCCTCTCTCTCCTGCGTTTTAAGCAAAGAAACATCCTAAAATAGGGCATTTTTTTTTCTATTCCTTTTTTTTTTTTTTTTTGACAGACAACTTCTGTGTAAATGTTGAAATCTGTGTTGTCTGTCAGGAGCAGTCAATCTGAAAACTTTGCAGAGAAGAATGTATATTTAGTAACGGGTGACAAAGAGAGGAAGACATTGAGATGTCAATTATTCTGGTGAGTTAATACAAAAGCTGGGTATTTAAATCAAGTGGTTTAGGGAAATGAGAAGGGAAAAGAGAAGGGCTCAGTAGAGACCCTTGTATCTGAAACAGTGCCGGGCCCAATTTTGTTTAACTCCATCTGTTGCTGAGGATATCCGTGGGGTCAGCCTAACCCTGAGAATATCTATGAGATCATTCGTGCTGCCACATGGAGGCTCACTCTGGATTCCTGCAGAAAACATGCTGGGTTTATAAGCAATGAGGCCAGATTTGAGCCCCAGCTCTGTGGATTTTCGTATTTGGACTCTGATACAGCATGCCCTTTAAATATGGAAGATTTCTGAATGAGTTGGTACATAGCTCATCACCCCTCTATAATCTCCTGTATCTAATCTACTCTCTGCCTCACCTCCCTCTCCCCACCCCACAGCCTGGGCCTCCAGACCCCTATATCAGTGTTCTTCCACATGGACAGTGCCAGGGTTGTCCTGCTAGTGGAAGCGGTCCAGTGCCACCCCTATCACCCTAGGACCATTGCTAGCAACCTGGGGCAATTTTGTGCCCAGGGGCTATTTGGCAATATTTGGGCTATCTTTCATTGTCACATCTGAGGGGCAGGGTTACTACTGGCATTCCATGTTTCCAGCCCAGGAATGCTGCTAAACATCCTACTATGCGCAGTGCACCTCCCCACAACAAATAATAAGCTGACTCCAAATGTCAGTAGTCCTGAAGGTGAGAACCCCATTCTGCAGTGATCCTCTGAGGGAGACAACCTGGCTGAGTCACGTTTGCATTTTCTGACCTTACATAGTGCTTGACATGTCCTAGGCTGCTCAGTAAATCATTCTTTAATGAGTAAACAGCTAAACAAAAGATGAATTCTCCTAATGATTGAGCCAATACTTTCTAGTTTCAAGATACCAATGCTGAACAGTTCCAACAGCATAGTTGGTATATTATTTCATGCCAGATTTATTCTGGATACCAACTAGCATTCAAAAGTAGTTGTGATGTGACTATGTGGGGTAAATTTATTATTGAGCAAGAAATGGTTTGGGATCAAATGTCTTAACTAGCTTCTTAGGTATAGTTCTGCAGTTGGTCTACAGTTTGCTGATGCCCATAGAATTTTGTCTGTTTCTCTTGGGTAGACTTTCTAGTTCCTAGTGTCTTCCTTTTTTAACCTCAGCTCACTCTGATCTTGAATGATCTCCAGTCAGTCAGCTCTTTATCCCAAGCCTTCAAGATGTGACACAACAGGCCTGTGAGAGTCAATATTTCCACATTTCCTGAGTGGTGAATTGAGTTATGTCCCCTCAAAAAATATGTCCAAGTCCTAACCCCCAGTTGCTGTGGCTGTGACCTTATTTGGAAAAAGGGTCTTTGTAGATGTGATTAAGTTAAGGATATCAAGAGATGAGATCATCCTGGATTTATGGTAGGCCTAAATCCTATGACATGTGTTCTTATAAAAGAAGGGAAAGGACATTTTTGGACACAGGGGCACAGAAGGGAGAAGGCAATATGAAGAAAGAGGCAGAGATTGGAGTAATGTGTCTACAAGCTGAGGAACACCAGGAAGCACAAGAACCTAGGGGAGAGGTATGGGCAGATTCTCCCTGTGAAGGTTAATTTCATGTTTTAATTTGACTGGGCCATTGGGTGCCTAGATGTCTGATTACACATTATTTCTGGGTGCATCTCTGAGGGTGTTTGGAAGAGATTAGCATTTGAATCAGTGGACTCAGTCAAGTAAATGGCCCTCCCCAGTGTGGGCGGGCACCACCCAATCCACTGGGGCCTAAATAGAACAAAAGGAGGAAGAATGGAGAATACGTTCCTTTTGCCTGACTGCTTGAGCTGGGACATAGGTCTCCTCCTGCCCTGAAACTGGACTTGCCCTCTGGTTCTCAGGCCTTCAGACTTGGACTGGTTGGTACTATGCCACTGGCTTTCCTGGGTCTTGAACGTGTAGACAGCAGATTGTGAGATTTCTCAGCCTTCATAATCATGTGAGCCAGTTCCTCATAGTAAATCTCTTTATATCTCCACCTATGTGTGTATCTCTATGTGTATGTATCTATCCTTTGGTTCTGTTTCTCTGGAGAATCCTGACTAATATACTCACTGGAAGCCTTCAGAAGGAACCAACCCTGCTAACAACCTATTTCAGACTTCTGGCCTCCAAAACCATGAGAGATCATGTTTCTGTTGTTTCAGCCACTCAGTTTGTGGTCATTTGTCACCACAGCCTCCAGAAACTAACACATCCTGTAAGCCTCCTACTGCTCCTGGTCCCACTACCTTGGATCAAGGCATCATCGACCTGCCATTTGCCCAAGTTCCAATTATGTCCTGACTCTGCCCCCGTTGGACCCGTGGACTCTGGCCAACTGATGAGTTCTGCAAACTCTATCCACTTTATTACCCTTCACTCTTTTGTCCAATATATGCTCAGTGACCACTGCCCAGTTTGAGGCCTCAGTAATTTCCACTCAGCACACCACACTGGCCTTCTTCTAACCTGTGTCTCCATGACTAGCCAGGCCACTGTCCATCTGCCTCTGAATTGAAAAGCTTCCAGATCCTTAAAACCCTTCATCCAGTCCTCCTTATAATCCTGAATCATTCGAATGCTTTAGTAGACATATCTTTCTTGATTTTTTTAAAAATAAATTTTCTTTTTCTATTTTTAAAAATAGAGCCATTTATTTGGCCCATAGAATGCACTAGTCCTTGGGTTTGGCCCTGGGTATTACATGGCTCTCGTTTTGTTCTTCCAGATATGGTTCCTGTCCTGGGAGCTTATGCTTGAGTTGAAGAGAAAGACACAAATAATGATTTCATTCCAGTAGAGATAAGTAAAGGATGAGAAGTTATTGGTGTTATGAAAGCAAATGACGGGGAGTGGGATTACTAAATTGCTAACCTAGTTTAGGGACAGAGAAATCTTCCCCTGAGGAAGTAATGCCTTAGCTGACAGCTGGGAGATGAGCTAACAGGAGGAGCAAGGAGAGGGGAGGGTTCTGGGCCAGGCACAACGTGACCAGGGATGCAGTGTGGTGCATCTGAGAACCCAGGTGGCAGTGAGTGAGGCTGCAGTGAGCCAGTAGGGCAGAGATGATGTGAGGCAAGGTGGAGTGACAGGGAGGGGCTGACCGTACAAAGCCTGGATTTTATTTTAAACAAAAGGAGAAGCATTGAAGGGCTTTACATAGGGAGTGAATTGATAAGATTTGTATTTAAATTATCACTTAGGCTGCTCTGTGGATGTGGACTGGAAAAAGGCAAAGGTTGGCCTTGGGGAACCCCATTAGGGTGAAGGTTGGCCTTGGAGACACCCCATTAGGGTGAAGATTGGCCTCGGGGCACCTCATTAGGAGGCTCTGGAGGTCCTGAGAGATGAGGGTGGTTCATCCCCGAGTGCAGCTCTAGAAGTGGATGGAAGGTACCTGGAGAATGGTGGTGGGTGAGGGGTTATGGAAAGAGAGATGGCAAGGGAGATGTCCCAGGTTTTTGACTGAGAAACAGGATGCTTGATCCCATTTATGGCTCTGGAGAAGACAAGAGGATAGACAGTTGTAGGGGAGAGGAGTCACTGATGTGTGGTGGGAACATTCCTCTCTCTGGCTTTCTCCCCCAGCTTCTCTCATCTTGTCCAGCTCTTGGAACATCTTGCAGCCCTGCAAATCCCAGGCTCTCTTGCCTGTGGCCTGTCCCACCTACTGCTCCTTCTTCCTACAACACTTCTTGTGTTTCTCCTTCCCTTTTCTGGGAAGCCTACCTGACTACTCACTTCTTCCTCTGCCTAGAACACCTAGAACTCACTTTCTCCCAAGCAAATGCTCCTCTAGTAAAGCTTCCCTGAGCTCCCCCTCTATCCTCAGGCAGGATATACGTTTTTCTTTCAAAGTCATTTCTCAAGGGTAAGTGCACCCAATGTAAATAAACGGACCTAGCTAGATGAGGAGAAGGTTGTCCAGCTTCACACACTGAACATCTTACAGCCAACTAGGGCCCAGCTACATGTAAACATGCAATAATGATATGGTTCTGCCTACAAATATATGGTTGTCATGAGCATCCAGTGAAATAAAGGATGTGAAAATGTTTTATAAACTCGAGGAACTAATGATAAGTGAAGTATTGCAGGAAGCAAAATAGAATCCTAGCAGATTTCACGCAATTATTGGTGGGAAGTTGCATTTAGTTATAAAAGTTTGAAAGAGACCTCCCTTTATTACCGAAATATATTACCTAAAGACATCCTTTAAATCATGAAAGCCAGAAACAGCCACACAATGAGACTCTAGTGGAGGTATTTTTAAGAGCAAAGTTTCCCAAACAGCAGTCTGTGAACCAAGACTAGCATGTAACGAAGTTCTTACCTGTTCACAGCAAAACTGTCAGCGTAACGTTGTGTACTTACCTATTTTGGGAAGAGCAATTTTTCCTTTTAAATTGATGGGTTTTTTTTTTTTTACATAATCTTTAGCAGCAAAATAATGTTTGTTTCTTTACTCTGACCATTCAATTATTATTTAAAAAGTTTGTAATATAAAAAAGTTGTATCCACTGTTTTAGCATACTCTTCATTTTTTAGTTTTTGGTGTTGTTGTTGTTTACCTATTGAATTTTTTGAAAGTGCTAAAGAAACCCTAAGGGAAATAAATTGGGCTGGAAGCATTGGTCTATTTCCTCTGGAACACCGTAGGGCTGGGAGAAGAGTGAGACGCTGTGATTTATTAGGCTTTAATGGAGTGGATCTTACAAGTTATCTAATTTTACAGCCTTCTAAGAGATGCTTTCATGCCCTCAATAATATCTCTAAAAATTGTGCTCCACTTCCAGTGACCAAATACTCATTAACTTCTGAGGGGCCATGCCATCTTTGAACAGCCATGACTCTTAGAGTGATCTTCCTTAAATCGAGGCTGAATCCATCTTCACCTCATTCCACGTATTGATCCCATTACTCCCATGGAATCCCAGAGAACAATTATAATTTATTCTTTATGGATATTGTTCAAATATTAGAATTCAGTTACCTTGCTTCTTTTTCTTTTCCCTAAGACAATCAGCTTGGATTCCCAGGAAATACATTTGAATGAACCTGAGTTGATCCCTTCTCCATTTAAGTGCTTTTTTCTTAGCCTGTTTCCTACTTCAGGGTCCTAGTGGCCCTGTAAGGATCCCTGTGACAATGAGTCATCTCCCTAGGTTACAATTTCTGGGTTAAAACGTTGTTTGCCCTGTCTGGTGACCCTTCTTTCTGCCTGGCCTGCCTCTCTGTCCATTCACATCGGTCTGAGGTTCCGGTGCATTATCTGTTTCTTTGATAGAGCCAAGGCCCTGATGCTGACTTGATGTAGGTTCTCCAGGTTCTCTGGGATGGAGATTTGTGTGTGTGTGTGAGATTTATCGAGGACGTGCTTTTGGGAAACCAGAAGCAGAGTAAGCAGGATCTGTGCAGCTTCAGGTGAGCCCTGGGCTGAGCCAATGCCCGAGGCAGCCCTGGAATGTAACTACCCTTGGAGTCTGTCCCGCCTTGAGGCAAAGGAGCTTTCATACCCTCACACCCCTCAGTGGGTGATACACTGCTCCAAGGCCCTAAACTGTTGGCTCTCAGTTTGTCTGTGTGAAGTGGCTTCAGTAGCACATGGATCGTATTTTGAATACAGTTCTAGGTGTAACTCCTTTGGAGAGGAGCATGCAGAAGCTGGGGACAGGGCCAGAGGGGCTGGGTCAAGCACTGTGAGCTTCTGCTATAGCTCCCTACTGTGCAATGCACCCAAATCTCCTACTCTGCAGTCTTGCTCTATCCCACCCAACTCACTACCAAGCTAAGGAGTCCAGTCTGAGTGTGTCTCCCTGATGCCCTCCCATCCAGCTGAGCAGCATGTGCCAGTGTTCTGAGCATGCTCTAGCTTGCTGACAGCTTTCCCTAAATATATACCTTTTTCGTAACTTTATTTTATCTACAGGGGTACAAGTGAGGTTTCTTACATATGTAAGTGTCACACTTACATAGGTGAACTTGTGTCATGCGGTTTGCTGTTCAGATTATTTCATCACCTGGGTGTTAAGCCTAGTACCCATTAGCTATTTTTTCCCGATCCTCTCTGTCCTCCCATCCTCCAACCTCTGAAAGGCCCCAGTGTGTGTTGTTCCCCTCTATGTGCCCGTGTGTTCTCATCATTTAGCTCCCACTTAGAAGTGAGAGCATGCAGTATTTGGTTTCCTAGTATTTAGTTTGCTAAAGATAATGGCCTCCTGCTCTATCCATGTCCCTGCAAAAGCCTGAACTGGACTCTAGGTACACTTTGACCAGGTGAATGCAGATCAGAGTAACCACACTCTTTGTTCTCTATCCATCAAAGAATCTAAAATGGTATTGTGGGATTTTTGGAAAGCGATGTTTTGCTTGCCTCCAATTCATCCCATTAGTGAGAGAAGGATTCCCTACCCTAAATAATGCATGACAGCCAAACACACAATGCCTGACACTGGACAGATAAGACTGATGGCAGTTTATTACTCACGTACACTCAGAGCCCAAAGAGGAGGGTGCCGCATGCTATGCAGGGCCACATGGAGGGAATAAATGGGCCAACAGGGACTGTGGGAGGCAGGCTCTGTAGTAACAAGAGGATGGGGCAACAGTTGGTCACATGGGAGGATGTACATGCTTGGTTGTTTGAACATTCCATGGCTGGCAGGGAGAAGAAACCTGTTAGGTTGAGGAGTGGGTGCAGTGCGTCATGTCTGCTGGATGAAGGAAACTAGCTGAGTGGGGAACCTTTCCTCCTGAATGACGGCCATATCTGGGGAGAGCAGGGCAACTCATGGTTAGGTCTTTGGGGTCCTATAAAGCTCAAAGATGTCAAGGCAGCAGCACATGAAATGTTAGTTCTTACGATAGAGAGAGGCAGCCTCATTTTGAGCTTGCTGTTGATGAAAACATCGGAATAGTTTCTCATATATGCTTTGGGGCTGAACTATACCCCCATCCATCCCTCTGTCCCTCATGTCTGGTCATGTGTTCAGGCAGCGATCCCTGCAGTTGCCCACCCATTGCAGGCATTCAGTAACATCCTCCTGCAGGGAGTCTGAGTGAATGAATGACTTGAGGCCTGTGGCTGTGGGAAAGGGGTGGATAAAGAGGACAGAGAAAAGGAAGTGTCTTGGGTCCAGTCAAATTTCTCACTGCGATGAGCAGCAACACTAGCTGCTTCAGTCCTCTCCTACTATCACGGTTATTCAGGGAGGTCCATGCTGGCCTTTTTCGGGAACCCAGGAAGAGAATAAGCACTCATATACACCAAGGTGCAGGAACTGCTGCTCAGTCATTTGGCCACAAAAGTCCATTTATATCAATAAAACAGTTCTGTAAGCATAATGCAAATTTCATTACTGGTACACTATGCTGGCTGAAATGCTTGGGTGCATCCTTAAGGAGAACACAATTATTATGCCTGATTTGTGATTTTACAGCCATGGAGGATAGGGCCAGGGAGTCAGAGTGGTTTTTTCAACATTAGCAAGATTGGAGAGAAAAAAAAGAACAAAACCCAGCAACTCACAAAACGCATAATCATTTTGCGTTTTCTTAAAATGCAAAATGTAATATGTAAAGACAGCCTTGACCTGCAGAAGATATGAAACCAAAGTGAAATAAATCATGCTCCATGCCAGGAGCACTCAGTTCCAACATGGTTAACGAGCTTGGTCATGCACATGTATCAGGAAACAGTGAATTGCTGACACAAAGAGAAAACACAGTTGCAAAGAGTTGATTTCATTTGTTTTTCTCCTAATACTATTCTCTAAGGTTTGTTTATTTGTTTTTAATTCCAAGTATTCCCTTGAACTTCCCTGAGGAAGATGTTGTGTGATGTGCCATTACCCAGATTTTTAGAAGCCAAAAGACCTGGTTTTGTATTGCTAAGGGAAGTCACTTGGCCTAAAGATTTTTTTTTTTTTAATCTAACTTTGTGAATAGTCAGCTTTCTTTTGAGGTCACAGCCAAAATACAGGGACCCTTGAGTAGTGGAAAGAACAGAATTTTTGTCAGACTGTTTGGATGGAGTCATGGCTCCCTCTAAGCTAGTGGCATTTGACAAGTTAGCTAACTTCTGCGATCCTTAGCTCTCCCTATTTTCAAATGTAGATAATGAGAAGAGCCCTGCCACATGGGTGGAGCATGAACAGTACGTTGGAAAATGGATGTGAACGTGCAAATGGCAAAGCCTGATGTAAAGGCAGCTTGTTACTACCCTCCCTAGGTTTTGATTTCCCCAATTGTCAAATGACTAATTTTTAAGGTTGTTTTCTGTATTAGTCTGTTTTCATACTTTTGATAAAGACATGCATGGGACTGGGTAATATATAAAGAAAAAGAGGTTTAATGGACTCACAGTTACACGTGCTGGGGAGGCCTCACAATCATGGTGCAAAGCTAAAGGCATGTCTTACATGGTGGCAGGCAAGAGAAAATGAGGACCAAGCAAAAAGAGTTTTTCCTTATAAACACCAGATCTCATGAGACTTTATTCACTACTAAGAGAGCAGTGTGGGGGAATCACCCCTGTGATTTAATTATGTCCCTCTAGGTCCCTCCCACAACACATAGGAATTATGGGGGCTACAATTCAAGAAGAGATTTGGATGGGGACACAGCCAAATCATATCACTTTCAATTCTAATACTGCCAGCTTAAGGAGGGGCATGTTTCTTATTTCATACAGTGTGCACGTGATGGCATCTATAACTTGCTATATATTACGTTGAGAAGAATGACCAGATGAAGAGGATAAGTGTCTGCCCTCAAAGTGGGTCACAACATAAAGAGAAAGAGGGTCATATAAACACATTGACCCCGGTAGGAAATGCGGTCCAAGAGCTGGAGGTGGGAGCTGTGTACATGGGAAAATGTGAAGAGGAGAGTGTGTGCACAGCTGACTTGTCTTAGTTCACATTGGAGCCAGTATGAAAACTTTTGGCCTTGGTATGCCAGATTGGCACATCAGGGGGATTTGCAGGTCCTGTTTTTAAATCCCCTCTTGGTGGCATTTTAAGATGCAGGAGTTATGCAGCAGGAAGGAAAGATGTGGACCTTTTTTCCCCATCCTAGCTGTAGCCCTCTAGGTTCATTCTGGCTCAGCCTCACAGGTGTACGTGAGGGTTTCATGTCTTATTCAAAGTGAAAGAATCAGTGAGTATTTTGGAGTTGGGCAGATGGATTCTTGGAGAACATCTAGTCC
Organism: Homo sapiens; assembly: GCF_000001405.40. NCBI lineage: Eukaryota > Metazoa > Chordata > Mammalia > Primates > Hominidae > Homo > Homo sapiens. The sequence continues at coordinate 135,824,356 of NC_000008.11, forward strand.
ACAGTGGGAGGGAGAAGCTCTGGGGATGAGAGCTATCTTAAGATTATGATGTCTTCTCCAAACCTTTTTCCTCCTCTCTGTCATTTAGGTCTAGTTTACAATCTTAGCTGCACCCTGGAATCACAGGAGTGATAATACAAATACCAAGCTGAATACCTAACCAGTTAAGTCAGAATTTTTGAGGGTGGGACTAAGCTATCAGTATTCTTAAAGCTTCAGGGGATTCCAACATGCAGTCAGGGTTGAGAATCCCAAGCCTCCTGCTTCACGTCTGCTCCTGCTTCCTCATGTCGCTCAGCCACAGGCACCCCATCTCTATCCTAAAGACAAACCATGTCCAATGCTGAGTCAGTGCTGACCAAGGCAGGCTCACCCCACAGGCTTGTATCTGGAATGGGTCTCATTGCCTTGACCCAGCACCTGGGGCCACCCAAGCCCACTGCACTGATTTCCCTTCTGACAACTGTCTCCTTCCTCATTTCACTCCTGTCCACCTGGCCTTCCTCTTGTTTGTCAGACACACCAAACCCATTCTCACTTCAGAACTCTGGCAGCTCCTCTCCCCTTCGACTGGAAATTTTTTCCCTTTGACAGTTGAATGGTGGTTCCTTTTCACAATTAAGGGCTCAGCTCAGTCACTGCTTCAACTTTCTCTACTTTCCCCGCCACTCCCCACCAGGTGTTCTTAATTAGAATTGCCTGAGTTCTTTTTTCCCATAGCACTGATTACTTAGTGATGTAGTTTGGATTTGTGTCCCTGCTCAAATCTCACATCAAATTGTAATCCCCAGTGTTGAAGGTGGTGCCTGCTTGGAGGTGATTGGATCATGAGGGTGGTTTTTCATGAATGGTTTAACATCATTCCCTCTCTGCTGTTCTCACCATAGTGGGTTCTCACGAGATCTGGTTGTTTAAAAGTGTGTACCACCTCCTGCCTCTCTCTCTCTCTTCCTCCTTCTTTGGCCATGTGAAGTGCTGGCTTCCCATTTGCCTTCTGCCATGACTGTAAGTTTCCTGAAGCTTCCCCAGAAGCTGAGCAGATGCTACCATGCTTCTGGTACAGCCTGTGGAGCCATAAGCCAATTAATCCTCTTTTCTTTATAAGTTACCCAGTAAAAGGCATTTCTTTAAAGCAATGGGAAAATAGACTAACACACTCCATGGAATGATTTGCTTACTTGATGATAGCCCCTCTCATTCCACAAGAATATGTGTTCTGTAAAAGCAAGAGTCTTGCTCTCTGGGTCACAGGTTAGCTCCAGGGTAAGGGTAGTGCCTCTCACAGATCTTCATAAATATTTACAGACTGAATGATGTTTTTCTGCTAGTAACCCAGGCTGTTCACCTTGCAGTGGTGTTTCGCCTCTTTCCCTCTTTATCCATTTCTGTGTCTGCCATCTTTCTCCTCCCTCCATAGTGTCATACACACAGTAGATGGACATTCCCTGGCTTGGTGGGATCTTCAATATTATCAGGCACCAAGGCACAGACCCAGCAAGTGTTAAGCATATGAAATCTTCCACTCGCTGGAGCAACACATCCATTGACATTTTCTTTTCCTCCTGCTGCATTATTGCCAAGTTTGAGGACAAAATTCTGGACCAAAATGTTTCAGTCATGAGTTGTTTGTATGTTCTGCTACATTTCCTTCCTTGAGGGGGTTTATTAGCTTAAAATGGAAACTCTCCTCCTGTGAAAAGTATTGAAATGTATTTCCAAAGCCGGTCAGACTGCAGCATGTAGGTCAGTCAGAAGCAAGTCCCATCTCTTCATTGGCTTGGCCCTGGGGCCTTTCTCTCAGGCTCATGAATGGGGTGCTCTCCAGGGCCCCCGGACTCACTTTAAACTTGAGCCATCTTGGTCACAAATTAGACAGGCATAAAAATAAAAGGGACTAAAAAAAAGTTTTCAAGCCATAAATCTGGACAGGGCTGCAGGGAACAAGGGCAGAGCCACCTAAGCCCTGGACTAGAGCACAGTAAATGGTCTAATTATACACAGAATCAATAACATCCACATTCCCTGGACACACTCCACTGTGCAAAAGCAACCCAAACTCCAAACATTTCTTCTGTTTAGTTACTTGTCTTACTCTCCCTCGTATCTATTCTCTCACATGACCATCAAAAAGTTTGGGAGCAAACTGGTTCTGATATTGTATTAGTCCATTCTCATGCTGCTAATAAAGGCATATCTGAGACGGTAATTTATATGGAAAGAGATTTAGTTGACTCGCAGTTCTGCAGGGCCGGGGAGGCCTCAGGAAACTTACAATTATGGCAGAAGGGTAACCAAACACGTCCTCTTTCACATGGTGTCAGGAAAGAGAGGTGCCCAGCAAAAGGGGAAAAGCCCCTTATAAAACTATCAGATCTCATGAGAACTCACTCACTATTACAATAACAGCATGAGGGTAACCGCCCCCATGATTAAATTACCTCCCACTAGGTCCCTCTCACAACGTGTGGGGATTATAGGAGCTACAATTCAAGATGAGATTCAGGTGGGGGCAACAGCCAAAGCATATCAGATATCATGAGGGTTTTTGCCTTGGAGTAAGAAAACCACTGAGACTCAGTGTTCAAGGTCACCTGGGGGATGGGTGTGTGAGCTGTGGCTCAGCTCCACACACTTGCAGGGCCGTTGCCAAGGTGCACATGTGCATCTGAGTGTGCCTCAGGCCCATGGGTGCCTGTGTTCTAGCAAAGGAAAGTGGTAAAGAGGAAAGGATGCAGAGTCACAACTGTGAGGTTCAGCTCCTGACCCTGGGGCTCACCAGCTGGGTGGCCCCGAGCAAACTCCTTCCCTTTTCTCTTTAGCATCTCTTCTGTCTGTAAAATGAAGAGGTCAGAAATGTGGGCATCTAAGATTCTGTGTTCTTTTCCTATTTTGTGTCTCTCTGACAATTGTACCATTCTCCAAAACCATTGTGGGGTCTCATGGTCAGTGTTGGCTTTCAGGGGTAAAAAAGAATTTAATATAAATGTGAATGCCTAAATTGTGACCAGTTATTGATAAGATTTTTCCTGGGTAAGGGTCTACTCTTTCGTGAGACTCATGCATAAAGAAATGAAAAAAAGGATGAAAAAAGCGAAACAAGAAGCCCTGGGTACCACTTCTGGCTCTCTCCACCAGCTGATCACCTCTCACATCTTCAGTTTCCTCATGTGTGGGTTGTGTATGGTAGTAATACCTTCCATCCACGGTTGTAAGAAGACTAAGTAAAATGATGAATACGAAGGTGTTGGATACAACACACTGATATCATGAATGAAAAGAAGACCGGGAGAAAAGGCAGGGAGCATAATGTCTGGGAGGGGTTTTCCTGCTCCCTCTTCCATGTTGGGAGCCCACTGGATGTGATGCTCTTTGATTCTTTGCTTACTATGTCCCAGGTACAATAGTGACCTCTCTGATTGGAGGACAGATAAGATTAAATTGGGCGTGTTGAGCTCAGACTTTACCTTCCCTATAGACAGTGATTTGCATGCAGACAGCATGAGGCCGAGGACTCTTCCAGTGCTCTGTCTCTGCATGCAGCACAAAGGCTGTCCCTGGCCACCCTTGTCTGGGACCAGAGGACAAGTAGGTCTCATTCTGCAGCTCATTTAACAGGTCTATTTGGCCTTTACTTTTAGATATGTCCATCAGCTTAGACTTATGTTTTAAAAAGGTGATATTTTGACCTCCATCTTCTTTGCTATTAATCTGATTTCTTTTTCTTGAAAACCTGGGTAGAAAGGGGAGTGCAATTTTGCCCCTCACTTCCCCCTTTGAGACCCCTCAACCTCTGCTCCCACCTGACTAGGCTTGGACTTGTTCCTCAACATCTGACGTTGACAAAGACTTTCCATCTCCTTCCCAGTGATCTTTCAGGGGGAATAAATGACACAGCCTCATAAGTCACTTACTCTGGTGTTTCATAACCCTCACTGAAATGTTCTCCTTCTGGAGCTAACCTACATTCCACCCGCCACCATTTATTAAGCTCATTCCCTCCAGGCTCATGGCACTGGTCTAATTCAAGGAAAGATAAATACCTTGCTCACAATCACTCTTACCTTTTGTACAATGTCACCCCTCGCCTGTTATTGTTTGCTATTAGACAGATCTCCAGTAATGTGGCTTTCATTGAGTTATCTTTCCTAGGCATAATTGAATCTCAAATTTCGACTGTCAGAATTTGAAAAGTATCACAGCCGTCCTCTACAGATGATCTTGTTCTGCTGCTAGGCACTGAGCACTTAAAGATGCCATAGGTCATCTTTATCTATTCCTTTGCACAGATGCCCAGGAACACACACGAGCTGTCCAACCTATTAGAGATATACACGATTCAGATACTCCAGTGCTCCCTCTTGTGGATTGATATGGTTTGGCTCTGTGTCCCCATCCAAATCTCATCTTGTAGCTCCCATAATTCTCACATCTTGTGGGAGGGAACAGAGTGAGATTATTGAATCATGGGGGTGGGTCTTTCCCTTGCCGTTCTCCTAATAGTGAATGGATCTCATGAGATCTGATGGTTTTAAAAACTGGAGTTTCTCTTCACATGCTCTCTCTTTGCCTGCTGCCATCCGTATAAGATGTGACTTGCTTCTCCTTGCCTTCTGCCATGATTGTGAGGCTTACCCTGCCGTGTGGAACTGTGAGTCCTATTAAACCTCTCTCTTTTGTAAATTGTCCCTTCTTGGGTATGTCTTTATCAGCAGTGTGTAAACAGACTTATACACGGATAAACCATGCCTTCCCAGATTGAACCACAACATCACCGTATCACAGAGTATTCTAGGCCTGGAAGTTTCTGGAGAATTAGAGTCTGCATGTATAAGTTCTAGAGGTATTCCAAAGACCCTTTTCACAATCTGGTGACCTGTTCTGAGATCCGAGCCCTGCGTTTAATTCAAGACAATTTCAGCTCTTGATTTCTTTGATCCCTTGTTCGACCAGAATTATTTGCTTTGGAAATGGATGATCCTCCTCTCTCTCATTGTAGCTCACTGCATCAGTCAAGATAGGCCAGTTGTGCTGCAGTAACAACAACCTCACAATCTCGGCACATTTATATGGGTCAGCAAGGAGAACTCTGCTCGCGGTAGCCATTCAGGGACCAGGCCGATGGAGCAGCCACCATCTCAAATATTTTTGAGATGCTAATTTTCATGTCAGAGGGAAAAAGGGAGGGAGGTGATTCATGCATGGGTCCTTAAACCTTATGTCTGGAAGTGTACTTGTCACTTCTGCTCACAATACATGGGCAAAACAAGTCACATGGACATATCTAACTTCATCGGGGGAGGAAATAGTCATCCCACCACGTATCTGCAAGAAAAGCATCCAAATTATGTGGTAAACGGCATTAGTGATTTTCACCTCACCAGCTCACTTTCTCTTTCCAGAGAGAAAAAATAATTCTATAAACCATTCATTAAAATGAGGAAACTATCCAAGCATGTATTCTAATTTACTTCATTTAAGGAGGAGCAAACTTTGACCCAAAGAGGGAAATTATTTTTTTTCTCAAGATCACACAATGAGTCAATGGCACATTATTTCTAGAAACCAGGTCCCCTGACAGTACTTTTTTTTCCTCTTTTGGACCACAATACCATGTAGACATATTGCTTTGTTGATTTATCTCTGTATCCATTTGGGTTTCAGAATCGATAAGGTTGTTAGTAATTTTAGCATGAATGGCTTGGGGGTGGTGATACTCTGGTTGGCTATTAGCAAGGGAATTATTTAATTTAATAACCCCCTGGGCTTGTAAAATAAAAAGAGAATGGTTTTCTTTATGGGAACAGGCATCTGCATGAAGCAGCAACGCTGCCTGCATCCCCTATCGAGATACCCAGCCTCAGAGCTCAACTCATGTACACTGGCCAATTACTAATAGTCCAGCACAATGCTGGGCACTTAAATTGAAAATGTCATTGGACAATTAAATTGGGAAAGCATAGCAAAAGCTTTGACAGTCTTCTCAATGCCACTTGCTGTGCCACTTGTTCTATTTTTATTAACTCATTTAACCCTCATGCTGAGTTGGCAGATAGGGATTGGCAGCCATACTTTATAGTTGAAAATAACATGGCCACAAAGTCTGAATAACTAGCTGAGAGAGTAAAATTAGTGAATAGAGAGAATGGCTTTTATCATTATTGCCATATTTATTCCTGGATAGAGAATCCAGTTTCAAACCATTGTGGTGATTTATTTATTACTTTGGTTAGTCTTCTGCAGTGCTGATGTATATGCCTTATAAGTATAGTGATCTTGTTTATCTATCACTACCATATCCATAGCTCCTAGCCCTGTGCCTGCAATAGAGTAGACATTGCATGAAAGAGAAATTTTTGTTACTATAGGCCAGGACTCCCTGGTTCCCAGGCAGGGATGTGAGTTAACCTTCTTGATTTAGTCACTTTTCTTTGGAAGCTGAATTTGACCCTCTTTCACTTCCTTTCTTCTATAAGCTGTATCTATTTCTTTGGAGTATTTTACATTTTTGTGCACTAAGTATCTTATAATATTTTGATATCTCTCTCATTTGTTCTTGCTCTCATTCTTGTCCTTTCTTGTTCTCTCTCTCTTTCTACCCTCTCTTATTCATGTTTTTGTTATCTCTCTCTTCCTATCCTCTCTTATTCGTGTTTTTGGTCTTTCTCTCTTTTAATAATCAAGATTAGAAGTACCAGCTTCAAAACTCCTATATGTAAAGTAGCTTCTTGCTGGGTGGTTTAATTCTGAAATGAGAATGCACACCTGAAACACAGACCAGAACCCAGTCTTTGATGCAGTATCATACAACCTCATTTGATATCTCTGCTCATTAGTGCACTAAAATGTCCTTTAATTATTTCATTCACCCAATGTTAATTTTGTAATTCAACTGTGGGACGTAATAATTGGATTTATCCTATCCAGTCCTTACTGAAAATTGATGCATCCTATAATATACTTTTTGGCCTAGGTTGTCCAGTGATTTGTCAATTTGCCAGCAATGCCATTAATTGTTGAATTTGCCAAGTGCATATTGAGTGTCTGCTATGTGCCAGGCATTGTACTGGTTAAGGCAATGTAATGAGAGAGACACGATGTCTCCCAGAAGAAAGCTCACAAATTAACGGGTGAGAAAAATATGTAAGCAGAAAACTACTGTGATTGTGTAATAAAAAAAAAAGGTTAGGGTTATGCCTGAGGGCCATGGGAACACAGAGGAAGATCCATAGTTCAGCCTTGTTGGCTGTGGTAGATAAACTCTATGATGGCTCCTGATTTTCCCCACCTTCTGTGCTGATGTCCTTGTGTAATCACCTCTCCAGGAGAATCTGTGGCTTCCTTTTAACCATAGAAAACAGCAAAGATATTCCATATTTGTGTTGCCTAAGAGTGTAATGTCCATTTTGCCAGCTGACTCTTCCTTGCTACCTTTGATGAAGTGAGTGGCCTTGTTGTGGACTGTTCCATGGAGAGGCCCAGGTGGTAAGGAATTGAGTATGGCCTCCAACCAACAGCCAGCAAGAAAGTGAGGTCCAGTTTCAACAGTCTGCAAGGGAATGGATTCTTCCAACAACCACATAAGCCTGAAAGCCTATCCTTTTCTGGGTAGCCTTTGAATGAAAACTCAGCCAAGACCAGTATACCTTGATTGCAGCTTTGCAGAAAACCAAGCTAAGCCATGCCCTGACTCCTGACCCATAGAAACTGTGAGATAATGAATATATATTGGTTCAGACTGCTGAGTTTGCGGTAATATTGTTATGTAGCATAGATAACTAATACACGGCTCAAGGAAATCTTGGAGGAAGTGATGGCTAGATTGTGCCTTAAAGAATAGGTTAGGAGCTAGCTGGCACTTTAGGGAGGGATAGGGGTGTGGAAGGGAAGGTGACTTTTAAAATGGAGAGCAGAGCCTGAATGAAGGTTTTGGGTGAGTAAAGGCCTGGGCTGTCAGGGGGCTTCTTAGATGGAACTGTATGAAATTGCTGCTATCAACATGTTTTGATTTGCAAAAGTGCCCATTTCATTAGGTTGGACTTCCTGTAAGCAGTCCAGTGCTGCCAGAGCTTAAATTTTGAGACGAGGGAAGCCCCGTTAACACTTATTTTGATTCATCTAATGTATTTTTTGACTGAAAAATAGAGATTAAGATGGCTCATCTTCATGAAAACCTCTTCATTTCCTTGAATTAATTTAAAACGTTAGAATTTCTGCAGGCATGTTTCAACTTCACAGACTCGCATTCCACACGGTCACAGTGAAGGACAGTTTCAAGAAGTATATGGTGCTCTCACATACGAGCCCATTTCACACTGGAAATACATGCTCCACCTTCAGCAGACAAGAACACCGTAGCTTAGAGAAGTTAATTATCTCCATTCTTATTCCCTATCTAGACACTTACTTACCTCCACAACCTGTGTGTCTTCCCCTTCTGAGGCTATCAATTTCCGCTTGACAAGGCCAGCCCCTCACCTGTGTGTGTGAGACCCTGGCCACTTCTGTACATCCTCACCCCCTGTCCCTTCCTCCCTGGTCTCTTTGATCTTTTGCTCCCTCCTGACAATTTCCTTTTAGCTTGCAAAGATGGCTAAGCATTCCCAATTCCAAAATGAAATTCTCTCTTGCTCCTACATTTTCTACGTTCTGCTTTTAGTTTTTCTCTCTCCTATTGTCCTTCTGCATGGAGGTTCTTGAGTGAGTGGGGAGTTCTTGCTGGTTCTGTTTTCTCACCTCTCCTGTCCTTATCAATGTACTACAGTCTGACTGTCTGACTTCCCACTCTCTGTGACCTCTGCACTTCACTGACACCGCTTTGGTTAGGTCATACCATCTTTGCTGCAGTGATGAGGTTAGCCACATCCACTTTACTCTGCAACTGCCCTTTCCCTTGTCTTCCACATCAGCACCCTCCCCTGTTCTCCTCCTTTCCTCTGATTGGCCCTTCTCTTTTTCCATTATCTGTCCCTCCTCCTGTCTCCATTCTGTCCCTTATCCCTTAAACATCTGTGTTCCACAGACTCCTTCCTTTCTGCATGTGCCCTGGGTTGATGCTCTTATCTCCTCTCCTGAATTTAGCCTCCATTGTAAGCAGATGGCCATCTGATTGGAATCTCCAGCCCTGACCTCTTCTGATTCTGCACTTTAGCCTCATCACCTGACACACCCCACATATATGATGCTCTATTTGTACAGAATTAGCTTCGCACAAATGTCTGGATTCTGGGGCTCCCTGGCCTTTGATTCCTGACATTGCCCCGGCTGCCTTTTCCCTTCCTCCTTCCTTACCTTGCTCCTTTCTACTCATTCTTCAAGACTCAGCTGAGGTTGTGGCTCCCGCTAGAAGCTGTCATGAGCCTCTTGCAGAGGCTGGCTAATCTTCCCCTTCTCACACGTGTTCCTACTCAGGTGACATTGCCTCTTTGTGGCTGCTTCTTGTTGCTTCTTCTTTGTAAGCTCCTGGAAGACACAGGCTTTCTTCTCTTTCACCTTTTTATACTCAGAGACTATCACTGACATTGCCATTCATCTGTCCGTCCATCTGTCAATCCATCCATCCATCCATCCATCCTCTCCATTCATTCAATCTATCCATTCATCTATCCATTCAAAAAGTAATGTTATGGCACTTACTCGTTGCCAGATAACTTCGTAGGCACTTAGGATCCATGGTGAACAAGGGGTCCTGCTTTCATAGAATTCCGTGTGTTGGGAGATAAAACATAAAAGCTACAACATCCTGGGAATTGTGTGGTAAGAGGTGTCGTGGGACTTTGAAGAAATGTCTGATTCAGATGAATAGTCAGGGAATGTTTCCCAAAGCAGAGACCTGATGGAGGGAGAGGAGCTGGCTCAGTGAAACACACAGGGTAGCACTGAGGAGATAGGGATGCCACAGGTAGAAGCAACACCATGCAAAGGCACAGAGGCGAAATGAAGTGTGACTTGCTGAACAAAATCAAAGTAATTCTGAGGCTTGATCTGACCACCAAAGTAGGATTTGCAGAGAGAGGAGGCAGGAGAGTATTTTACGGCTCTGACGGCAGCATGAGGAACAGATGGAGGGGGTCAGAATGCACATACAGAGCCCTCTAGGATGCTTTTGCATCAACTCAAGAGAGAGATGATAGTGAAAAGTAGTTTCTAATTAACATTTATTTATTGAACAAAAGTATTTGTCAAAGGTGTAATACATGACAAGCGGCAAAGCCACGTCTTGAATTCAGGCTTCTAACTATGCCACAAGGGCAGAATGCAGGACTAGTCAGCCCCGTTCTTTATGGACGTTTGTGACTAAGACATGTAGACATCTCATTCTGACTTAAGCCAGCGTGTGGTTTCCTTCTTAAGAGAGGATGGATCAACGTTGGCATTCGTAATTTTGCTACTGGAGCATTCTGTATTTGGAATTTACTTTGGCATTTTTTTTTTTTTTTTTTTTTTTGGTAAGACGGAGTCTCACTTTTGCCCAGGCTGGAGTGCAGTGGTGTGATCTCATGCTCACTGCAACCTCTGACTCCTGGGCTCAAGCCATTCTCCTGCTTCAGCCTCCCAGGTAGCTGAGGTTACAGGTGTCCACCCAATGCCCAACTAATTTTTGTATTTTTAGTAGAGATGGGGGTTTGCCATATTGGCCAGGCTGGTCTCGAGCTCCTGACTTCAAGTGATCTGCCTGCCTTGACCTCTCAAAGTGCAGACAGATAAAATTGTATGGAGTTATCACATGCAACTTGATACTTTAAAGCATATATATATATATATGCGTATATGCTTTAATGGCTGAATATATATATGTGTGTGTGTGTGTGTGTGTGTGCGCGTATATATATATATGTATATACATATATATGTATATATATATATACATATATATGTATATATATATATACATATATATGTATATATATATATACATATATATATGTATATATATATATATACATATATATATGTATATATATATATTTAATGGCTGAATCTACCTAAATAACATATGCATTAGCTCACATAGCCATTGTTTGTGGTGAGAACATTTAACACTTACTCTCATAGAAGGAGAGGGTAGAATGGAAGTTACCAGAGGCTGGAGCAGTTGAAGAGATGTTAGTCAAAGAGTGCAAAATTACTGCAGTACAGGAGGAAGATCTATGGGTCAGCATGGCAACTACAGTTAGTGACAATGTATTGGATTCTTAAAACACACCTTTGCATTGGTGTTGAGTGACCATATTGATGGCAGTGTTTTGCCAGTTTTTCTTTTTTTTTTTAATTATACTTTAAGTTCTGGGATACATGTACACAACATGCAGGTTTGCTATATAGGTACACATGTGCCATGGTGGTTTGCCGCACCCATAAGCCTGTCATCTACATTAGGCATTTCTCCTAATGCTATCTCTCCCCTAGCCCTCCATCCCTCAACAGGCCCCGGTGTATGATGTTCCCCTCCCTGTGTCCATGTGTTCTCATTGTTCAACTCCCACTTATGAGTGAGAACATGCAGTGTTTGGTTTTCTGTTCCTGTGTTAGTTTGCTGAGAATGATGGTTTCCAGCTTCATCCATGTCCCTGCAAAGGATATGAACTCATACTTTTTTTGGCTGCATAGTATTCCATAGTGTGTATGTGCCACATTTTCTTTATCCAGTCTATGACTGATGGGTATTTAGGTTGGTTTCAAGTCTTTGCAATTGTGAATAGTGCTGCAATAAACACACGTGTGCATGTGTCTTTGTAGTAGAATGATTTACAATCCTTTGGGTATATACCCAGTAATGGGATTGCTGGGTCAAATGGTATTTCTGGTTCTAGATCCTTGAGGAATTGCCATACTGTCTTCCACAATGGTCGAACTAATTTACACTCCCTCCAATGGTGTAAAAGCATTCCTATTTCTCCACATCCTCTCTAACATCTGCTGTTTCCTTTTTAATGATCGCCATTCTAACTGGCATGAGATGATATCTCCTTGTGGTTTTGATTTGCATTTCTCTAATGACCATTGATGATGAGCTTTTTTTCATATGTATGTTGGCCACATAAATGTCTTCTTTTGAGAAGTGTCTGTTCATATCCTTCACCAACTTTTTGATGGGGTTGTTTGTTTGTTTTTCTTGTAAATGTGTTAAGTTCCTTGAAGACTCTGGCTACTAGCCCTTTGTCAGATGGATAGATTGCAAAAATTTTCTCCAATTCTGTAGGTTGCCTTTTCACTCCCATGATAGTTTCTTTTGCTGTGCAGAAGCTCTTCAGTATAATTAGATCCCATTTGTCAATTTTGGCTTTTGTTGCCATTGCTTTTTGTGTTTTAGTCATGAAATCTTTGCCCATGCCTATGTCCTGAATGGTATTGCCTAGGTTTTCTTCTAGAGTTTTTATGGTTTTAGGCCTTACGTTTAAGTCTTTAATCCATCTTGAGTTAATTTTTGTATAAGGTGTAAGGAAGGGGTCCAGTTTCAGCTGTCTGCATATGGCTAGCCAGTTTTCGCAACATCATTTATTAAATAGGGAATCCTTTCCTCATTGCTTGTTTTTGTCAGGTTTGTTGAAGATCAGATGGTAGTAGATGTGTGGCATTATTTCTGAGGCCACTGTTCTTTCCATTTGTGTATATATCTGTTTTGGTAGCAGTACCATGCTGTTTTTGTTACTGTAGCCTTGTAGTATAGTTTGAAGTCAGGTAGCGTGATGCCTCCAGCTTTATTCTTTTTGCTTAGGATTGTCTTGGCTGTACAGGCTCTTTTTTGGTTCCATATGAAACTTAAAGTGGTTTTGCCGGTTTTAAGTGGCAGAAAGAGAGCAGATGTTCCTGCTTTGCTTTTCTCAGTTCGCCCTGATTAGGAGCAATCAAGGTGATGGGCTGCTGCTGGGATCTGCGGGGAAATCAAGCTTCCGCCTGCCCTTGCGCTGTCTACACGGAGAAACTCCAGCATGACTGAAGGCAGCCTGCATCCCAGCTGGCGCAGATGCAGCCTTCCTAAGGCAGGTAAGAAAGGCAGACTCAGCAGGAACATTTAGAAGTAAATTTGTCTGCTTCTGGAAGCACAGAAAAGAACCAAGAGAAATAATATTTTTGTGAGATGTTATTTTTCTCCGTATTTTCTTTCAAAACTTCTGATGATTTCTTTGTGTGTAGCTGCCTGAAGATGCATTTTCAGCCCACCTCTCCAGCTGAATGCAGTTTTGTGGATTGGTAACCTGATACAGCAGAGTGTGGAGGAGGCGGCCAGGCAGAAAATGATTTTTCTCCCCCTCTAAAAAAATATCCTTTGTTCTGCCCTCTGCTCACCCCTCTGACGTCACTTCTTTTAACCCCACTGGGCCTCATCTGACTGTGCATGCTGCACCTCCCTTGGGGCCTTTGCACTTGCTGTTCCTTCTGTTTGGAGTGCTTTTTTCCTAGCCTTTTGCACTGGGGGCTCCTGCTCACTCTCACATCACAGCCAGCATTGGCTTCTTTCTAAGGATCATGTCCCTGCTCACCCTTCCTAAGGTCTCGCCTCTCTTTCCCCAGTTAGTTGCTGGGCTCTATCATTGCCCTGTTTTCATTCATAGAACTTGTCACCATCTGCAAGTGTCTTGTTTATTTATTTGCTTCCTCATTTATTTCCTCTCTCTGCCACTAGAATGTGTAAACTCAAAAAAGGCAGGCAAATCCAGAGAGACAGAAAGTAGATTTGTGGTTGGCAAGGGCTGGCAGGGCCAGGGCAAAGGGATGGGAAGTGACTGTTAATAAGATTGCATTTGAAGTGATGCAAATGTTCTGGAATTGGTGCCCATGGTTGCACAAAATTATGACTACTCTAAAAGCCATCAGATTATACACTTTAAAATGGAAAATAGGGAACTTTATGTTACGTGACAACCACCTTGTGAGTGAATCCAGCATTGTTTCTGAGCAGGGACTTGAAACCCTTTTTTGAGAGGCCCAGAGCTGGCTAGTGGCAGAGTCAGAAATGCAATCACCGCCTACTTGGTTACAGTGGCTTTTGAATCCATCTGTGTTTGTCCGCTCTCTCTGCGTTGCCTCTGATTCAATTTGCAATTACTCTTACGTGGACTGTCTTGATTCTCCTTCCTCGCCTCTAGTGTCTCTGCTCTCCCTCCACCTTTCATCCTCTACCACATTCTCCTTTATTAAGAAAGCCTGTTCCTTACCATGTTATTTTCATCCTAAACTCCTTTCATCATTCCCCATTGTTTCATTCTAACAGCCAATAGCGTTCTCCTCCTTCCAGCAGTGATGGCTCCTTGTCATTAAAACCACACTACCCACTCCTCTCCACGCCTCTTCCCCTTCAAATCTGTGTTCTATCCACTCTTACCGGTATCTATTCTGTGAACATTCCACCTCACCTCCAGTACTATTCTCAAGAAGACTCTAGATTTTCTTCTTTCTTGTCTTAGCCAGGAAAGTCCTTAGCTCCTTAGCACAAATATCACCTTTCTGGTGGGTTTTGCTCTCTATGCATTCATTGAAATCAATCTTTTCATTTCCTTTACTTCCATCCCTTCCTAGCTGTGCCTCAGCCAATGTGCTCTCATCTGTCACCTGGAGGTAGATGTTGGAGATGTCCATGGGCCTAGTGAGTCACCCACTCTAGACAACCTGGGTTCTGACCCAAGAGAGGATCCTCTAAGGAGTAAGGCAGTTGGGGCCAAGATGTCTTTATTACATGTAATTTTGATATTGGAGGACTTGGCTTATATCTGTGTCTACAGGCAAAAGCCCTCCTAATGATGGTCCCCAGAACTAGGCAAACATGCCTGGACTCTGGGGAAGCATTTTTACTCACCCCGGAGGCCAGAGCCTGATTGTCAGAGCAGTAGAACAGAATTAATGCCTCCTGTGTGCACCTAGCTCCTAGAATGGATGTTTCAGACCCAAGTAGTGGTCAGGATTCGGCAGTTCTACCACGCCAAGTGTGCTGAGTTGGGGAGAGAGAGTGCATGGAAGCAGGGGTGATGTGCTAACGGGCCTCTGCTGCAGATGATGATGTCATATCAGTGTAAGAGGCATCACCTGCTGTCATGGACATTAGCTTGTATCTCTCCGTAGTCTCTGGCGGCAGCACAGAGAGCGTTGATGTGAGAATGACACAGACTGTTTTCAGCTATTACTAACAGTGCCGCAAGAATACCTTGTGTCGGCCTCTGTGCATATGTGAAAGTATTTCACTTGGACACACACTGAAAAGGAATGTTCGGGCTGAAGAGTATGCCCATTTTCAATCTTAATGTATTTTTTACCATGTAACCTGCAAAATTTCAGTCCCCCCAACTGCGTGTGAGAAAATGATTGAAAGGAACTTAATAAAAGTAAATAATTAGATAGGCATGAATTAGAGTCTAAGTCTTGATGTTTATATAAGTGTCCTTAGGCCACTGACATGACTATCTTCATTGGATATTTTACCATCTATAATTCAGAAATAAGATCCACTTTCTGAGCTCCATAGGTTTAAATATGTTAAGCTAACATTTATTGAACTATATATATTGTTATTATTTCCTCCCTTCCTTCTTTTCTTCTTCAATTCTTTTCTTCTTTCCTTTCTCCTTTCCTTTCTTCCTCTGTCTCATTCCTCCCTTTGTCTTACAGTCCCTAAGCACAGGGAATGATACACTGTGGCTCATTACATGTGACTTGAGTAAGTGCAATGAATTGTTCTTCAGGGTAGGGGTCCTGGGTGGGGATACTTGTCTGCTAAATTCTGAAGGAATTTATTAGCTTCTGTGAAAAGCAAGGTCCTTTTTCTTCTTGGTGATGTTAATATTTTAATATATTCAGTCTCAGTAATATGGTAGGGAGTGTGAAAGGATTCTTTTCCTGTGGTTTTTCTCCATCTACAGAGGAGAGAGACAGCTTCCTCAATGCTTCATAAATTCTGAGAGTTAATGCTGGTGGGCCCTCTGCATCTCAGGAGAAGAGAGACCCGTGTTGCTGGGGAAAGCTAACAGCTGGGCCACAGTCATGACATTTTGCCTTATGATGTGATTGGCCAAGGGCCCAGGTCGTTTATGCTCATATTGAACAGTGAATTGGAGGATAAGACCTGAGAATGACTCTTGTTTAGAATTTATTTTCTAGGCTCTCCAAGTGATTTTCAATTAATGCATAACAAATCTTTCTTATTGTATTAAGTAATCATTACAGAATTCTGGCAAGATGGGTGTTACTATTCACAGAATCATAGTATGTCAGAACTAGAAGGTGACTACCCCTTCTCTCAGTGGATTGGGATACCAAAGTCCACAGAAACCAAAAAGGTCTTGGGCCAAGGTCACACAATGAGTTAGATACAGTCTAGGAATGATAATGCCTAGGGATAGCCATTGGTAACAGTTTATGTGAGTAATTTCAGACCTATTCATATGCACACAATAAAAGTACACATAACACAAGCACACTCACACACCTTAATGAGGTCATTAGATCTATCATCTATCTATCTATCTATCTATCTATCTATCTATCTATCATCTATCTAATCTACCCATTCATCCATCCATCCGTCCATCCATCCATCCATCACCATGATTTATGTCTACAACTTTTTTTTTTTTTGAAGTGGGATCTTATTTTGTCACCCAAGTTGGAGTGCAGTGGCATGATCATGGCCCACTGCAACCTCCACCTCCCAGGCTCAAGTGATTCTCCCACCTCAGCTTCCCAAGTAGCTGGGACAACAGGTGTGCATCACCACACTGGGCTAATTTTTTGTACTTTTGGTAGAGACAGGGTTTTGCCATGTTGCCCAGGCCGGTCTTGAACCCCTGAGCTCAAGCTATCCACCCACCTCTGCCTCCCAAAGTGCTGGGATTATAGGTGTGAGCCACGCATCCAGACTTGTGACTTTTCCACTTTATAGCCTGTCATGGGCAGGTAACTTTCTATATCAGTGTATTTCATTTTCTTTATTAATCAACCATTGCTGTTTACAAACAACCACACTTTTCATGGCATAAAGGTCAGCATTCATTTCTCCTTCATGAGTCTGTGAGTTGACCGGGCAGCTCCACTCTATGTGTCTCTTCTTCTAGGACAAGATGGCTAGTGAGCATGTGTTCTTCTTCTGGTGAGGTTGGTCCCTACAGGTCGGTCAGAAACATGCAATGCCTTTTGAGGCCCAGGCCTGGGACTCACACATAGTCACTTTTGCCACATTCTATTCAGTGAAGCAAGATACAAGGTCAAACTCAACATCAGTGGGGCAGGAGGCCTACACCCGCCTGCGGCTGCCCTGAGACTTGTGCGTCAGTGCAGAGATGGGCCATCAGTGCGGCATGCCTACACACCATAGGCCATGAGATCATGAATTCTGGAGCCAGGCTGCTGGTTTACATTCCAGCACTTTCTCTTCCTAGCTGTGTCGCCTTCGCTGAATGATTTAACCTTTCTATGCATCGATAGACTCATCTGTGAAATAGGGGATGATGACAATATCTATTTTATAGAGTTGTTAAAAGAATTAAAAACATATAAAGTGCTTACAATAGCACCTGGCACATAGTAAGTATGCAATAAGCATTAATTGTTGTTATGGTTGTTGTTGTTATTTGCCAGACTGCAAATAAATGTCTAAGAAAAGCATCTCATGCTGGGATGTAAGCCCTGGATTGGGAGCTGGGCCACTGGGTTTTGAATTCCAGCTCTGCCGCCCAGTGTGGTGGGACCATAGGCTTTCTATATTTCCAGAGACTAAGTGAGCTCCCTTAGGACATGAGCTTGATGTCCAGGCTCTCTATGGCCTGGTCCAGGCAATGCTCCTGATGATTTCACCCCACGCTTCCAATGCTCCAGCCTCCCTAATGGATTATACTTCTTGAACCTGCCACTCAGTCCCCTCCCTATTTGCTCTTTTCCAATTGCTGTAGCCTCAGATGTCCAACTTTTCTGGGGACCAGAGCTTGATGCATCATGGGTGCTTGACAATATCTGTTAACTGATTGCTGCTTCCCACAATCTAGCTAAGGTAACTCTTCTAGGACGTCTGTCATGAACATTGCAGGCTAGCAAGTACCTTTTTGAGTTCTCTTTGGCCTGGTTAATGCTCAGTCACATGCCAGCCATCCCCATGAGCATCATTTCCCAAAAAGCACTCCCTGTCGCCCACTTCTCTGGCCCATGATAGTGTCCTCTCTCCTGGCACTGGTCACAGTCACAATTTTGCTGCATGTTTTTACAATTATTTGGTTAATGCCTGTCTCTCCAATGAGACAGGAATCTCTCTGAGAGCAGGGGTCATGTCTATTTTGCCCACTATCACCAGAGCCTGCCTAACACATAACAGGTCGACAGTACGATGTCAGAAATGGTACGATATTCACAGTGATATAACTGTGTGAATATTTTACCATAGCACCTATACATGGTATTGTGATTATCTGTTTATTTATCTACCTGTCCTGCTAGACCATGAAGTTTATAAATGAATTTCATGTGGTACCATTAGGTCCTTCTAGCAGCCTTGTGAGGTAAGCATTGAGAGTGTTATCATAATTTTAACCTCAAGGAAACAGGCTTAGAAAGGCTGAGGGGCTCAAGGAAGCTCAGAGAGTTGTGGTGGTGTCAGCAACAGGAATCCATTGTCTTTGCTCCTGGCCTCGCACATGCCTCAGACAGATCGCATCTTCCTTTCTACCCAACACGATGCTCACCTCAGTAAAGGACATCCGGTTTTCACCCAGCAGCTCTGGTCACAGGTTTAGGAGTTGTCTGTGACTTCTCCCTTTTCCTCACAGGCAGAGCCTGACCAGTTACTCGTTCCTGTCAATTTCTTCCCATAAACATTTCTCATGGGCTCCACCTTGCCTCCACATTCTTGTTTGAGTCAGCATCTCTCTGAATCTATGTATTTGCCTGACTTTAAAGCTCTGGCTCTGATGTCAGACAGAGCTAATTCAAACTCCATTCCCCATTTATTAGTTGTGTGCCACTTATCAGCATGCTCTTAGCCTTGCAAACCTTGGTATTCCCATCTAACAGGTGAATCTAGTCACGGTCCTTGTCTCTTAAGTCCTTCTAAGGATTAAAATAGGCAATGCATGTTAGCACAGTGCTCAGGACCCAGTAAATTCCCGACAAGTGTTAGCAGGTGTTATTGTTGCTCTGTGACACCCTATGAGAGTGTTGGAGAGTTTGTAAGGTGGAGGTTGTGCAAAAGTTGAGAAATGCAACCTGGGAAGGGATGCCAGCTCAGCTCAGGGAGGCCCAGAGTCATCATGCAGCAGGGATGGTTGGACGATTGAAAGTTCCCATGAGAATGAAGCCAGGATTGAAGAGAACGGGAAGCATGGCGCCATCAGCCTTCTAGCTAGGTAGGAGGATTTTCTGGGAAGGAGTGTCTTTGCAAATGGAATAGTAGCCCCCCAGAGTGTGGGAACTGTCATGGAGATTCCTTTTGCGGGGGTGGTCTCATGGGTGACCCCCGTGGTCCAGGCTAACTTTCCGAATCTGTACCTCTGTGTTACAATCAGGAAGCTAAGAATAGCTTCAGTCAGGGAACTTCTTGAGGGAGTGTTGATTACAGCAGATCTTGTGGGAGAGGGATTTGGGGGTGAGTGAGGCATGGAACAGAGACCCAGGAATAAAATAAATACAATGAAAAAAAAGTTTTGTTTGGTTGACGTTTTTTCTTAAACCTAAAAAGCAAAGCTGCAGTGGGGATTTGAGTCACTGAAGTGTGCATGGCTTCTTGCTCAGTGGTTCCCTTTCTGCCAGAGACGCAGCTCTAGCTTCAAAAAGTGTTTTGATTTCTGTCGCGCACCCATGAACCACTTCGAAAGCCTATCCTGTCTCCCTCCCCTCCTCTCTTCTGTAGGAAGAATGTGGTATGAGCCTCTTGTGATAATGACTAGCAAGTTCCAGGCCTTGCTGCATACAAAGGACTATTTTACGGGCTTTCCTGACTTTACATCTGTATGCCTCACATCCAGTCCTGCAAAGGAGAATCCATTATTGCTCTTGTTTTGCAAATAAGTAAACTGAGGCTTGGAGAAATTAGTAACTTGTTCTAAGTTACCAGCTAGTAAGTGGGAAATCCAAATGTCCAGCAAGTTAGGGTAACTCAGGGGTCCCTTTGTTAACTATGTTTGCATATCTTGCCTCTTTATTGCAGGATAAAGGGAAGGACTTTCCTAGGCCCCTGTCCCCATCTGAAGGTTGGGAAAGCCAAGGAGAGCTGAGTACTTGGAGCAGTCCCTGCAGAGGGGAGCCGTGACCTGGGCTTTGTTGATGAGGCTCTGGAAGGCCTTTTGGGTTGGTGGTGATTTCACTTTCCCAGGCCCAGATAAGGGGCAGTTTCTTCATCTTTTATTAAACAAAGAAAATTAAGGAATTTTTGAGACTTTTGCTCCTGCTTCATGTGCTCCTTGATCACAGAAAATAGACAGGAAGTGTCTGCAGGAGGCTGTGCAAACTTAGGACTGATAAAACAGAGAGGAAGACAGATACAAAGAGCAGGACAGATGTGGGAATGGGCCTCAGAGCACTATGAGTCTGAGTTCTGATGAAAGTGGACAGAATCTTTTCAGGGCCTGGGCTGAAGGGGGCTTGAGTACTCCACCATCACAGCCGCCAGCACATTCTATCCTTATGAACTGCTTCATTTTTCCGAACAGCCCTGGACTCTGACAACTCCAAGGTAGGACCTGCATGTTTCTTGATCCTTATTGCATTTCTAAGGCTTAACACAGATGGTGTCTAGTGCACTTATGTTAATGTGCGTTGACTTGCATCAAGAGTGAATCATGGCCAGGGACAGGATAGGGAAGCTGGGTCCGGCCTGTGTGCTGGGACATGGATGTGAATTGCAGAAAAGCATGGAAGTATGATATCCATCCAGGGCTCTTTCTTTTGCAACTAAAAGAATGCCAAGCAAATAACAAAGCAGAAAAGAAACTTCCGGGGTCACATAAAGAAAGAAATCTAGGATTTGGGCAGACTCTCAGCCTAGCTGGTTTCAGGTGCTCATCACTGCCCCAGTGTTGTGTCCCTCAGTCTCTTCACTCTGCTTCCTTTGTGAGGCAGGAAAAGATGGCAACCAATGGCCTTGAGCTGAATTGGTCCTAAAGTCAGAGGCCTGAGAAGAGGAGGGAGGATGTTGCTCAGTAGCTCAGGCAAAAGTGCCTAGCGGGGCTCTGATTGGTTCCACCTGGGTCATGTGTCCATCCCTTTAACCACTCATAGTGGCTATCAGATGGCATCCTCTGATGGGCTAGGCAAAGATTACACACCTACTGGGAGTCAAAGGGGTTGAGCCACACACAAACCACAGGGACAGAACAGTCTTCCACTGAATGGTTCAGGATGGAGCCTCAAGAGGTGGGGGTGCTGCCCCATAAAAAAATTTTCATTTCTAACATACAACAGGCTTTTGATCTGTATTTTGGGTCTAACTAGATTAATCTGGGTTGGCATTTATTTGGCAGAGAACCAATGCTGAAAACCACTTGAAAAAGATGAACCCTGACTCCACAGGGGTGGCCCTGTTACTGTGAGCATCTCTGCTAGCCTCATAGGCAAAAAGAACATCGATAATTAAGTGGTAGGATGGCTGGGAGTGGCGGCTCACGCCTGTAAATCCCAGCATTTTGGAAGGCCGAGGGGGGCGGATCACCTGAGGTCAGGAGTTGGAGACCAGCCTGGCCAACACGGTGAAACCCCGTATCTACTAAAAATACAATACCGGGCATGGTGGTGGGCGCCTGTAGTCGCTGCTACTTGGGAGGCCGAGGCAGGAGAATCGCTTGAACCCGGGAGGTAGAGCTTGCAGTGAGCCAAGATGGTGCCAGTCCAGCCTGGCCAGCCTGGCCGACAGAGTGAGACTTTGTCTAAAAAAAAAAAAAGGGATAGGATGGGGCCTGAGTATGGCAGTGTGGATGGCAATGGGGTGATCATTTTGACTTGAATAAAAAAGAGGTATGTAAGGATGAAGTTGAGTAGATCAGTGTGGTTTTGCTTATGAAGTGGGTACAAATGGAAAGAAGAATTTTATTTATTGATCATCTACTGAATGATTAATACTTTTGTGCTTCACTTCACCCGTAAGAGGCTATTATGAGCATTAAACGATACAGTAACTGTAAAGTGTATCTTGGTACGCTGTCTTAGTTCATTTGGCTATAACAAAATATCATAGATTGGGTAGCTTATAAACAACAGAAATTTATTACTCACAGTTCTAGGGGCTAGAAATTTGAAGTCAAAGTTCCTGCAGATTTGGTTCCTGATGATAGCTGGCTTTCTTGTTCATAGATGGCACTTTCTAGCTGTGTCCTCGCATGGCGGAAGGCGTGAACTCTAGTATTTCCTGCCTTATTTATCGGGCACTAACATTTAAGGAAAGGGTGAGTGGCCTCTCTCAGGCCTCTTTTATAAGGGCACCAATCCCATTCTGAAGCCTCTACCGACATGATCTCCAAAGTATTCACCTATTAATACCATCACATTGATGGTTAGATTTTAACATACTTGGAGGGACACAATCTTCCAGATCATAGCACACACGTTAAGTGTTGGGAGAAACACCAGTTTGTTATTCCTGATGTTTCCTCTCTGTAGAGGGACATTCACTGGAGTAACACTCTTAGCTTCTCTCCTCCCTGATTGGTAGACTTGGGATAAGGAATTACATATCTTTAGCTCTACCTCTTACTGTTTTCTGAGGGGTGGTGGTCATGGTGGTTGTGAAGAGAGCTCTGTGGCTCCATGCTCTGAATTTTACAGGAGCAAGATACTCGTACAGGGGTAGAATGAATGAGTCTTTCTAATCCTAGACTTCAGTGTTAGGAAGTCCACTTGCTCACATATACAAGCCACATTTTTCATTATCAGCTTTTATTAAAAAATAAATGTGACATTGTGACCAATATTCATTTTAGTGCCTTTTTATCTCTTAATTTGTTCTTCAATTGGGTAGTGCATTGAAGACCTATTAGGCAACTTTAAATTTCAACATAATTTGGCTTTATTTATTTATTTTTTATTATTATTATACTTTAAGTTTTAGGGTACATGTGCACAATGTGCAGGTTTGTTACATATGAATACATGTGCCATGTTGGTGTGCTGCAACCATAAACTCATCATTTAGCATTAGGTATATCTCCTAATGCTATCCCTCCCCCCTCCCCCCACCCCAAAACAGTCCCCGGAGTGTGATTTTCCCCTTCCTGTGTCCATGTGTTCTCATTGTTCAATTCCCACCTATGAGTGAGAACATGCGGTGTTTGGCTTTTTGTCCTTGCAATAGTTTGCTGAGAATGATGGTTTCCAGTTTCATCCATGTCCCTACAAAGGACATGAACTCTTCATTTTTTATGGCTGCATAGTATTCCATGATGTATATGTGCCACATTTTCTTAATCCAGTCTATCGTTGTTGGACATTTGGGTTGGTTCCAAGTCTTTGCTATTGTGAATAGTGCTGCAATAAACATACGTGTGCATGTGTCTTTATAGCAGCATGATTTATAATCCTTTGGGTATATACCCAGTAATGGGATGGCTGGGTCAAATGGTATTTCTAGTTCTAGATACCTGAGGAATCACCACACTGACTTCCACAGTGGTTGAACTAGTTTACAGTCCCACTACCAGTGTAAAAGTGTTCCTATTTCTCCACATCCTCTGCAGCACCTGTCGTTTCCTGACTTTTTAATGATCGCCATTCTAACTGGTGTGAGATGGTATCTCATTGTGGTTTTGATTTGCATTTCTCTGATGGCCAGTGATGGTGAGCATTTTTTCTTGTGTTTTTGGCTGCATAAATGTCTTTTGAGAAGTGTCTGTTCATATCCTTTGCCCACTTTTTGATGGGGTTGTTTGTTTTTTTCTTGTAAATCTGTTTGAGTTCATTGTAGATTCTGGATATTGGCCCTTTGTCAGATGAGTAGGTTGCAAAAATTTTCTCCCATTCTGTAGGTTGCCTGTTCACTCTGATGGTAGTTTCTTTTGCTGTGCAGAAGCTCTTTAGTTTAATTAGATCCCATTTGTCAATTTTGGCTTTGGTTGCCATTGCTTTTGGTGTTTCAGACATGAAGTCCTTGCCCATACCTATGTCCTGAATGGTATTGCCTAGGTTTTCTTGTAGGGTTTTTATGGTTTTAGGTCTAACATGCAAGTCTTTAATCCATCTTGAATTAATTTTTGTATAACGTTTAAGGAAGGGATCCAGTTTCAGCTTTCTACATATGGCCAGCCAGTTTTCCCAGCACCATTTATTAAATAGGGAATCCTTTCCCCATTGCTTGTTTTTGTCAGGTTTGTCAAAGATCAGATGGTTGTAGATATGTGGCATTATTTCTGAGGGCTCTGTTCTGTTCCATTGATCTATATCTCTGTTTTGGTACCAGTACCATACTGTTTTGGTTACTGTAGCCTTGTAGTATAGTTTGAAGTCAGGTAGCATGATGCTGCCAGCTTTGTTTTTTTGGCTTAGGATTGACTTGGCGATGGCGGCTCTTCTTTGGTTCCATATGAACTTTAAAGTAGTTTTTTCCAATTCTGTGAAGAAAGTCATTGGTAGCTTGATGGGGATGGCATTGAATCTATAAACTACCTTGGGCAGTGTGGCCATTTTCACGATATTGATTCTTCTTACCCATGAGCATGGAATGTTCTTCCATTTGTTTGTATCCTCTTTGATTTCCTTGAGCAGTGGTTTGTAGTTCTCCTTGAAGAGGTCCTTCACATCCCTTGTAAGTTGGATTCCTAGGTATTTTATTCTCTTTGAGGCAATTGTGAATGGGAGTTCACTCATGATTTGGCTCTCTGTTTGTCTGTTATTGGTGTATAAGAATGCTTGTGATTTTTGTACATTGATTTTGTATCCTGAGATTTTGCTGAAGTTGCTTATCAGCTTCAGGAGATTTTGGGCTGAGACTATGGGGTTTTCTAGATATACAATCATGTCATCTGCAAACAGGGACAATTTGACTTCCTCTTTTCCTAATTGAATACCCTTTATTTCCTTCTCCTGCCTAATTGCCCTGGCCAGAACTTCCAACACTATGTTGAATAGGAGTGGTGAGAGAGGGCATCCCTGTCTTGTGCCAGTTTTCAAAGGGAATGCTTCCAGTTGTTGCCCATTCGGTATGATATCGGCTGTGGGTTTGTCATAGATAGCTCTTATTATTTTGAAATACGTCCCATCAATACCTAATTTATTGAGAGTTTTTAGCATGAAGCATTGTTGAATTTTCTCAAAGGCCTTTTCTGCATCTATTGAGATAATCATGTGGTTTTTGTCTTTGGTTCTATTTATATGCTGGATTACATTTATTGATTTGCGTATATTGAACCAGCCTTGCATCCCAGGGATGAAGCCCACTTGATCATGGTGGATAAGCTTTTTGATGTGCTGCTGGATTCGGTTTGCCAGTATTTTATTGAGGAGTTTTGCATCAATATTCATCAAGGATATTGATCTAAAATTCTCTTTTTTGGTTGTGTCTCTGCTCGGCTTTGGTATCAGGATGATGCTGGCCTCATAAAATGAGTTAGGGAGGATTCCCTCTTTCTCTACTGATTGGAATAGTTTCAGAAGGAATGGTACCAATTCCTCCTTGTACCTCTGGTAGAATTCGGCTGTGAATCCATCTGGTCCTGGACTTTTTTTTGTTGGTAAGCTATTGATTATTGCCACTATTTCAGAACCTGTTATTGGTCTATTCAGAGATTCAACTTCTTCCTGGTTTAGTCTTGGGAGGGTGTATGTGTCGAGGAATTTCTCCATTTCTTCTAGATTTTCTAGTTTATTTGCGTAGAGGTGTTTGTAGTATTCTCTCATGGTAGTTTGCATTTCTGTGGGATCAGTGGTGATATCCCCTTTATCATTTTTTATTGCATCTATTTGATTCTTCTCTCTTTTCTTCTTTATTAGTCTTGCTAGCAGGCTATCGATTTTGTTGATCCTTTCAGAAAACCAGCTCCTGGATTCATTAATTTTTTGAAGGGTTTTTTGTGTCTCTACTTCCTTCAGTTCTACTCTGATTTTAGTTATTTCTTGCCTTCTGGTAGCTTTTTAATGTGTTTGCTATTGCTTTTCTAGTTCTTTTAATTGTGACGTTAGGGTGTCGATTTTGGATCTTTCCTACTTTCTCTTGTGGGCATTTAGTGCTATAAATTTCCCTCTACACACTGCTGTGAATGTGTCCCAGAGATTCTGGTATGTTGTGTCTTTGTTCTCATTGGTTTCAAAGAACATCTTTATTTCTGCTTTCATTTTGTTATGTACCCAGTAGTCATTCAGGAGCAGGTTGTTCAGTTTCCATGTAGTTGAGCAGTTTTGAGTGAGTTTCTTAGTTCTGAGCTCTAGTTTGATTGCACTGTGGTCTGAGAGACAGTTTGTTATAATTTCTGTTCTTTACATTTGCTGAGGAGAGCTTTACTTCCAAGTATGTGGTCAATTTTGGAATAGGTGTGGCGTGGTGCTGAAAAAAATGTATATTCTGTTGATTTGGGGTGGAGAGTTCTGTAGATGTCTATTAGGTCCGCTTGCTGCAGAGCTGAGTTCAATTCCTGGGTATCCTTTTTAACTTTCTGTTTCATTGATCTGTCTAATTTTGACAGTGGGGTATTAAAGTCTCCCATTATTATTGTGTGGGAGTCTAAGTCTCTTTGTAGGTCACTAAGGACTTGCTTTATGAATCTTGGTGCTCCTGTATTGGGTGCATATATATTTAGGATAGTTAGCTCTTCTTGTTGAATTGATCCCTTTACCATTATGTAATGGCCTTCTTTGTCTCTTTTGATCGTTGTTGGTTTAAAGTCTGTTTTATCCGAGACTAGGATTGCAACCCCTGCCTTTTTTTGTTTTCCATTTGCTTGGTAGATCTTTCGCCATCCTTTTATTTTGAGCCTATGTGTGTCTCTGCATGTGAGATGGGTTTCCTGAATACAGCACACTGATGGGTCTTGACTCTATCCAATTTGCCAGTCTGTGTCTTTTAATTGGAGCATTTAGCCCATTTACATTTAAAGTTAATATTGTTATGTGTGTATTTGGTCCTGTCATTATGATGTTAGCTGGTTATTTTGCTCATTAGTTGATGCAGTTTTCTTCCTAGACTTGATGGTCTTTACATTTTGGCATGTTTTTGCAGCGGCTGGTATCGGTTGTTCCTTTCCATGTTTAGTGCTTCCTTCAGGAGCTCTTTTAGGGCAGGCCTGGTGGTGACAAAATCTCTCAGCATTTGCTTGTCTGTAAAGTATTTTATTTCTCCTTCACTTATGGAGCTTAGTTTGGCTGGATATGAAATTCTGGGTTGAAAATTCTTTTCTTTAAGAATGTTGAATATTGTCCCCCACTCTCTTCTGGCTTGTAGAGTTTCTGCCGAGAGATCCGCTGTTAGTCTGACGGGCTTCCCTTTGTGGGTAACCCGACCTTTCTCTCTGGCTGCCCTTAAGATTTTTTCCTTCATTTCATCTTTGGTGAATCTGACAATTATGTGTCTTGGAGTTGCTCTTCTCAAGGAGTATCTTTGTGACATTCTCTGTATTTCCTGAATCTGAATGTTTGCCTGCATTGCTAGATTGGGGAAGTTCTCCCGGATAATATCCTGTAGAGTGTTTTCCAACTTGGTTCCCCCCGTCACTTTCAGGTACACCAATGAGACATAGATTTGGTCTTTTCACATAGTCCCATATTTCTTGGAGGCTTTGTTCATTTCTTTTTATTCTTTTTTCTCTAAACTTCCCTTCTCTCTTCATTTCATTCATTTCGTCTTCCATCACTTATACCCTTTCTTCCAGTTGATTGCATCAGCTCCTGAGACTTCTGCATTCTTCCCGTAGTTCTTGAGCCTTGGTTTTCAGCTCCATCAGCTCCTTTAAGGACTTATCTGTGTTGGTTATTCTAGTTATCCATTCGTCTAATTTTTTTTTCAAAGTTTTTAACTTCTTTGCCATTGGTTTGAATTTCCTCCTATAGCTCGGAGTAGTTTGATCGTCTGAAGCCTTCTTCTCTCAGCTCATCAAAGTCATTCTCCGTCCAGCTTTGTTCCATTGCTGGTGAGGAGCTGCGTTCCTTTGGAGGAGGAGAGGTGCTCTGCCTTTCACAGTTTCCAGTTTTTCTGCTCTGTTTTTTCCCCATCTTTGTGGCTTTATCTACTTTTTGTCTTTGATGATGGTGACGTACAGAAGGGTTTTTGTTGTGGATGTCCTTTCTGTTTGTTAGTTTTCCTTCTAACAGACAGGACCCTCAGCTGCAGGTCTGTTGGAGTTTGCTAGAGGTCCACTCCAGACCCTGTTTGCCTGGGTATCAGCAGCGGTGGCTGCAGAACAGCAGTGGCTGTGGAACAGCAGTGGCTGTAGAACAGCGGTGGCTGTAGAACCGCGGTGGCTGTAGAACAGCGGATCTTGGTGAACCGCAAATGCTGCTGCCTGATTGTTCCTCTGGAAGTTTTGTCTCAGAGGAGTACCCGGCCGTGTGAGGTGTCAGTCTGACCCTACTGGGGGGTGCCTCCCAGTTAGGCTGCTTGGGGGTCAAGGACCAGCTTGAGAAGGCAGTCTGCCCATTCTCAGATCTCCAGCTGCATGCTGGGAGAACCACTACTCTCTTCAAAGCTGTCAGACAGGGACATTTAAGTCTGCAGAGGTCACTGCTGTCTTTTTGTTTGTCTGTGCCCCGCCCCCAGAGGTGGAGCCTGCAGAGGCAGGCAGGCCTCCTTGAGCTGTGGTGAGCTCCACCCAGTTCGAGCTTCCCGGCTGCTTTGTTTGCCTAATCAAGCCTGGGCAATGGCAGGCGCCCCTCCCCCAGTCTTGCAGTTTGATCTCAGACTGCTGTGCTAGCAATCAGGGAGACTCCGTGGGCGTAGGACCCTCCAAGCCATGTGTGGGATATAATCTCCTGGTGTGCCGTTTTTTTAAGCCTATTGGAAAAGCACAGTATTAGGGTGGGAGTGACCTGATTTTCCAGGTGCTGTCTGTCACCCATTTCTTTGACTAGGAAAGGGAATTCCCTGACCCCTTGCGCTTCCCGAGTGAGGCAATGCCTCCCCCTGCTTTGGCTCGCACATGGTGTGCTTCACCCACTGTCCTGCACCCACTGTCTGGCACTCCCTAGTGAGATGAACCCGGTACCTCAGATGGAAATGCAGAAATCACCCGTCTTCTGCATTGCTCATGCTGGGAGCTGTAGACCGGAGCTGTTCCTATTCGGCCATCTATAATTTGGCTTTATAATAATAGTAATTGCTGTTATTATTTTGCATCTCAGTGTTTCTCAAAGACTGATACTTTGAAACACCTCCATGAGCATAATGTGCGGGGTTGCGTGGTACTTATAAAAATGCATCTTTCTAGATCTTTCTGGGAATCTTTCTAGACCTAGTCAGAATTTCTAGGGGGCCATGATTTTTCATTTTTAACAATCACGGCAGTAATTCTTAGGCAAACTAGCATATGAAAGCTACTGCATTTTCTTATGTAATTTCTACTAGATTTCATACAAAGAATAAAAGTTTTTTCTTTTAAAGGTGAGGAACCTCAGTTTTAGAGAAGAAAATTAATAATTAACTGCCCAAGGCCATGCTGCCACTAAGTGGCAGGATTATGACGTCTGCATCTCCTTCTAAAGCACTTGCCCTGCTTTCTCTAAATCTGGATTGTTCTGTGTCCTTAGGACTGTGTAAAGCTCTGACACTTAGAAGAAGTCTAAAAATGGTTCCTCAGTTCACACTGGTTATAATTTAATTGGGGTCATAAGAGGCATATACATGAAAGGGGAGCAAAGAATTTGTGATGTAGGCACAAGTTCACAGATCAGGGCCATGCTCTAGAAGTTATAGGAGCTTGGCGGAGGGAGAGCTGAGACAGGCTAAACCAGAGAAATTTCTTTAAAATTTATTTTAAAATTAAAAAAATTTTAAATGTATTATTATACTTTAAGTTCTGGGGTACATGTACACAACGTGCAGATTTGTTACATAGGTATACACGTGCCATGTTGGTTTGCTGCACTCATCAACCCATCATTTGCATTAGGCATTTCTCCTAATGCTATCCTTCCTGCAGTCTCCCACTCCCCGACAGGCCCCGGTGTGTGATGTTCCCCTCCTGATGGGGAAATTTTAAGAAGCCCATGGGATTTTGGATTTACCCACCAGGAATAAAAGTGATTCAGGTAAAGGGAAGTGAAGAAGAATATTCCGGTTGGGAAGATAGCCAAAACAAAGAATGGAGGCAGGAAATTCTCAGCAGCTTTTAAAACCTTCCAGCCTAGACCACATCAGCCACACAGCTGGCAGGCTGTAATGACTTGGGCCTGGCTTATTAAGCACATTTGAAAATTGGGTGAATTGCTTGATTTGGTAAAAAATTACATGGTACATTTAATCAAGGCTCCTTTAAGGAACAAATGTCATTAAACACCACTTAATTAGCTGCCCCTACAGCCTGACTGGGTGAAAATTATATCCTTGACAAACTACAAAACATTTTTAAGGTCAAATATGGAGAATAAAAATATCACTGGATGTCCTCGGGTAATAGGTCCATAAAAGCTTGCTTCATTTTCATTCATTGAAAAGATTCATTCTGGATTGCAGCTAATCAGAACTTGATAGGCTTTCTTTGGAGCAGACTCTTAAGACCCAGCGTGTGTTGGTTTTTATGCTAAAGAAGTGAAAATAAAACAACCAGAAAAACAGGCACATGCACATTCAGTCATACACTTGTTTATCAGCCTGCTGATTTGTTATGGGAATAAAAATGGCTACTTGCTCTATTAACCCAGGATACAGTGGTATGTTATAGAGACCCAAGCTCTGGCTATGCCCAGGACAGAGAAGGCAAATCGGAATATTAAGGAGCTAAAGTGGATGGGAGTCATTATTTACTTTACTGCATTTTTCAAAAACTTCTAAGTGATGTATAATATCCAGAAAATTGCACATATCATAAGTATACAACTTAATTTTTTTTTTTTTTTTTTAGTTTATAAGGAAAAGAAGCTTAATTGGCTCACTGATCTGCAAGCTGTACAGGAAGCATGATGGTAGCATCTGCTTGGCTTCTGGGGAGGCCTCAGGAAATGTACAATCATGGCAGAAGGTGATAGGAGAACAAGCACATCGCATGGCCAGAAGCAAGAGAGACGGGAAGTGCTACACACTTTTTATTTTTTATTATTTATTTAATTTTTTAATGTTCTGGGGTACATGTGCAGGATGTGCAGGTTTGTTACATAAGTAAATGTGTGCCATGGTGGTTTGCTGCACCTATCAACCCATCAATCACCTAGGTATTAAGCCCAATATGCATTAGCTGTTTTCCCTAATGCTTTCTCCCCGAGCTGCCCTCCCCTGACAGGCCCCGATGTGTGTCGTTCCCCTCCCTGTGTTCATGTGTTCTTGTTGTTCAGCTCCCACTTATAAGTGAGAACATGCAGTGTTTGCTTTTCTGTTCCTGCATTAGTTTGCTAAGGGTAATGGCCTCCAACTTTATCCGTGTCCCTGCAAGGGATGTGATCTCATTCCTTTTTATGGCTGCATAGTATTCCATGGTGTGTATGTACCACATTTTGTTTATCCAGTCTATCATTGATGGGCATTTGGGTTGATCCCATGTCTTTGCTATTGTGAGTAGTGCTGCAATGAACATATGTGTGCATGTATCTTTATAATAGAATTATTTATATTCCTTTGGGTATATACCCAGTAATGGGATTGCTGGGTCAATAGAATTTTTAGAACTGAAATCACCCTTGCAACCAGCACCACCAGATCAAGAAACAAAGCATTATTATTATTAAGGGGTCCAGAAGCTCCCTGATGCTTTCTTTACATCATTCCCTCTCTCCCCACCCTATGATGGTAATTGTTGTCCTGACTTCTCTCAGGACTGACTGATTTCCCCTGCTTCTGTACTCTATGTGGATGGCATCATACAGCATGCATTCTTCTCTGCCTGGCTTCTTCCACTCAACATAGTTTGTGAGAGTCATCCATGTCGTTGAGCGTGCTTGTTCTTTGTTCCTCCTTATTGCTATATAGTGGTCCATTGAGTGAATGGGCCACAACTTCTTTACATATTTTTTGGTTCATACGTATTTCAGCAGGTTTTTTTGGTAGCTATTATGACTAGTGCTTCTCCAAACATACCATTTATTAAGTATATTTGTGTATAGGGGTCCATCTAGGTGAAAGATTCCTGTGATGTAACATATGCGCATGTTTAGCATGAGTGTATATGACTCTTGTGATATATGTAAAATGCATTAATATGTTGATAATATATTACATATAATATGTACATTTATGTGTACATGCATAATATGTATGTATGTTCATACATGGTATAATATATGATATCATATATGTATATATAAAAGCACATACATACACACACACACATATATATATATATATATACAGTCATGCACTGCATAATGATGTTTTGGTCAACAATGGACCACATACATGACTGTGGTCCCTTAAGATTATAATACTGTACTTTTACTGTACCTTTTCTATGTTTAGCTATACTTAAATACAAAAATACAATTGCCCACAGTATTCAGTCCAGTAACATGCTGTACAAGTTTGTAGTCTAGGGGCAATAGGCTATACCAAATAGCCCAGGTGTGTAGTTGGCTGTACTATCTAGATGTGTGTAAGTCGCCCTATGATGTTCACATAGTGACAAAATTGCCTAACAGTAACACTGTGGGAATAACATTTCTCAGAATGTATCCCCAGTGTTAAGTGATCAATGATTGTGTGTGTATATAAACACAGACACACACACACAGACACATGTATACACACACACACACATGCAGTTGCCATTCCATGTCTGTTGGCTCCACATTCGTAAATTCAACCAACCTCAGATTAAAAATATCTGGGGAAAAAATTTCACAAACTTCCAAAAAGCAAAACTTGGCCAAGTACTACATTGAATACGTGCAACTGAAGTGTTGTGTAGCCATTGTATTAGATCATATAAATTATCTAGAAATAATTTAAAGTATATGGGAGGATGTGCATAGGTTACGTGCAGATATTATGCCATTTTATATAAGAGACTTGAGCATCCTTGGATTTTGGTATCTGAGGGTGTCCTGAAACCAATCCTCCACGGATACCAAGGGGAAGGTGTGTGTTTGTGTGTGTGTGTGTGCGCATGTGTGTGTGTCTGTGTGTATGTCTGTATGTGTGCATATGTGTGTGTGTGTGTGTGTGTTTGTCCTGTCTGTCTGTTCCTTTTGATCATCAGCTCTTAGGGTACAGACTGGCTTACTTTATACTAGGGACAAGTATAAAGAATCCCTGCTTGGCACAGGGATTCTTGTATTTCATGAGACTTATTATTATTATTTTATTTATTTATTTATTTTTTGAGACGGAATTTCACTCTCTGTTGCCCAGGCAGGAGTGCAGTGGCACGATCACAGGTCACTGCAACCTTCGCCTCCCGAATTCAAGCAATTCTACCGTCTCAGCCTCCCGAATAGCTGGGATTACAGGCACCTGCCACTGCACCCGGCTAATTTTTATATTTTTAGTAGAGACAGGGTTTCACCAATTTGGCCAGGCTTGTCTCGATCTCCTGACCTCAGGTGATCCACCTCCCTCAGCCTCCCAAAGTGCTGGGATTACAGGCGTGAGCCACCGCGCCCGGCTGAGACTTCTTATTGAAGATGGTGTCTACTTAACTTAGATTGGGATTCTGACATGATATCCCCCCAACAGAGAAGACGTTCTAATTGCAATCAGCAAAATCAAGGCATAATTAAGTGCTCACAAATTGTTATGTTAGTAGAAGAAGCATTTTTCATCCCTTCTGGTCATTGCCTCCCTTTCTTGAACCATCTCCTTCTCACTGGGCATTTTCTTATGTTTCACTTGATTTTTTAAGTGTTGAGTAAATGTATTCTTGTATACATTTAAGATAAACTCTAATCCAAATGATGCAAACTAGAAAACATAATTTGAACACAGTTTCTCTTTTTAAAAAAATCTATATTTGAAGTGATCTGCTTGTGTATTTGATTCACCTGCCCTGTTATAAAGTGGGGAAAATAGGACTTACATGGCAAGGTTGCTGCGTGAGTTAGATCACAAAATGTCTGCATAGAGATGGGCTTGGGGGTGTCACAGAATAGTTTCCAACTATTGTAGCACTTTTGAGGGCAATCTCTTTCACCCTCAGAGCTGGCATTAAAAAATTTAATTTTAATTTAATTTAAAGCTCTAGAGTACATGTGCAGAATGTGCGGGTTTATTGCATAGAAAACCGTGTGTCATGGTGGTTTGCTGAACCTGTCAACCCATCACCTAAGTAAAGCACTGGCTCTGTATCACTGGATAGGTCAGTGCCTTCTCTGGGCCTTTGATTCCTTATCTACAAAATGGGGGTTTAGATCAAATTATTTCTAGCTTTACGTTATTCCTCAAATTTGGGAATAATTTTAGTAAGAATTAGGGGGTGACAGGCTGGGCACGGTGGCTCACGCCTGTAATCCTAGCACTTTGGGAGGCTGAGGCGGGCGGATCATGAGGTCAGGAGATCTAGACCATCCTGGCTAACACGGTGAAACCCCGTCTCTACTAAAAACACAAAAAATTAGCCGGGCGCGGTGGCGGGTGCCTGTAGTCCCAGCTACTTGGGGGGCTGAGGCAGGAGAATGGCGTGAATCTGGGAGGCGGAGCTTGCAGTGAGCCAAGACCGCGCCACTGCACTCCAGCCTGGGCGACAGAGCGAGACTCCGTCTCAAAAAAAAGAATTAGGGGGTGAGATAGATGACAGATGTGGTTAATTGCATTATTCTTCCTGATTTTTCACGCCTTCCTGTATGCTTGTCTTAAGATCTAGCACTTCTGTTCTCTGGGGTTGGAGGATATTGTCTTACTGTGTCTCTGTTGGACATGGCCTTGTGATTTGCCTCAGCCTTTGACCTTTGAGATGTAGGTGGAAGCAACAAAGTGACAGTTCCAAGTCCCGACCATAAGAAGCATTGTGTATTTCCATTTGTGCTTCCAACCGTTCCCATGACAAGAGCATACCCTTGGATATAGCTGCTACTCTTTCGTCTTGGACCCCAGAATGAACGTGTGGATCTCCAGCCTCCCCACTAACCTGTGGGCCTGAGAACAAGAGCTCCCTGTTGCACTGCTGACTGATACACATAGTGCAAGCACAGCTGGCCCTCCATACAGGTGGGTTTCGAATACTGTATTTTCAATCCAAGTTTGGTTGAAAAAAGTCTGTGCATAAATGGACCCTCGTGGTTCAAACCCTTGTTGTTTAAGGGTCAACTGTATATTATTTTGTCAGTAAAAGAAACAATGACTAAATATATCCTTGCCTTGAGTGTCCACTCTTAGTAAGATAAGGAAGATGAGATAATTGTCAAAGAGTAGAGACCTGTCACAGGTAATGCTAAACATTGTTATCTTTCTGTATAAAACTCCTTGCTGAGCTGTTTACTTACATTATTTCACTTATTCTTTCTTTTCCTTTTTTTTTTTTTTTTTTTTTTTTTGACAGAGTCTTGTTCTGTCGCCACACTGGAGTGCAGTAGCTCAATCTTGGCTCACCGCAATCTCTACCTCCCGGGTTCAAGCAGTTCCCCTGCCTCTGACTCCCCAGTAGCTGGGACTACAGGCCCAGCTAATTTTTTGTAATTTAGTAGAGATGGGGTTTCACCATGTTGGCCAGGATGGTCTCGATCTCTTGACCTCGCGATCTGCCCGCCTCGGCCTCCCAAAGTGCTGGGATTACAGGCATGAGCCACCATGCCCAGCCTATTTCACTTACATTCTTTATAACAGCCATATGAGGAAGTATGATCATTGTGATTTTATGGAAGGCAAAACTAGTGCTCAAAGAAGTTAAGAGGCTTACCCAAGTATGTAATTTACAAGTTGGGGGGATTGGGCATAATCCCAAGTCAGCTCTTAACCACTCTGTTCTCCCACCTTTCAAAACTGAGGATGTTAAGTGTGAGTGGTTGGGGGCACTTCAATGTGCTCTCATCAAAATCATGTGTGTAAGCATAGATCATACAGGAGGTGACAGAAGTGGGACATGGCTACAGAATTCAGAGTATGAGGGAAAGGTTTGGATCACACTCTTCTACCATGGTATGACAAGCCTTTTGTGTCCACTGAATATCCACGTGCTCCTTTATATCTACCCGCCATCCTTATTTTATTTTATCTTATTTTTTTAGACAGAGTTTTGCTCTTGTTGCCCAGGCCAGAGTGCAATGGCAGGAGTTTGACTCACCACAGCCTCTGCCTCCTGGGTTCAAGCAATTCTCCTCCCTCAGCCTCCTGAGTCGCTGGGATTACAGGCATGCACCACCACACCTGGCTAATTTTTTTTTTTGTATTTTTAGTAGAGATGGGGTTTCTCCATGTTGGTTAGGCTGGTCTCGAACTCCTGATCTCAGGTGATCCGCTCGCCTTGGCCTCCCAAAGTGCTGGGATTATAGGCGTGAGCCACTGCGCCTGGCCCATCCTTATGGTTACAGAGGGGAAATACAACTGGGTCCTGGCTGGTGCAATGTAGACAGATGTGATACAAGCAACTTCAAAGCTTAGCCCTTGAAAATGCCCTGCAGGATCCTGTACCCTTCCTTTCCCTCTCTGAAATCTCCTTGGATGCCAAGTGTTCTACATGGTGCAAGCAAAAGACAGAAGCCACCCATGACCCTGAGTCATCACTTAGAGTAATGTCACCAAGAGTTACTTGACCCTCAGAGGATTGTGATATGAGCGAGAGACAAGTTTCACTGTGTCAGCCCACTGAGATTCGGGAGTATATGTGTTGCTCCAGCATAGCTCGTTCTATTCTAACTGTGTAAAGCAAAGTGTCCAGGATATAGCAGATGTACATCAAATGCAAAAGTAAAACAGTAAGAGATGGATGCATGGAAGAAAGAAAGGAAGAGTGATGCAAATGTATTTGAGAAAATGTCTGGAGTTATTTGTGACGGGAGATGGTAGTCCACATTGTTTTCTGGCCAGAATAAAAAGCACACCCCATAGAACCTTGTGCTTTCTCTGCTGACTAACACATTCGTACATCCAAGCAGGAACTGCTGTTTTAGTGGACGACAGTCGTCAAGGCCCTGGCATGTTTGAGTGTCAACCGCTGACTCTGAAGAAAAAGCTTATTAGCTTTAGGAGCTCATAGCTACCCCAATCCAGTGGGAGCTGCCTCTAGACATCACTGTTTTTTATGGCTTTAATCTGAGACATTTACATCCTTTGGGGGACTACGTCAGGAGAACTTTTAATGAAAAAACATTTCATTTGAAATCAGTTTTTTTTTCTTTAAATCCTTTCCTTTTTTTTCGTTTTTTAACCTCTCATCCTGGAGAGGCACAGTACAGAGTGTTTATAATTAATTTCCCTCACACCTCTTGTTTACTGAACATTTATTGAGGAACCTTTGAGGAGACATATTTTTTTTTCTTTTCTTGGTTAATTGTCTGCTAGGAAGGCTAACAGGATCTGGAATTCAAGCAGGCTTGGTCGTGGGAGTGGCAGGCGTAGGCAGAGACCTAGGCTGTGTGATCCAAGGATGCTCTGTATAGGGCCTGGGCCCAAGGTACCTCTTTTGGAAAAATAAAGTATCAGAGAATCTGCACTCAGAAAGTTCTACTCTGAAGAGTTAGAGGCAGAGGCTACTGGTTTCTA
The DNA here is from genome assembly GCF_000001405.40 of Homo sapiens. Lineage (NCBI taxonomy): Eukaryota > Metazoa > Chordata > Mammalia > Primates > Hominidae > Homo > Homo sapiens. The sequence continues at coordinate 135,862,010 of NC_000008.11, forward strand.
GGCAAATGTGAATACAGTAAACAATCACAGATTCTCTGTGATCTTGGCATATGGGTTTGTAAGGATGCAATGTGTAAAGCTTTTTATGTCTTCAAATCCTGCCATCACATGACCTCACATAATGTGCAAAATAAACCTGTGTTGGGGCTCATTATCCTCATTTTATGGATGCGATTGAGGTGTGGCTCATTATCCTCATTTTATGGTTGCAATCGAGGTGTGAATTATTATGTTCTGTCTGAATGAGGGTCTTTAGCTGGTTCTAAACAGGGTTGTCCAAGGATGGTTCAGAGGCTTTCCCTTTTAAAACACCACCATAGACAAATACCACAGGCACCATGTCCACGACCACCACCACCATCACCTCTATCACCGTACGGTCACTGTCACCACTACAACCAATACTACTATTACCTTCATCACCACCATTACCACCAATACTATTACCACCACCACTACAACCAACACTACCATCATCTCTATTTCCGACACTACTGGTACTACTATTACCACCATACCCTCACCATCATGACCCCACCAACATCACCATCACCTCTGTCACCACCAATGCCACCACCGCTAGCATTACCACCAAACTAGGTGCTTAGAGTTCTGTTATCTCTCTCTCTCTCTCTTTTTGGGGGGGGGGGTGGTGGTTGCGGTAGGCAGGGACAGAGTTTCGCTCTGTTGTCCAGGCTGGATTGTGGTGGTACGATCTCTGCTCATGGCAACCTCCGCCTCCTGGGTTCAAGCAATTCTCTTGCCTCAGCCTCCTGAGTAGCTGGGAGTGCAGGCGCGTGCCACCATGCCCAGGTAATTTTTGTATTTTTAGTAGAGACAGGGTTTCGCCATGTTGCTCAGGCTGGTCTCAAACTCCTGACCTCAGGTAATCCACCCGCCTCAGCCTCTCAAAGTGCTGGGATTACAAGCATGAGCCACCACGCCTGACCAAGTTCTATTATCTTTTTCTGGGAGTTTACAAGTATGTTGACAACTCAGGTGATGGTAATGATGGTGATTTTTCTACATGGGATAGGTTGCCTGAAGATGGAGCAAAGTTCTAGCTGGAATTCAACAGTTAACAGGAGAGGTGCTATACTGTGCAATGAAATGCTTACTAGACAACCTCATTAAGAAAAGTGTGTGGTTAATTTTATGTGTCAACTTCATTAGGACACAGAGTGCCCATATAATTGGTTAAACTGTATTCGTAAGTGTGTCATTGAGTGGGTTTCTGGATGAGATTTGAATAACATTGAAATTGGTGGACTGAGCAAAGCAGATTTCCCTCCCCAATGTGAGTGGGTCCCACTCAATCCATTGAAGGCCTAAATAGAATAAAAGACTGAAGAAGAGAAGAATGTTTTCTGCCTGCCTGACTGTTGTTGAGCTGGGACATCAATTTTCCCCTCCCTTCGGATTCGGACTTGGACTGGAATTTTTACCATTGGCTTTTCTGGTTCTCTAACTTCAGTCTGAACTGAAACTCCAGTACCATCAGCTCTGCTGGTTCCCAGGCCCTTAGACTTGGACTGGAATTATGTCATCAGCTCTCTTGGGCTTTTAGCTTGTTGACTGCAGATCTTGGACTTCTCAGCCTCTATAATCATGTGAACCAATTCCTTATATGGTGTGTGCGTGTGTGTGCGCACGCGTGTGCACGCGAGTGTGTGTGTGTGTGTCTCCTATTGGTTCTCTTTCCTTGGTGAATCCAGTAAACTGGAGTCCAGGTTCTAGTGGGAAGTGCAATACTAGTGACAGGATGTGAGAATTAGAAGAATCCTTAAGCAACACTACTCCCATCTGATTAGCGTCTTTGTTGTCTTCTTAGCTTCAATCACTGTCTCATGTATTTTATTTGGCTACTTACTTCTTATGGTTTCTCCCATGGGAATGGGATTCATGAAGCCACGGACCTTTTCAATCTGTTTGTCACTATACCTCCGGAATCATTACACAGGAGGTGCTTAATAATCATTTGTAGAAAAACTTAAGAAAATTGACATCCTATATGTATTAGTTTGTTTTCATGCTGCTGATAAAGACATGCCCAAGACTGAGAAGAAAAAAACGTTTAACTGGATTTACAGTTCCACATGGCTGGAGAGGCCTCAGAATCATGGTGGAAGGCAAAAGGCACTTCTTACATGACAGTGGCAAGAGAAAAATGAGAAAGAAGCAAAAATGGAAACCCCTGATAAACCCATCAGATCTTGTGAGACTTATTCGCTATCACAAGAATAGCATAGGAAGGACCATCTCCCATGATTCAATTACCTTCCCCTGGGTCCCCCCCACAATACCTGGAAATTCTAGGAGATACAACTCAAGTTGAGATTTGGGTGCAGACATAGCCAAACCGCATCACTATAAATGAACATAATTTATGAACATCATTTTTTTGAAGTCACAATGGCAGGAAATTGTCTGCCAGGTATGATTCTAGACACTTTATATGTGCAACTCCTTATGGTAAGAATTATTATTCCTGTTTTTCTCATAAAGATGGGTGTCCCAAGTGACAGAGATAGTTAAGAACCCAAGATCTTTCCACAATAACATGTTGCTATCCTTGACTGACTCTGGGTCATTCAAAACTTGAATCTGGGTCTCTTGACACTTATATGACTTTTTAGATGCAAATAAATAAAAATAAGAAAGGAAGAATTTATTCATCTACACTAAGCATAAACTCTGTGCTAGACAGAGAGGGAGACATTTACTATGCATTATCTTTTCTAATCTACCCAACAACACTATGCAGAATAGGTTTTCTCTCAAAGTTTTACTGAGGAGTTAATTGACAAAGAGCTCTTGTCTAGAAAGTAGATGACACATATTTTGGAATCAAAACTACTTTATTCCAAAATCTTTGTTCTCTATCATATACCATTTTGTCCCCTCATTCCTTCTTATTTAAAGGAACTGGTCTCTATTACAGAATGCTCAGCAAGATTGCCAGTTACTTTGGCTGAAGTTTTATTATTAGGAAAAAAAATTCAAAAGTAGAAAGCTGATTTTAGGGGTTTATTTTAAAATATTCATGTTTATGTTTTTCCCTTGGGCTTTTATCTACTCAGTCTCCTATACTTTCTCCTCCTACTGCCTCAGGTTCTTACCTCTTAACTCCAGTCAGATCCCCACCTTCCAAAGAGGACCACCCACAGTCTGTTCTTTATTTCCTCACTAGCAGAGCTTGTCCTCTGTGTTGGATTCCCAATAAGGATTGAAACTGAATTATGTTTCTGATGGAGTCAGTGAGTTAAGTCTCTTTCCCCTCACGGGAGACCATGAGGGTTAAATTCAGATGGACTTGGGTGTGAATCCTAACTCAGTCATGTATTAGCTATGACATCTTGGATGACTGGGTCATTATTGCAATTCTCAATTCTTCATCTCTCAAATGGTGGAAATACCTGGCTCAAAGGATGTCTGGAGAGGCAAGTGCTCTGATAGGCTGGTTCACCCTCCTGTGCCCATGCTCTGTGAACTCTGGTTCAATGAGGTTTGCCTGGCAAACAAGATTCTGCAATCTTGGGGAATAGGACCAGGTGGTCTCCTGGAGCTCTCATTGTGCTCTGAGTAGAGAGATGCTGCCACCCATGTGTGCAAAAGTACAGGACAAGTGGGAGATCTGGAGAGTAAAGACCTCTCCCTGCCACGTTACATGATGTGATACATTTGGACGAAGAACGTTTAAAGAAAAGCCAGTGAGCAATTGCCATTATACTCACTTAGAAAGAGCAAGCTTTATATAAGGCACACGTAGGTGAGAAGAATGGAATCTTTTTGTGTGAACAGATAACAAACAGCTTTTAACAAATCTTTAGAAGAAGCAACCATGGTAGGATCCATGTGACTTCATCAAATGACAAGAGAGTTAGTGGAGTCAAGAGCAAAGAAGAGAAGAGAGAAAAAATGTGAATCATGATCATATTAATTTTGAGTGTACTTTATAGAGTAAGAACTAATTTAGACTGACCTAAAGGTTACCAAAACACAAACAGTTGTTTAGCAGAATATATAACATTAAAAGACATTAGTGGTAAATGTGGAAGAGAAACATTAAATTCTTTTAAAAATTTTCAAATTATTTGTAATGCCATTTGCAAATAATTGCCACTCTAATTACAATTTAAAAAGTTATTTTTTATTAAAATAGATTTAAGAAACTATAGAAAAATATTTTTTAGGTAAAAAAAGGTACTTTTTTTCTTGTGCTTTCAAATATACACAGTGATTCAAATACAGCTTTTGCTAATCTACTGTTACTCTGTGTTCTCAGAAGTAAGCAGCACATTTTCTTGATTTTAAATGTGAAATTTACACTTTTCACTAACTCAGACTGTTGTCCCCTGGGAAGTCTCAATTAATGAAGTTTTACTCTACTTGTCGCATAGTAGCAAATGTATCCACTGGGAAATTAACAAAAAGACAACCTGGGCCTTTTTAGCAATAATTCATGTGTTTAGAATTGCTATGGAACTCTAATTGCTGGTTATAAAATGTACAGTCCTGTTACTTTTGTTGCTGGACTGATGCAGTTTTTGCCTGGGTTCCTGGGAAGGACAGGGGGAAGAATTACCATGTATTAATAATTCTGTTTCACGTACAGACTCTTTCATGCCAGGCCCCACTGATTTATCTACCCGGCGTCATGTTGAAGTCTGCTTTGGATTTACGGCTGATTTATTTTGGCTGTGTTAATGTGAGCAACGTCACTGGGCCTAATGATTAAGTATTCACGGTCGGCTATAAATTATTCTTTCTTTACTCTAGATAATAGCAGATTATTTTTCACCACTTCTGGGTGTGAATTATGAAGGACAGTTACTTCTTTAATCTCTAGCACATCTTTCCATGAAAAGGTCTGTGCATTGGATTCTCCCGCTTCAGAAAAAGCCAAGCTTTTTTTTTTTTTTTTTTTGGATGATAAATTTGAGTGAATTAATTTTTACTTCTGAAAAATCTATCTGGGCACTATTGTCTTGCGGGTGGAAAGGAAAACCCTGGTTGTGTGTCAGGAAACTTGGAAGTATTCCAGGGTCTTGCTGCCCAAAAGGCTGTGGGAATAGCTAGAAATTCAATTTTGCCAGACCTGTTTCTTATTTGTCAGTCAAGAAGGACGATCTATTTTCCTTTACCTTGAAGTTAGTGTGAGTATCAAGGAAGACAATAGTAACATCTCAAAAAAGGAAAGTGGAAGGATGTAATGATATATAATATGTATATGTGTGTGTAAAAGTGTATATGTGTGTGTGTGTATATATATATATTTATATATATATTTTTCTCTGATGTGTCCTAGTTAGGGACTCCTCTGGAACCTCTCTAACTGAGGAAAGGATAAAGGAATTTTAAAATTTATGTCGATCATTTAATGATAACAGCAATTATTAATTAGCCCTAATTGTGCTTTTCAAGAGTTATCTCTCTTAGCCTTTTAAAATGCCTGTTACTATTTTTTCATTACTCTCATTTTATGGAGGAAGAATCTGATGCTCAGATATATTAAGAACTTATTTAAGGTCACATAATGACATTGGGGTGTAGTAGGGTGAAACCCAGGGTATTGGCTGACATCAGAGCTCCGACCCACTCTCCATGGGTGCTGTTCAGCGCTCGGCCCTTCGCTCACTGCTGCTTGCAATTTCTCTACACGTAGGTCATTTCAGGCCTACTAATTTTTCTACAGATGAGAGGATGAACCTTTAGGAGAATTAATACAAATTGCTTAAGTAAACAGTGATGAATCAGAACATTTGAGATCTACGCAAAGTAGAGCATCACACCTGTGAGAGTGCAAGGAGACATTCGCAATAATCTTGTCTCCACAATTTAGGCCCAGGGAGCTTAGGGGAAAGAAGAATGTATTGACTGACATAATTGAACATTTCAGAGGCCATATCTCCTTCAGGTGTGGTAAGATCCAGGGAGACAAATAGCATCACAGGGACAGTTCCTCACCCCTCTGCTGGCTTTACTTTGTCATACATTTAGAGCCGACTGTCCCAGAAGAGGGAGTTAAATGCTCTCGCCTCCAACATCATATTGTTTCTTCCTGAGGATCTTGGCTCATCTTGCTTTGGCCAACTTCCCATCCTTCAAACAACTGGGGCAGTGGGGAACTAGTTAATGGGCTCTAGGTTTGAGGGCAGTCCACGGTGAAATAACAATAGAAAGAATATTATTTTCTGGCAAGTAAAGAAGGTTTTCCTAAGGTCTAGCATCACGTGAACCAATGAGATAACATTTCTGCAAATGTTGTCAATTTGTTTTCTGTTGTTAACAACATCCACTCATCTGATGCATGGAGCACCAATGAGGGTATCAGCTCAGGAAAGACAGCATTGATCTGCACTAGAATATATTTTTCCTTGGGCAAAGAAAGTGAAATGCTAAGTGGGCATGAGTGCATTATTCATGTCTGATGACTGAAAATTCACACCACCAAAAGATACCATTGAAGGGCCTGAAACAGAAGCAGGTTTAAGAAAAAGGTATACACAAATGATAAAGCTTCACATGCTATTATTGCTGTTGTTGTTTTTAATGCTAAAGCATTTTATAAATATAAGAGACCGTATTCATTTTTTGAGGTCAGTGGCTGGGGTTACTGACAGTTGAGGGGAGTCAACCTACTCACAGTTGGTAGAACAAATAATTAGGGAGCCCTCTCAAACTGAGGAATCAAGTGACTTTGGTGACCTGCCTATGGGAGCTGGGACTGAACCCCAGTAGACACCCATTGTTCTTATCACAAATGCAGCCCACTTGCCATTTGGGATTCTAGGACTAATTTTATATTGGGAAGTTTGCATGTCATACCATCCCTTCCACATTCACAGCCATTACCTTATACACAGGCTTCTGCTGCAGGAGCTTCCTGGCTGGCCTCCCTGCCTCCTGCGTTGCCCTTTTCCAGGGGTAAAGATAAGAGTGTTTTCAACAGGGAGGCTTTCAGATGGAAGGTTAACAGAAGAGAGGTGGGCTAGGTGGATGTCTCAAAGCTGATTTGGGTAGGCTCAATTTAGATGTGCATGTAGGACATTACAGATGGAGTCTTCCAGTAGCCATTCTACCCAGGGGTTTGTAGAAGGGTACTCATCATCTCTATGATTTTCTGTGCCCAGAAACTCATCATGTGGCCACACTTGGCTGCAAGGGAAATTGGGAAATGATGTATTTTCCCAGCTTCATGAGTATGGGCCCAGCTAAAACCAGAGGTTTTTTATGCAGATGGAATAGTTGAAGGGTGCAAATTTAGGTACAACCAGCAGCTCAGCCACAAGCAACATCACACAATCAGACACACCTCATAACCTTCATACTCATGTTTTCAACAAGTTATGAGCCAGTATAGGTCTAAATACCTGCTCCATTATTTATGAGTTGAGAGAGCTTATAGAAATTACCTAATCACTCTTTGTCCCATTATTTTTATTTATAGAGCAGGGAGCAGAAATGACGTTTTTTTTTTACTACCTCATTTGAATTTGTCCTAAGGCCCAAATGACATGAAATTTCTTAGCTCAAGGCCTAACATAGAGCTGTTTTATTATTATTGTTATTAGCTGTCAATATTTACTATTATAATAAAATATGCACCTTGAAGATTGTATTAATACTTCAAATTATTTTTGTGTTTACTCTCTGCTAGAGTCTGTATTAGCTTTGCTAAGTTCTCTAATTTCTAGAAGAATAAAGTATGATAGTGAAGAAGAAATATAAACCATTAAACACAATTACGTTTTATAGGCATGCTGCTGAAAATGAATAGGCAATTTTTCCTCATTGATTTATTAGCATAAAATAGGGTCCTTTTCTCTGTTTACATAGTTGTAACAATTATAATCTCCCTAGCCATGGTTATCTCTATCACTGATGTAATTGCTGTTTGTTTATGCTGTTAGAGAGAGACAGGGAGAGAGAGAGTAGGAGAGAGAACACGTGCACTCCCATGACCTTGAGAAAGTTACTTCTTAAGTGGAAAGGAAGGGTTGTCCTGGGTGTTCTGGTTTCTTGCAACTCACTCTCCACTTTTGACTCACAGAAGTCACTGGTGGTCATTTTTTAACAGATGCCAATGATGAGTTGACAATAGGTCCCTGGTTACTTGTAACTGAAAGTATTCTTTTGCCAATGCTAGAGCATTCATTTCTATTTTAATTAGAGGAAGAATTTTATTAAAAAAAGTGGTCCATTAGAATTTCAACTAACATCAGACGGCTGTTCTTCCCTCTCAAACCCATTCAAGTCATGAAGATTAAAATGCCATCGACTAGAGGATTACTTATTATCCCTCTGGTTTTCCTCTATTAAATGTTATTTTTTTTCTTCTCATTTTCATGTTTTAAAGATAGTTGAACACATATTTAGCAAACTAAAACCAGTATAAACAGAAAAAGCTTATTATTAGTATTAGTTTGGTTGCTCTTCTGTCATTAGATGTAACTCACAAAGTTTATAAAATAAGTTTTAGAATCCTTTTTGCCAGTTTCTCGCCAGGCAAATATCATGAGTGTTAGATGAATCAAATGGTTTAGTACCAAAAAAAAAAAAAAAAAAAAGAGAAAAAAAGGAAATGAAAATGTTTTATGAGGAGTATGGTCAGGTTTCAAGCTCAGTGGTAGGAAGACTCTGAATTCTGGATTTTTGTACTCCAGTCTGCTGTCTCCAGTTTTCCTGACTTTCTTGGTAATATCCTTTCCAATGGACAATATGTCCTTTCTTGCATTTTGAGGCTGTGTCTGACTTCTTGAGAGCACAGCAATATTTTTGCACTTGTGTTTATCTCATGGTCGTGTGCCATGATTAAATCGATGAGTTCATTTGAAGTCTGCAGCCAGTATCAGTCCCAAGGGATTTCCTTCAAGAGGGTCAACATGGCCTTCGTTGCAAAACTGTCAGGCCTTTAGGTAGTGAGAGAATCAAGTTGGAAAACACATTCTTGTAACTTTAAAAATAAATACTTGTCTGCCAACTACAAACAGCCTCCTAATGTGCCACATCCTACATGCATTTGGATTTAATTTGTTTGCTTTCCTCTGTGATTGCTCTTTAATTATTGCAATGTTGAAACAACTTGCTCTGTCTCCAAAAATATGCTATAGTAGATGGGGCGAAGATGAGGGGGTAAAGAGCAGGCAGCCTGCAATGCTCAGGTAGCAGCTGTCCAAAGTGTGTGCCAATGTTTGGGGGACATCTGCTCAAGGCTCTCCAACCTCACTGCTTCACCTTCCAAAGGATAGGGCAACTGGTGTCCAAAGGTAATTTCCTAGCAGTCAATTTATGGTCTTTTGAAAAATCGCAAAGTAATTATTACCAAGAGATGATGGACTAACTTGAGATAAGTTAAGCTCATTAGAATATTTTAGCAGCAGCAGGAAGGTACAAAATGTAACTTTATCCAAAATCAAAACAACAAAGCTCAGAGCATGATCGCTGTTCATGTCTACTTTTTTGAGATGAAATGGTGAAGCCTTGGGCTCATATCAGACTTTTAGCTTCCTTGTCAATGCTGTGAGAAGTCTCAATGCATCAGTCTAAACTCCGTTACAGCCTCTGCCTTTTGCATTCCTTGACAACAATGACAAATGACAAGAATAATGGCTGACAATATGATTACACATTAATTGGACGGCCTTGTTTCCACTCATTTGTATTGAGGGACAAATTCAGTAAATTTCCTCAAAGTTACACTGCTTGGGGTTAGTTTGAATGTAGGCCTATCTGCTACTGAAGTCTCACTTCATTCATTAGGACACATAACATCATTTGTTGGGTTTCCAGGCTTTGTGTGTTAAGTTTGTGAGCTTTGTGTGTGTTAAGTTTGTTAGGAATGCTGGAGAACAGCTTATCTAGAGGAGAGAGGAAAGCAGGATTGGGAAGAGAAGGGGTTGAAGTCTGATGCAGTTACAACAACCTTTTTCTGAGGGAGCTTTAGAGGTAGACTTGCCCTTAGAGATGTCCAGAATTGAGGGGACAAGTTTTTGGTTATGAATAACTCTTGGGCAAGATGAGGTAGCTCCCTGTGGTTGGGGACAATTCTTAGACAGGCACTCAGTGTGAGAACCCAGCAGGTAATACTTCCTGTAGCTGGAAAAAGGAGCATTTTGGTCCTAACTGGAGGTGTGTGTTGTGGAGTGGTGGTGGTGGTATGAAATTTAGAAAGGGCACCATAGCATCAACTACAGCCCATATTTTGCAGCACTTGGATTCCTTTGCTTTGTATATTACGTTTGCTTCCTCTGGGAAGCAACATCATAGTTCAGCAACAATTCAGTTCCTACAGAATTCCTGGTCTCTTTGCCTTGGAAAGTTATAAGAGGAAGGTTTGTAGAACAAACTGTAGTCTCTTAACCTCCACTGCTGATCTTGAGGCTACAGCTAGATACGCATTGTCTCCCATCTCTACTGTCAACTCCAACTCTAGTTTCCCTCAACCTCAGTTAGCACACCTGCTGGTCTAAAGGACTTATAATGGTACAACCCAGTTCCTTATCCCTGAAGCCTTTGGTTACCATGCTTTTGGGAAATGTGGATGCTATATTTGTCCATTTACTGTCAAAATTGAGGACGGGGAGTATAATAGGCACCCTAGTGAATCAATTTGGTGCCAAATATATTTTTCTCTGCTTCCGTATGTAAGAAAACTCCCATCTTCTGAATAGTCAGGGCCAGTTACACCTGTCAGGGTGATAACTCCTTTTCTTGCCTGCTGGCCTTTTGACACAGGAACCCTGAAGTCATTGACCTGTGGCCATAGCTTAAAATTGATTGGATATCTCACTGTATTCCTGCTGTATTCATTTCTCCTGTGGGAACTAGACCCTCTAGAATGACAGAACCTAACGTTTTGGGGACAGGAAACACACTATATCATTGGGAGCGGTGGTGAGGGAGGCTGGGCTACTTCTACCCTTAGTTCCTGGACCTATGTATTCTACAAATTGCAACATATAATGATTGCTTTGGCTTTATTTTGCTGCATACCAAATGATCACACATCTGGTGGCATAAGACAACACTCACTATCTCACAGTTCTGTAGGCAGAAGTCTTAATGGACTCAGCTGGGTTCTCTGCTGAGAATCTCACAAGGATGGAATTAAGATGTGTGCCAGGCTGGGCTCTTATATGGAAGTCCTAGGGAGAAATCTGCTTCCAAACTTACACATATTGTTGGCAAAATTTAGTTCCTTATAGGACTCTTTTATTCTTTAACCATCTTCATAACCCTCTGCAGGTAAGGATAACCTGGATGCCATTCTGACATTATCTTTTTTTGCAATAATTGCACCTACTGATTGCGCACAGTGGCTCACACCTGTAATCCCAGCACTTTGGGAAGCTGAGGCGGGTGGATGACTTGAGGTAAGGAGTTCAAGTCCAGCCTGGCCAACATGGCAAAACCCTGTCTCTACTAAAAATACAAACGTTAGCTGGGTGTGGTGGTGCACACTTGTAGTCCCAGCTATTTGGGAGGCTGAGGCAGGAGAATCGCTTGAACCTAGCAGATTGAAGTTCCAGTGAGCTGAGATCGTGCCACTGCACTCCAGGCTGCGTGACAGTGTGACTCTGTCCCAACTAATAATAATAATAATTGCACCTACCTCACTTCCATTGATCAAGTATCTCCATTTGGAACCTATTATATCAGAACCCTCGCATACCCATTGCTATCCGTTTTGTAATGATATCTGCGGTTGGCAGCCCTATGCTGCAGAGATCAGCTGCCACCGAGCTTCCCAGAGATACTCGTGCCACTCTTATTAAGGCATTCCTTATCACTTTGGTAAATGATATATCCTCCATTGCTCCATTGGAACGTAGGACAAAGCCAGCTAGTGAGATTTTCTTTTCTTTTCTTTTCTTTTCTTTTTTTTTTTTTCTGTATGTGGTATCTTAATTCCGGCAGGTTCACTCTCCTGAACCTTTTGATCCTGTTCTTTGCCATCTTCCACAGCAGTTCTGGGATCTCTATTTTACTTAGTATTTACCACTTATTTCTACATTTCTAAGAGCTGTCTTAGTGTGTGAGTATTATTCCCTTGCCAGGTTATTGATATCTTGTATCATAATATTTAACAGGTGTGAACTTTCCCAAATTTAACTTTTTGGTCTGGTCCCGCCCACCTTGATCTAGCATCTTCAGGGTTCAGTTTCACAGGCACACTCTCATATGCTGGCTAGTGTTGCTGTTCCTTCATCATGGAGTGTCTTTCCCTGTTTTGTACTCCAGCACTTCCCCAACCAGATTATGTTGTCACCCAACTCATTATCAGTCTGTGAACCAAGAGGAGAGGTGGAAGTAAATCTTGAGTGGACTCATGTGTTTGCAAGTCAGGGGCCTCTGTATCTTGTTCAGTAAAGAGCGGAATGCTAGCTTCTAGTGAGCCACTTACACAGTTTTAACAGAGCTCAACAGAACCTAGGAATTCAAGGCTTTCGAAATCATCAATCTAGATTCTAAATCCCAAATCTCAGAGTCTCACTCCCTTCTCAATTCAGAACTGATCTTGACACTACAGACTTTCTGGGTTGGAGAATTCAGCCTTCTGTGGAGCTCTTCTATCCTGTAACTACGTCCACTATCCAGAGGAGGTGAAAGTCCCTTTATGTGGTTTCCCCTAACTTATCCACTCTGGGAAATTAGACATTAGTTTCCATCAGCCTTTCACTGTCTTATTCTAATGCATCAATAAATAGCCCTTAGCAACAGCCATCAATTCCAAAATCCTTGAAATTACTGCTGCTTCTGTAATGCTCAAACATCTGAACAATTGCTCCAACAGTGCCCTTCCCTCCACAGTCATTCCACCCCAGTTCTACTGATGAAATTCTAACATTTGCACTGTGACAAATGCAAAGAGTTACTGGTACTCCACCTAATGCCAGTGATGGGGTTGTCATTGCCAGTCAGTGAGTGGTTCAGTCCCAAATTCCTTTTTAGAGTTTGCTTCCTAGCACCACTCCAGGCATCCGTCAACAGTCTTAGATCAGCTTCACTGGAAATAGACTCTGAGACAGAATTTAAATGCAGGAAGTTTATTGGGAAGTGCTCTCAAGAATTTACCTGTCAGAAAGTGGAAATTAGATGTAGGGAGAGGTTGGATGGTAATACTATTGCAACCAGAATTCAGTGGACCCTATAGGGGTTTTGGAGCTGGGATTTTGAGGCAAGAGAACCAGGACTTTACAGCCAGTCATTGAATAGTCATTGGATGCCGGCTACCCCCAAGTAGGGCACTTGATTTTGTTTGGAAAAGATGGCTCCCTCAGTCAAAGGTAATTCCTGGGAAGGGACTCAGCTATTAAACAGCAACATCCCACACTCCACACCAAATAAGTGCCTTGGTCCTAAAAGTGAGACACCACAGCAGGTACTACATGCTGTGAATTCAGTTCCTAGGTCTGCCAAGGTCTAAGCCCTTAAGCAGACCGCTTCTCTCTGTATCTCAGTTTCTTCAGACATAAAGTAAAAACTGTTTGTGGAAGCTGGACTACATAACATCTAAGGAACTCTCTTTCCCCCAAATATGATCAAGCGGTTTTCTAACTTTATGACTTAGCCTCCTGGGATAAAAAATGGTAGAGTGAAAATAAATTGACTAGTGTCAGTTAGACTTGTTTTTAGATCCATCTCTGTCACTTCAAATCTCTTAGGACTTTGACCAAGCTTTACAAACTTCTTTGTGACTCAGTGTTTCTATCTTCAAAATAGGGAGACTGATCATGAGTGCATTAGGGAGACTGATCCTGAGTGCATCGGGTCACTGTGAGGCTTAAATGAGATTAATTTCTCCTCTTTTTCCATCTTTCTCACTTTCAACAAATATTAAAAGACTTTGGGGGGGAGGAGCCAAGATGGCCGAATAGGAACAGCTCCGGTCTACAGCTCCCAGTGTGAGCGACGCAGAAGACGGGTGATTTCTGCATTTCCATCTGAGGTACCGGGTTCATCTCACTAGGGAGTGCCAGACAGTGGGCGCAGGCCAGTGTGTGTGCGCACCGTGCGCGAGCCGAAGCAGGGCGAGGCATTGCCTCACCTGGGAAGCGCAAGGGGTCAGGGAGTTCCCTTTCTGAGTCAGGGAAAGGGGTGACGGATGGCACCTGGAAAATCGGGTCACTCCCACCCGAATATTGCGCTTTTCAGACCGGCTTAAGAAACGGCGCACCACGAGACGATATCCCACACCTGGCTCAGAGGGTCCTACCCCACGGAGTCTCGCTGATTGCTAGCACAGCAGTCTGAGATCAAACTGCAAGGCGGCAACGAGGCTGGGGGAGGGGCGCCCGCCATTGCCCAGGCTTGCTTAGGTAAACAAAGCAGCCAGGAAGCTCGAACTGGGTGGAGCCCACCACAGCTCAAGGAGGCCTGCCTGCCTCTGTAGGCTCCACCTCTGGGGGCAGGGCACAGACAAACAAAAAGACAGCAGTAACCTCTGCAGACTTAAGTGTCCCTGTCTGACAGCTTTGAAGAGAGCAGTGGTTCTCCCAGCACGCAGCTGGAGATCTGAGAACGGGCAGACTGCCTCCTCAAGTGGGTCCCTGACCCCTGACCCCCGAGCAGCCTAACTGGGAGGCACCCCCCAGCAGGGGCACACTGACACCTCACACGGCAGGGTATTCCAACAGACCTGCAGCTGAGGGTCCTGTCTGTTAGAAGGAAAACTAACAACCAGAAAGGACATCTACACCGAAAACCCATCTGTACATCACCATCATCAAAGACCAAAAGTAGATAAAACCACAAAGATGGGGAAAAAACAGAACAGAAAAACTGGAAACTCTAAAACGCAGAGCGCCTCTCCTCCTCCAAAGGAACGCAGTTCCTCACCAGCAACGGAACAAAGCTGGATGGAGAATGATTTTGATGAGCTGAGAGAAGAAGGCTTCAGACGATCAAATTACTCTGAGCTATGGGAGGACATTCAAACCAAAGGCAAAGAAGTTGAAAACTTTGAAAAAAATTTAGAAGAATGTATAACTAGAATAACCAATACAGAGAAGTGCTTAAAGGAGCTGATGGAGCTGAAAACCAAGGCTCGAGAACTACGTGAAGAATGCAGAAGCCTCAGGAGCCGATGCGATCAACTGGAAGAAAGGGTATCAGCAATGGAAGATGAAATGAATGAAATGAAGCGAGAAGGGAAGTTTAGAGAAAAAAGAATAAAAAGAAATGAGCAAAGCCTCCAAGAAATATGGGACTATGTGAAAAGACCAAATCTACGTCTGATTGGTGTACCTGAAAGTGATGTGGAGAATGGAACCAAGTTGGAAAACACTCTGCAGGATATTATCCAGGAGAACTTCCCCAATCTAGCAAGGCAGGCCAACATTCAGATTCAGGAAATACAGAGAAAGCCACAAAGATACTCCTCGAGAAGAGCAACTCCAAGACACATAATTGTCAGATTCACCAAAGTTGAAATGAAGGAAAAAATGTTAAGGGCAGCCAGAGAGAAAGGTCGGGTTACCCTCAAAGGAAAGCCCATCAGACTAACAGCGGATCTCTCGGCAGAAACCCTACAAGCCAGAAGAGAGTGGGGGCCAATATTCAACATTCTTAAAGAAAAGAATTTTCAACCCAGAATTTCATATCCAGCCAAACTAAGCTTCATAAGTGAAGGAGAAATAAAATACTTTATAGACAAGCCAATGCTGAGAGATTTTGTCACCACCAGGCCTGCCCTAAAAGAGCTCCTGAAGGAAACGCTAAACATGGAAAGGAACAACCGGTACCAGCCGCTGCAAAATCATGCCAAAATGTAAAGACCATCGAGACTAGGAAGAAACTGCATCAACTAATGAGCAAAATCACCAGCTAACATCATAATGACATGATCAAATTCACACATAACAATATTAACTTTAAATATAAATGGACTAAATTCTGCAATTAAAAGACACAGACTGGCAAGTTGGATAAAGAGTCAAGACCCATCAGTGTGCTGTATTCAGGAAACCCATCTCACGTGCAGAGACACACATAGGCTCAAAATAAAAGGATGGAGGAAGATCTACCAAGCAAATGGAAAACAAAAAAAGGCAGGGGTTGCAATCCTAGTCTCTGATAAAACAGACTTTAAACCAACAAAGATCAAAAGAAACAAAGAAGGCCATTACATAATGGTAAAGGGATCAATTCAACAAGAGGAGCTAACTATCCTAAATATTTATGCACCCAATACAGGAGCACCCAGATTCATAAAGCAAGTCCTGAGTGACCTACAAAGAGACTTAGACTCCCACACATTAATAATGGGAGACTTTAACACCCCACTGTCAACATTAGACAGATCAATGAGACAGAAAGTCAACAAGGATACCCAAGAATTGAACTCAGCTCTGCACCAAGCAGACCTAATAGACATCTACAGAACTCTCCACCCCAAATCAACAGAATATACATTTTTTTCAGCACCACACCACACCTATTCCAAAATTGACCACATAGTTGGAAGTAAAGCTCTCCTCAGCAAATGTAAAAGAACAGAAATTATAACAAACTATCTCTCAGACCACAGTGCAATCAAACTAGAACTCAGGATTAAGAATCTCACTCAAAGCCGCTCAACTACATGGAAACTGAACAACCTGCTCCTGAATGACTACTGGGTACATAACGAAATGAAGGCAGAAATAAAGATGTTCTTTGAAACCAACGAGAACAAAGACACCACATACCAGAATCTCTGGGACGCATTCAAAGCAGTGTGTAGAGGGAAATTTATAGCACTAAATGCCTACAAGAGAAAGCAGGAAAGATCCAAAATTGACACCCTAACATCACAATTAAAAGAACTAGAAAAGCAAGAGCAAACATATTCAAAAGCTAGCAGAAGGCAAGAAATAACTAAAATCAGAGCAGAACTGAAGGAAATAGAGACACAAAAAACCCTTCAAAAAATCAATGAATCCAGGAGCTGGTTTTTTGAAAGGATCAACAAAATTGATAGACCACTAGCAAGACTAATAAAGAAAAAAAGAAGAATCAAATAGACATAATAAAAAATGATAAAGGGGATATCACCACCGATCCCACAGAAATACAAACTACCATCAGAGAATACTACAAACACCTCTACGCAAATAAACTAGAAAATCTAGAAGAAATGGATACATTCCTCGACACATACACTCTCCCAAGACTAAACCAGGAAGAAGTTGAATCTCTGAATAGACCAATAACAGGCTCTGAAATTGTGGCAATAATCAATAGTTTACCAACCAAAAAGAGTCCAGGACCAGATGGATTCACAGCCGAATTCTACCAGAGGTACAAGGAGGAACTGGTACCATTCCTTCTGAAATTATTCCAATCAATAGAAAAAGAGGGAATCCTCCCTAACTCATTTTATGAGGCCAGCATCATTCTGATACCAAAGCCGGGCAGAGACACAACCAAAAAAGAGAATTTTAGACCAATATCTTTGACGAACATTGATGCAAAAATCTTCAATAAAATACTGGCAAACCGAATCCAGCAGCACATCAAAAAGCTTATCCACCATGATCAAGTGGGCTTCATCCCTGGGATGCAAGGCTGGTTCAATATACGCAAATCAATAAATGTAATCCAGCATATAAACAGAGCCAAAGACAAAAACCACATGATTATCTCAATAGATGCAGAAAAAGCCTTTGACAAAATTCAACAACCCTTCATGCTAAAAACTCTCAATAAATTAGGTATTGATGGGACGTATTTCAAAATAATAAGAGCTATCTATGACAAACCCACAGCCAATATCATACTGAATGGGCAAAAACTGGAAGCATTCCCTTTGAAAACTGGCACAAGACAGGGATGCCCTCTCTCACCGCTCCTATTCAACATAGTGTTGGAAGTTCTGGCCAGGGCAATCAGGCAGGAGAAGGAAATAAAGGGTATTGAATTAGGAAAAGAGGAAGTCAAATTGTCCCTGTTTGCAGACGACATGATTGTTTGTCTAGAAAACCCCATCGTCTCAGCCCAAAATCTCCTTAAGCTGATAAGCAACTTCAGCAAAGTCTCAGGATACAAAATCAATGTACAAAAATCACAAGCATTCTTATACACCAACAACAGACAAACAGAGAGCCAAATCATGAGTGAACTCCCATTCACAATTGCTTCAAAGAGAATAAAATACCTAGGAATCCAACTTACAAGGGATGTGAAGGACCTCTTCAAGGAGAACTACAAACCACTGCTCAAGGAAATAAAAGAGGACACAAACAAATGGAAGAACATTCCATGCTCATGGGTAGGAAGAATCAATATCGTGAAAATGGCCATACTGCCCAAGGTAATTTACAGATTCAATGCCATCCCCATCAAGCTACCAATGACTTTCTTCACAGAATTGGAAAAAACTACTTTAAAGTTCATATGGAACCAAAAAAGAGCCCGCATCGCCAAGTCAATCCTAAGCCAAAAGAACAAAGCTGGAGGCATCACACTACCTGACTTCAAACTATACTACAAGGCTACAGTAACCAAAACAGCATGGTACTGGTACCAAAACAGAGATATAGATCAATGCAACAGAACAGAGCCCTCAGAAATAATGCCGCATATCTACAACTATCTGATCTTTGACAAACCTGAGAGAAACAAGCAATGGGGAAAGGATTCCCTATTTAACAAATGGTGCTGGGAAAACTGGCTAGCCATATGTAGAAAGCTGAAACTGGATCCCTTCCTTACACCTTATACAAAAATCAATTCAAGATGGATTAAAGATTTAAACGTTAGACCTAAAACCATAAAAACCCTAGAAGAAAACCTAGGCATTACCATTCAGGACATAGGCGTGGGCAAGGACTTCATGTCCAAAACACCAAAAGCAATGGCAACAAAAGACAAAATTGACAAATGGGATCTAATTAAACTAAAGAGCTTCTGCACAGCAAAAGAAACTACCATCAGAGTGAACAGGCAACCTACAACATGGGAGAAAATTTTCGCAACCTACTCATCTGACAAAGGGCTAATATCCAGAATCTACAATGAACTCAAACAAATTTACAAGAAAAAAACAAACAACCCCATCAAAAAGTGGGCAAAGGACATGAACAGACACTTCTCAAAAGAAGACATTTATGCAGCCAAAAAACACATGAAGAAATGCTCATCATCACTGGCCATCAGAGAAAGGCAAATCAAAACCACTATGAGATATCATCTCACACCAGTTAGAATGGCAATCATTAAAAAGTCAGGAAACAACAGGTGCTGGAGAGGATGTGGAGAAATAGGAACACTTTTACACTGTTGGTGGGACTGTAAACTAGTTCAACCATTGTGGAAGTCAGTGTGGCGATTCCTCAGGGATCTAGAACTAGAAATACCATTTGACCCAGCCATCCCATTACTGGGTATATACCCAAAGGACTATAAATCATGCTGCTCTAAAGACACATGCACACGTATGTTTATTGCGGCACTATTCACAATAGCAAAGACTTGGAACCAACCCAAATGTCCAACAATGATAGACTGGATTAAGAAAATGTGGCACATATACACCATGGAATACTATGCAGCCATAAAAAATGATGAGTTCATGTCCTTTGTAGGGACATGGATGAAATTGGAAACCATCATTCTCAGTAAACTATCACAAGAACAAAAAACCAAACACTGCATATTCTCACTCATAGGTGGGAATTGAACAATGAGATCACATGGACACAGGAAGGGGAATATCACACTCTGGGGACTGTGGTGGGGTTGGGGGAGGGGGGAGGGATAACATTGGGAGATATACCTAATGCTAGATGACACGTTAGTGGGTGCAGTGCACCAGCATGGCACATGTATACATATGTAACTAACCTGCACAATGTGCACATGTACCCTAAAACTTAGAGTATAATAAAAAAAAAAAAACATTAAAAAAAAAAAAAGACTTTGGTTTGTGATATTCTGCCTTAATATAGAAGTTCATTTGTATTATATTCATTAGATCACATAGCCAACGTAATTCAATCAATATCTATGCATTTTTCTGCATGCAATTTAGCTGTGTCTGAGAAAATCCACTTGAGTGAATGGAGGAAGCTTTATCCAATAGGAGAGCAGGTAGCAGCAGTGCTTGGGGAGATAGCAGTGCAGGTCCTGCATATGAGGAGGTGGGTTATCTTACCACTGTGTCCCCCTCCTGGTGGTGAATTACCCTGACACAATTACCACAGGAATGTTTCCCCGATAGTGTATCATTCTGTTATTCTTCTTGGATGAGTTTGTTTGATGAAACATAGTCCAGTGGCATGTCTTCAGTGAGAAGCATTCAGGTGGAAGCAGGACTTGCCTTTCATAGAAAGGGAGGGCAGGAAGTCAAGGTGAGAGGGGAGATGAGCTGAAAGACCAAGGCCATTGTATTAATCTGTTCTCACCCTGCTAATAAAGACATACCCAAGACTGGGTAATTTATAAAGAAAAAGAGCTTTAATGGACTCACAGTTCCATGTGGCTGGGGAGGCCTCAACAATAATGGCAGATGGTAAAAGGCACGTCTTACATGGCAGCAGACAAGAGAGGGAATGAAAACCAAGCAAAAGGGGAAACGCCTTATAAAAACGTCAGATATCACGAGACTTATTCACTATCACGAGAACAGTATGGTGGAAAGCATATCCATGATCCCATTATCTCCCATCAGGTCCCTCCCACAACATGTGGGAATTATGGGAGCTACTATTCAAGATGAGATTTAGGTGGGGACACAGCCAAACCATATCAGCCATGCTCTTTTAGGTGTTAAGGAAAACACATTTGTAGTGATATTTGCACAATTAATCTTGTTCAAGAGAAGAAGCCTATGGTGGGACTAGAATCAAAGGATAAATGGTCATTCATCTCATAGAGAAATTCCACATTCAGAAAGGCTCTTGACTTCAGCTCTTTCCGGTGGCTGCAATGATCCAACTTTCCATCTGAGGACACAGGTCTGCCCCCAAAGCTCTCTAGACTAAGAAATGAGGTTCTGAATACCTTGAATAGAATATACAAAGTCAATGATACAGAGGGAAGATCACTTACGCTGGCATAGAATAGAACTGACTTTGAATTTCTAGCTCTCTTATTTACTTGCTGATAACTTAGGAGAAATTAACTTCTCTGAGCCTAAGCGTCTTTGGATATTAAAGAGAGATAATCATACCTTCTGTAAAGAGAGACTGTGAGAAATAAATTAGATTACCATATAGAACACCAGGAAAAAATTGGATGGTCAATAACATATATCTTTTATTATCAGTCACTTTGGTTACTTCCTCCTGATCCTTATCCTCGGAGAGCATCTGTCTTCATAATGGAGATTTAGCCTTGATCATTTTCCTTGAGTTATTGGGCCTGATTTCTGTCAATAAATGCAGCCCAGGCTTGCTTTTGCCATTCCCTTCCTACAGAGTTGTTTCTGAACCTTCAAGCCTGAGGACGTCTCTCCCTGATATGCCTATCTATCTGGATTTTAGTATAACTCAGTATAGATGCTTCCTACAAAATGGAAATGTTGCTCACCTTGGCTCTCCATAGTCAGTTGCTCACTTGTACTGTAAATATATCTATGATCATTGTCCTGTGCCTTGCCTATCAAGCTGAGCTGCATTTTACGTGGTTGGGTTGTTTCCTTCCAGCTTCTTCTTCTGTCTGCCTCAGTGGAAAAGTGCAATTCCAGGTACTTTTCTGTCTTCTCTTTCAGCTTGGGAAGATGGATCAATATGGCCTGTAGAGTAAGAAGACCTATATCCAGATCTGCATTTTACTGTTTTCTCTGGGTGAGTCACTTTTTATGTGCTAAGGTTGCTGTAAGTGTTGAATGTGATAGAAGTAATGACAGACATTTTCTTTTTTTTAAAATTATTATTATTTTTTTGCTATTTATTTATTTATTTATTTATTATTATTATACTTAAAGTTTTAGGGTACATGTGCACAATGTGCAGGTTAGTTACATATGTATACAAGTGCCATGCTGGTGCGCTGCACCCACTAACTCGTCATCTAGCATTAGGTATATCTCTCAATGCTATCCCTCCCCCCTCCCCCCACCCCACAACAGTCCCCAGAGTGTGATGTTCCCCATCCTGTGTCCATGTGTTCTCATTGTTCAATTCCCACCTATGAGTGAGAATATGCGGTGTTTGGTTTTTTGTTCTTGCGATAGTTTACTGAGAATGATGATTTCCAATTTCATCCATGTCCCTACAAAGGACATGAACTCATCATTCTTTATGGCTGCATAGTATTCCATGGTGTATATGTGCCACATTTTCTTAATCCAGTCTATCATTGTTGGACATTTGGGTTGGTTCCAAGTCTTTGCTGTTGTGAATAATGCCGCAATAAACATACGTGTGCATGTGTCTTTATAGCAGCATGATTTATAGTCCTTTGGGTATATACCCAGTAATGGGATGGCTGGGTCAAATGGTATTTCTAGTTCTAGATCCCTGAGGAATCGCCACACTGACTTCCACAATGGTTGAACTAGTTTACAGTCCCACCAACAGTGTAAAAGTGTTCCTATTTCTCCACATCCTCTCCAGCACCTGTTGTTTCCTGACTTTTTAATGATTGCCATTCTAACTGGTGTGAGATGGTATCTCATAGTGGTTTTGATTTGCCTTTCTCTGATGGCCAGTGATGGTGAGCATTTTTTCATGTGTTTTTTTGGCTGCATAAATGTCTTCTTTTGAGAAGTGTCTGTTCATGTCCTTTGCCCACTTTTTGATGGGGTTGTTTGTTTTTTTCTTGTAAATTTGTTTGAGTTCATTGTAGATTCTGGATATTAGCCCTTTGTCAGATGAGTATGTTGTGAAAATTTTCTCCCATTTTGTAGGCTGCCTGTTCACTCTGATGGTAGTTTCTTTTGCTGTGCAGAAGCTCTTTAGTTTAATTAGATCCCATTTGTCAATTTTGTCTTTTGTTGCCATTGCTTTTGTTGTTTTAGACATGGAGTCCTTGCCCATGCCTATGTCCTGAATGGTAATGCCTAGGTTTTCTTCTAGGGTTTTTATGGTTTTAGGTCTAACGTTTAAGTCTTTAATCCATCTTGAATTGATTTTTGTATAAGGTGTAAGGAAGGGATCCAGTTTCAGCTTTCTACATATGGCTAGCCAGTTTTCCCAGCACCATTTATTAAATAGGGAATCCTTTCCCCATTGCTTGTTTTTCTCAGGTTTGTCAAAGATCAGATAGTTGTAGATATGTGGCATTATTTCTGAGGGCTCTGTTCTGTTCCATTGATCTACATCTCTGTTTTGGTACCAGTACCATGCTGTTTTGGTTACTGTAGCCTCGTAGTATAGTTTGAAGTCAGGTAGCGGGATGCTTCCAGCTTTGTTCTTTTGGCTTAGGATTGCCTTGGCAATGCGGGCTCTTTTTTTGTTCCATATGAACTTTAAAGTAGTTTTTTCCAATTCTGTGAAGAAAGTCATTGGTAGCTTGATGGGGATGGCATTGAATCTGTAAATTACCTTGGGCAGTATGGCCATTTTCACAATATTGATTCTTCCTACCCATGAGCATGGAACGTTCTTCCATTTGTTTGTATCCTCTTTGATTTCCTTGAGCAGTGGTTTGTAGTTCTCCTTGAAGAGGTCCTTCACATCCCTTGTAAGTTGGATTCCTAGGTATTTTATTCTCTTTGAAGCAATTGTGAATGGGAATTCACTCATGATTTGGCTCTCTGTTTGTCTGTTGTTGGTGTATAAGAATGCTTGTGATTTTTGTACATTGATTTTGTATCCTGAGACTTTGCTGAAGTTGCTTATCAGCTTCAGGAGATTTTGGGCTGAGACGATGGGGCTTTCTAGATGTACAATCATGTCTGCAAACAGGGACAATTTGACTTCCTCATTTCCTAATTGAATACCCTTTATTTCCTTCTCCTGCCTAATTACCCTGGCCAGAACTTCCAACACTATGTTGAATAGGAGTGGTGAGAGAGGGCATCCCTGTCTTGTGCCAGTTTTCAAAAGGAATGCTTCCAGTTTTTGCCAATTCAGTATGATATTGGCTGTGGGTTTGTCATAGATAGCTCTTATTATTTTGAGATACATCCCATCAATACCTAATTTATTGAGAGTTTTTAGCATGAAGCATTGTTGAATTTTGTCAAAGGCCTTTTCTGCATCTCTTGAGATAATCATGTGGTTTTTGTCTTTGGTTCTGTTTATATGCTGGATTACATTTATTGATTTGCGTATATTGAACCAGCCTTGCATCCCAGGGATGAAGCCCACTTGATCATGGTGGATAAGCTTTTTGATGTGCTGCTGGATTCGGTACCATTCCTTCTGAAACTATTCCAATCAATAGAAAAAGAGGGAATCCTCCCTAACTCATTTTATGAGGCCAACATCATCCTGATACCAAAGCCGGGCAGAGACACAACCAACAAAGAGAATTTTAGACCAATATCCTTGATGAACATTGATGCAAAAATCCTCAATAAAATAATGACAGACATTTTTGTGCGGTCTTACTCTGTGCCAATCATTGTGGTAAGCTCATCACAGTAATTATTTAATTTAATTCTCATAATATCCTAATATCTTCAATGTGAAAAATCTCTATTATTTTCATTTTACAGATAAGACTGAGAGTCAAAGTGAGGACAGGAAGATAGGAAGGCAGATGTCAGAGAAAGGATCATAAGGTAGTGGAGAAAAGAAAAGAAAAAAAAAGAACAGGTCTTTAAGAGAGGAGACACAACAGTAAGTTGCAACAAGTAGAACTTTCAGCTTTCTATGCCGTCTTCTTTGTAAGCAACAAACTTTTCTAAAATCTGAATGGCAACAAGAAAAGCAGTGGAGTCATAGAGTCAGAGTTTGAACAGGACAGAGCATTTACTTATGCTTTTTCTGAATACCTAGATGCCAACACTTTTTTAGCACACTTATTAAACCAAACCAGTCTGAGTATTTTGTCTCTTTCCTCTAATGTCTAGTCCAAGAATTCAATTCTAGATCCCAGAATTGATACTCTGTAGGCTGGTGGTTGGAGCTGGCCTAGGGATGGAATTATTTCAATGTTCAGAATGCCTCATTTATTCAACCAATATTTAAATGTATTGTATAGACAAGGTATAGTCTGTACTGGGGATAAAGGGGAGAGCTGGATATTGTTTGGGTATGAAGGGCTTAAGCCTCAGCTTCATCTTTTGTCTTTGGGGTGCAGAGTGTGTGTGTAGACAGGACCATGGAATTTATAATATTTGGAAGTACAAATAATTTTACTTGTAAAACTACTTAGTTTCAGGTCCATCAAATAAAGCATGTGGCTTAGTGACTGACATCATCCACGTGGATCAACTTGGATCATTTACAATTTTTATTCTTTTTCCATAATTAGTAGTTGATAAAGGTTGGCTCTGTGTTCCCAACCAAATATCATGTTGAATTGTAATCCTCAGTGTTGGAGGAGGGACCTAGTGTGAGGTGACTGGATCATAGGGGCAGACATACCCCTTACTGTTCTCATGATAGTGAGTGAGTTCTCACGAGATCTGGTTGTTTAAAAGTGTGTAGCACTTCCCCCTTCACTCTCTCTCTCCTGCTCCACCATGTGAAAATGTGACTGCTTCTCTTATACCTTCCACCGTGATTGTAAGTTTCCTGAGGCTTTCCAAGCCATGCTTCCTGTACAGCCTGCAGAACTGTGAGTCAATTAAACCTCTTTTCTTTATAAGTTATTGTATAATAGCAGTGCGATAACAAACTAATACAGTAGTCTTATTTAGCTTGATCCTCATCTATGAAATGGGCACCATTATAATCATACCTATATCAAAAATGTGTTTTAAGTATTGCTAATATCCTTTGTAAACTACACACTGTGCCCCCTCCCCCACACCACATACAATGTTTTGATAAAGGGCTTCGTAATTTATTTTTAAAAAGTTTACATTCACTATTTAACAGTTACAACAATCTTTTACAGTGGGTATCTCTTTCCTCAGTTTATATTATAACAGATAAGAAAATTGGCATTCAGAAGTCTGAGCATGCTGACCCAGTTTAATAGATGTAGGAGACAAGGCTCAAGCATAGATCATAGCAAATCAGATTCCAAGTCCTGAGTTTCAAGATATCAGCTTCCTTTCAAAATCTCCTAATTACCCTTGTTAATTGGCAGGTCTTTCATGAAAATATCGTGGATCATGCTGAAAAAGAACTTGCTACTTTTTATATATTTTCAGAAGAAAGGGTGAAGAGAACCAGCTTTAGTTAGAGTCTCTGTATTATAGGTGACATAACCGAGGCTGTGGGATGTATTTCCAGCTTAAAGACATACAGCTAGTGAGTCACAAGATGTGATTGGAGCCCCTGTCACACTTTGGCAACATGGCTGCCTCCGTTGCAAGCTCCTCTAGGTTCCTCGGGCAACACAGTCTCCACCTCTGAACTGTTTTCATGATGCTCTGCATTTTCTGTTTAAAAATGCCCAGTGGGAATACACACTGGGAGGCAATTTAGCCAAATATCCTTTTTAGCAAATGATTTATTTACTGCTGCTAGGACAGCATTTTCTCCTAATCTTTATCCGGCCCTCTTTGTTGCTTCCTGTCTTTCTTGTTCACTTCTCGCCAGGAAGCCTCTTATCTTTGCTGATTTGGGGCCAGTTCATCTTCTCCTCATGGTAAATCTGAGGCTAATGGGCACCCAGAAGAAAAGCAAAGCCTAAGGCCACTCAGAAACACAAGTATCTTTTCTTGTAATAGACAAATTATTTCTTCCCCTAAATTCTTAAATGGGATGCCTCCTAATGAGATTTCTTCCCCTCACACTATCAACTTTTTCTCATGTATCCATCCTTCTCCAAACCAAGGATAACTGAACAAACTTAGATTATTTGGGGAATAGGAAATAAGTTTGATAAAAATCAGTGTGCTTTTGGTGTTTGCATATCTGGAAGATGCATTTGAGAGAAAGGAGGCCGTATTACAGGATCATGACAAAGAGAAAATGGTATATAGTGGCCTTGTACTCTGAGCTCATATACTAAACATAACCACTTTCATTTTATGCATTCAGAGGGGCATATGTCTAGTCGATTGTGAAGACAGACCAAAATTCACTGAAAGCCTTTCTCTTCATTATATTACCTATCAAGATGAAAAGTATAACCTTGCTTGTCAGCTTTGATGGAGGCTACATAGTTGAATAAGATGTTGTCAATAGAGCAAGACCAACTTAGCTCAACCTGGAATACTTTTTCCTGCCTGTCACCATGGCTTGCTCCCTCACATGTTTCAGGTCTTTGCTCAGGTATCACATTCTCAGTGAGGTCATCCTTGTTCATCCTATTCAAATTGTTTCTCTAACATCCTCTCTCTTCCTTTCCTGATTTATAGCCTCTGTAATATTTATCACCACCTGACCCATTATATATTATACTTATTTATTTGTTTACTGCCTCTCTTCCCTTGCTAGACTGTAAGCCACATAAGGCAGGAATTTTTAACCATTTTGTTCACTATTGCATTCCCAATGCTCAGAACAGTGCCCAGCACATAGTAGGTGTTCAGTGAATATCTGTTGAGTGAATAAATGAATGAATGGAGGAAGGGCAGTTAGGTGCCTAGGTGCCTAGTGGTGAGACCCAGAGCTCTATCCCGAGTGCTTCCCAGATCGAGACATTTTTTTTTCCCCCACTGGCAAAGAGCACAAAAATGCATTTCAGATGCTAGCTCTGCCCAGACTAGATGGCTTTTGCTATTTAATTTTTGAAATCGAGATGAGAGCTTTATATTCATTATGTGAAATCTCAGCCTTTGACCTTGATAATCTGAGATTGTTTTTGGTGTCTGTTCTCTGACCTCAAAATGCTAGATGGTTTTGTCTTCTGCACCTTCCCTTCAAAATCCTCAGCCCTACCCCTGGTGCTCGGACTCCTCAGTCTTATAGCCTATACTCCATTATTTCCAGATCAGGCTGTCATCTGGCCTTCAACAAACTCTATGTCAAAAGTTGTCTGATTTCAAAGCAAAATGCATTTTAATTGAGCATCCTGGAGAACAAAAAGCTCTTTCATATTTTCATGTTAGCATTCTGTTTTTACTGCCATTTAGTTCTTTTGTTTTTCTATTATGATACAAAGAAATTTTGGTAGGCTTACAGAGTGAATTCACTTTTTAGCAAGTCTACTGGATTCATATTTTTTGTAGCATGCCTTATGAATCTCAGTTAATAAGACAAAATTTAAAAGAAGAAAATAGCTGCTCTCAATAACGTATAGAGTGAAGTCATTTCCGCCTCTTTCTTAGCTTTCTTCAGGCCACTCTCCACAGGGCCTGGGAATGAGCCACTTGCTTTTCACACCTCACTGATTCTTGCAGAAGGGTCACATTGTTTCATTCTCCATTTGCATCGTGGTGTTGGGTCTTTGAAGCAGGCAGATTTGCTGCCACAAGCCACCTAGTTGGCCTCCTGTCAGGGAGCTTTAACTACTCAAGCTGGGCTCAGGGACACAGCCCAGAACTCTCCTACCTATTTCTTGTCTTTCCCATTGTCCCCTGGGCTCAGTTCTATGCTTGTCTGTTTCCTAAACATTTTAGCTTAATCTCCACTCTCTGATCTTGTGCTGACCTCCTGTATCAGTGGCATATTCAGTTTGCCTAGTTTGGGTCATTACCTATTTCTTACAGGCCAGGTTTTCACTTATCCTAGAGGTTTGGAATCATCCTTTCTTGGCTGCTCTTATCTAAATATCTAGGATCATCAAGATTCAGTCTCCAGTGCCAGCTTACTTTACAGGAGAAACTCAAAAACATAGGGAGTACATGCACTCTCTTTCCATCTCCCAAGGAATTGCCAACTTTTTTAGCATGTTCTTCTTCCCCCTGCTAACAAAAAGGAAAAAGAAAGGGGAAGAGAAAGGGAAGTATTAAATAAGCAATAACAAAGAGAATAAAGAACATAAATTATTAAAGACAAGCCCAAAACAAGCCAAACAAACAACAACAACAACAAAAAACACCTTGTAAAAACACTCACTAAAGTGGAACAAGAAGGAAAATTTCCCAACATGATAAAAATGGCATCTGAAAAAACCCCACAGCTAACATCATACTGAATGGTGCAAGACTGGATGCTTTCCCGCTAAGATTAGGAACAAGACAAAGATTCTATTTTTTCTTTCCTGGAAGTTCTAGCCAGGGAAATTAGGCAAGAAAAAGAAAAGGCATCCAGTTTGGAAAAGAAGAAGTAAAATTATTGCTATTTACAGAAGACATGGTCTGTATATAGAAAGTGCTAAAAATCCACTAAAAACTACTAAAACTAATAAATTAGTTCAGCAAGTTTGCAGGATACAGGATGAATACACAATAATTAACTGTATTCCTACACAGACACAGCAAACAATACTTTCATCTTAGATTTTCAGAAGTTTGATACTGGAAATGTCTATGTTTGTGTTTATTTATTATTTATTTTTTACTCAGTACATTTACTGAATAAGTTTTTAGATCTGCAAATTAACTGTTTTGGTAATTATTAATATTATTTACCAAATTTGAGAAATTTTATGACCATTATTTAATTTTTTTTTATTTTTGTTGTCTCATTTATTCTCTTCTCTATTCCAAGAGTTGAATTTCATGTATAATAGGCTATTTGAAATTATCCTAAATCTCACCATGGCTCTAATCATTTTTTTTAAATATCATTTTCTTTTTTATTTATCAGATTTAACCTTTTTATTGATTTTTCTTCTAGTTCAAGGTTTTTCATCTGTTCTTTCAAATTTGCTGTTAGCCTACTCAGTTAAATTTCTATTTCTGATAACTTTTTCTTTTTATGGTTTCCATTTTTACCTTTTTGTAGTTTTCATTTTATTGTTGAGGTTTTCCATACATTCCCTCATATGTCCATATTTTCTTTTAAATCTTTGCACTTGATTTATCAGTCTTTTGAAGTCCTTTTCTGGTATTTTTTTCTTCTGTTTTGTTTCATGATTGTTCCTATGAACTTCTTTTTCTTAAGTTATTTGTCAAATTTTCCTGATTCATTACAGCCTGCACATTTTTGTTGTATGTTGGCTCTTGTGGGTGATGTGCTATAAGAAGTCTGGATTATAAGGTCTTCCTTTAAAGGAAAGCAAGTATATTATTGTCTGCATCCTCTCCTGTCATGCTGGTTTTTATACTTTGTGTTAGTCCATTTTCACGCTGCTGATAAACGCTTACGCAAATTATAAAGAAAAAAAGTTTTAACGGGCTCACAGTTCCATGTGGCACATGGCTGGGGAGGCCTTATAATCACGGTGGAAGGCAAAAGACATGTCTTACCTGGCAGCAGGCAAGACAGAATCAGAACCAAGCAAAAGAGGTTTTCCCTTATAAAAACCATCAGATCTCATCAGACTTATTCACTACCATGAGAACAGTATGGAAGAAGCCTTCTCTGTGATTGAATCATCTCTCACCGGGTCCTCCCACAACACCTGGAAATTATGGGAGCTATAATTCAAGAGGAGATTTGGGTGGGGACACAGCCAAACCAGGTAATACTTCTTGAGAGGTTAGTGTCTTATTTCTTTTATTACTAGGGAATGACTCTTTTTTCAGGGAATGTTCTTTGCTTCTGAAGTGAGAAATTTCTGGGGTCTCAACTCAATGCCCAGGGTGCTCAGTCAGGTGTCTCCACTGTGCTGGCCTGAAACTTCAGTGTCTCCTGGTCCTCTATGGCCTCTAGATTTGCTTCAGCTTTCAGCCTGCAGCAGCCACTGTTGGATCAGCATTTTTAGTCTCTGTGCATGTCCAGCCCAGTTTTCTGCTAAGAGCTGTAATGATCCCCATACAAACTTCTGGGATCCCATTTGTGCATGATTCCCTCCTCTTGGTAGACTTCCCTCAAATTCAAACATTCATGAATATCATTCAATGCCCCCTCAGCCCAGCTCAACCTCAGCATCTGCCTGGGCTTCTTGGCCCCACTCCATGAGTAAGAACATGTAGTCAGGAGATGTGAGCATCATCATCGCCTCTGATCAGGTGTTTGCCTTCTTATTAGGATAATTATAGTCTTTCTCTGTCTCTTATCCAGTTTCTAAGAACAGTTGCTTCATTCATTCTTATTGTTTGCATTTTATAGTTGTTTATGGTAGGTAGGTAGGTCTGATAACAATTCCTCTCACATGGCCATGATAAAGTCACCATTCATTAAGTTTTTATTTTCCACAAATTTATTCATTTTTAGAAGTTTGAGTGTATTTTATATCTGCTCTTTAATTCTCAATAATGTCTTATTTTGCTCATTTTTGTGATAATGCCTTTTATCTTGTTAAACCTTTCATGAGTATTGATTTATTATTATCTATCTTACAATTCCAAAAACTGCAATCCTTGGTGAATTAAATTATTTCTAATTTCTGCTGACTTACATTCTTGTGGTTGGTATTCTGCATATTTGTTGATCTTTGATTTTTGAGATCATTGTTTGATGCTAATTTGTCAAAATCTTCAAGGTCAACATTGGGGAAACCTTCCTCCAAAGTACAGATGTTTATGCAGACTTCCAGGGGTTAAAACTAGCTACAGATCACTTCAACACCCCTCAAAAGGCTTGACTCAGTTCTGATGCCCAAGGCTTTATTCTCCCACCTCAACTTTGTCCCATGGTTTCCATGTAAATAGCTTGCAGTTATCAGCACCTGCTGTCAGGGAATCATCCAACTTCCTGTTGTAACATTGGCTTCATCTACATGCTACTTTATCCCTGGTTCTTTTTATCACCTTCTTACATTGGATGACAAAACAATTGGAAAGATTCATTACATGTTATGAGAAGGATAATTCTTTAAGAGGTATGTCCTCTTCAGAATATTTTATGTGAGAGGGACTGTCAGAGCACTTTAGTTAGCAACAGTGCCAGAAATGGACATTGCTCTGTTCTCTACATTCATCTGCTTTTTCATAGGATAAGTATTTGCATGTAATAGTATTCTAATTTACACTGGATTTTGCAGTTATACAGAATGGCACTCTAAATTTTTGATATTTATAAACATTGAAAATACATATAAACAAAAATAAATAACAAAAAATGTATTTTGATGAGTCTTAGAATGAATGGAGATCCCCAGTCAGAAGAATGTGATTGGTAGAAACATATATTAGGTCTGTACTATTGAGAACAAGACAGATATTTGGAGGGTGCAACTACTTTATCAATTTTGACTTCACATTTAGTGCAGCACCAGATGCATGTTTACTTGATCCAAAGTATATATCTTATGTAAAATGTATGCAGAAGTAAATCTGCATGTACTAAATGTACTTCTAGAGGTCTAGTTGAGTAGAGATTAATCTGGGTCAGGGACTTGATAGACAAGTGCCTGCCTAAAGAAAGAAAGACAGGAAATAAGTATTTGTTTGAATGAATGACTAAATGGGTATAGCTAAATTATATAGTTACCAAAGTGGAGCCTCTCAAATTAATTGCCTTATAGGTTACCTGAAGTGCCAGAAAGTTTTGTCATGCCCCTTTTTCCCCCTTGGTTATGTTGAGTGAAAGCACAGGTGAGTATGATTTGATAAGCTTGACATCCAATAAATGTCTATCTCTGCGTAGTTCTCATACCCTAAGAAGGCCATGACTACCAAGAGAAGGTGGGGTTCCCAAGGCTCAAACTTGAGAGAAAGTCTTCATGATTAAGCAGAAGGAGCATAAGACTTGGGACCAGATGGACCTGAGTTTAAACCCAAGACCTGCTCTGTGCTCTGTGAACATGGAAAGCTTCCTTAATCACATAGAACTTCAGCTTCATCTCACCTATAATGTGATTAGAAACACCTCCATTGCTATAGAATGGTGGTAATAAATGGGATAAAGTACATTAAAGTGCTTTGAAAGCATTTTCATACTACACAAAGGAAATGAGAATAGAACAAGGCTGCCGAACGCTTCTTGAATGCAGACATAGCAGCGTTAAGACATATCAGGTTAATCTTCTCAGGATTCTGAGTTACCAGGAAAATGCGAGCAAACAATTTTGAGCTTAACTTCCAAAGTAACTTGGCAGTGAATCTGAATCAGACAATGTTTAAAATGTTTAAGTGAATTCATTCTTTATAAATTAGGTTGAACACACAAAGAAAAAAGTAATTTCCCATTCTTCTACTTTCTGGAGGATATTTAACTATTGGGAGTTATGATTCCAAGAGCCCTCAGGCACAAGAAAAATGTGGCCATTTGCATATTAGACCTCAGAGACTTCTTCTATAGCAGCTGCTTTTCTTGTAGCCTCAGGGTTGGAAAAGCCAAGTTATTCTGGGCCAAGCAAGTTGTGTTTGTTAAAAACAAGAAAATAAATAAAAATACGACAAAGCAGTAAAGTCACATTAGGCTGAAAATCAGGTGAGAGGCTTATCTCAGCTCTGCCTGCCAAAAGCATTGTGGCCTTGAGCCTGGGCCCAGGGAAAGCCGTCCAGACTGGTTGGATCTTTCTTGGCTCTATCCTTTTTCATGTCTGAGTCTGCAACGCTTGACAAGGGGCTTGAGCTACTTTTGCTGACCAGGAAGTTTTTCCAAGCATCACCTTCCTCCTTCTACTTGGAATGTGCTCCCTTTCGCAGGTGTCCTGGATTCCATCCTGACAACTTGCCATGGTTCTCCCCTGTCTAGACCACAAGTTGGATGAGTGATGTGCTTCACTTTTCAGCTCATTTTCTCCCCAGATTCTGTTCTCTTCCTGGCTTCATACTCTCCAGGCTCCTAATGCATAACACTCTGTCTCAATGCCCAAACTGGACTCTTGGTGGTATTATCCAATCCAGACCCAACATAGCAGCTAGATTGTCATTTTTATTTTTCTGCTTCTAACTGCATCAAGAAACATTCTCATTATCCTACAGTTGTGAATGATCTCTCTCTTTGAAATCTAATCACACTGTTTTTCACATGTGGAACTTTGCACACTTTCAGTGATGTCTTATCTCCCCATTATGCGATGAACAAGGTAGGATCCGTATATGATCTTCTCACTGCATCTTCCCACTGCCTGTTCATGGTGGCAGCTCTCCTCCGATGCCTTTGCTGACACAGCCTCCTCTAGTGGAATCAGGGCTAGAACCTCTTCTCATTTTCCTACACTGTACTCTTGCACATATTGTGTCTCTCTGAAATTCTCTTCTCTTTCTTTGTTTGGTTAATTCCAACTCTTCCTTAGGATTCTAGCCTAATCATCATTTACTTAGAGACATGGCTTTAACTGCCTATAAATCCTGATTGCATCAGTCTTGTGAATCTGTCTTTCATGGTGCTGGTTCAGGTATATTCTACTTTTTACTGCAAGACTTTTAGCTCTTTGATGACAGAAAGAGTAGCTAATTTTGCCCACCATATTTTCCCCAGCATTTACAATAGTGCTTGGTCCATACTTTATTTTAAAAACAAATAAAATAAATGGTCCACAAGTGAACAACAAACTTTTACTAAATGAATGAATGGATACATAGTTTCAGGGTTCATTGTTTTCATCAGTGACTATGGCAGGGTCTTTCCATCTTGGTCACCCAAAGACTTTCAGTTCACTTTGGAAAATACAACCAAGACTTACAGTTTCGTGGCTCCCGCAGGCTTCCTGATGTCAGGAAATTGCTCTCTCTGCAATGAAAACAGCGGGCATCAAGTCTACAAGCCTGTACATAAAAGGATCCATTATCCCTCGAGCCAAATGTCACTGCTGGAATGGCTTCCAAATGCTGCCAAAAAGAACATTATTAATAACAGTAATGATAATAATAGTGATCGTAATAACACATATTAAATTTTAATTTATATGACACCCAAGCCCCACAGCTCTGAGAGGGAATCATTCTCATAGTAAAGGGGAAGAAATAAAGCAAAACTCCAATTGAAAGCAAATATGATACAATTTGGGCTCAGAGCCAGGCTTTAAGCTGCTTTGTGGGGACAGAACAAGAAAAGAACCTCACCAGGCTTCAGACCTAGTCAGACTCCACATGAGAGTTCTGAATTTCGGGGATACTACAGAGAGGGGTGGAAACATATGTATCAGTCTCATTTCAAGATAAGTACTCTTCATCATTTTAACTCAAAGCATATAAAATGTGGCTCTAGGAGTCCCTGAAGGAGTCAGAAGGAGACCTGTCTGAAGGCAATCAGAGTCTATGTCTACACTGAGGGGCTATGGAGAAAAGGCTTAGATGGGTTGAAGAGTCAGTGTGCTGGGTTGTGTATACATATACAATGGTAAAATATTTGCAAAATAAAAAAAGATAAAGTAAATATTTTCACGGTCGTTAGGATACTTGAAACATTTCACACATATCAAATTTTAATGACTCTAAAATGGTAACAGCCACAAAGAAGAATAGTTTTAATTTACTGTGGCAATGCTGTGTAATGTTGAGGGTATGGGCTTCGGAAGTCTGGCACACTGGGCTTGGGTCATGCCTACTCTGTTTACTGGGAAATCTTAAATATGTCACATAAATTCCCCAAATTCCCATTTCACGGTGTTAAATTGAGAGCAATAATAGAATACTGGTCAAGGTTCTCCAGAGAAACAGAACCAATTTTATGTAGATAGACAGATGGATAGATATGAATGAAGGAACTGGCTCATGCTATTTTAGGTAAAGAAGTCTCACAGTCTGCCATCTGCAAGCTGAAGATCCAAGAAAGTTGGTGATGTAATACCGTCAGAGTCCAGAGGCTTAAGAACCATGGAAGCTGATGGTATAGGTCACATTCCAAGTACAAAGGCCCAAGAAATAGGAACAGCAATGTGCAAGGACAGAAGAGGGATGTCCCAGCCCAAAAGCAACTTTTTACTTCCTCTACCTTTTTGTTTTATTCAGGCCCTCAACAAATGAGATGATGCCCTCCCACCTCGGTGAGGGTGATTTTTACCCAGTCTACTGATTGAAATGCTAAGCTCTTCCAGAAACACTCTCACAGACACACCCAGAGTAATGGTTTCCTAGCTATCTGTGCACGCCTTATCAAAGTCAAGTTGACATAACGTTAACCATCCTATAAAGAGTTTAACCTCGTAGGTTAAAAAATCCTCAATGAGAATCTCTCATTCAATAAAACTTCATTGAGTACTATGAAATAGTTCACACTTGAAGCAAAATAAGAAAGTAATCCAACAGACCTCCGTATATATAGAACTAAGATTTAATAAACATTTGCCAAGCAGGTCTGTGTATCCATTTTTAAGTTGAATGGATCTGTGGGCAAGTAGATTTTAGAGACTGAGAACTTGGAAGACAGGATTCTTCCCTGCCTTGTATGTATGATCTGGGACTTGGGGGAGTAGCCAGAGGCAGATGAATAATTACTTTAAAATTAATCACTGCATAACCTTCATTTCCAGGCCACAACTTGCCCCAGGCTGAATGATAATTCAAGATACCATACTTTTCTGTGTGTCAATCCTTTTCATTAGAGATAAAACACTAATCTATATTCTGATCTTAATCTATAGCAGGTAAAGAATATGATGGTTTTTTAAAATAAAAATATAATACATGCATGTGCTAAAAATTTTAAACTATTGAAATGATACACCTTTTTATTAACAGTTAAGAGCTCCTTGTTTCTCCATCCATAATTTTTCTTTTTTGAAGTTATTTCATGTTATGCAATTTTTTTTTAGAGACAGGGTCTCGCTCTGTCACCTAGGCTGGAGTGTAGTGGCATGATCATAGCTAACTACAGCCTTGAACTCCTGGGCTCAAGTGATCTTCCTGCTCAGCATCCCTAGTAGCTAGGATTATAGGTGCATGCCATCACTCCTGGCTAATTTTTTTTACTTTTATTTTTTGTAAAGGTGATGTCTTACTGTGTTGCCCAGGCTGGTCTCAAATTCCTGGCCTCAGCTGATTCTCCCACTTCAGCCTCACAAAGTCCTGAAATTACAGATGTGAATCACCCACATTGAAGTTATTTTGAAACTAGATTTAACTGACATGACTACACATGTCATAAACACCTTACAAACTGTCAAATTATAATAATGTTCACAATTATTGAATGCATATTATATGCTAGTCAATTTTCTAAGCACTTTATATGCATTACTACATTTAGTTTTCACAAAACAACTGATTTACAAGCTGTGAGGCTTGAATCAAGTTCTTTAACTTTTCTGAAGACCAGTATCTTCCTATGTAAAATAAAGATAGCATTGCTATTCTTGCAGGGTTGATCTATGCACAATGCATTGTATGGTTTCTGGCACCTACTAGAGGCTTAACCATAGTGACTACAGCCTATTTCTCATACCTTTTCTCCATGTGAATAACACATAAGGCTAGGTTCCATTCTGATCACCTTAGCTTGTGTTATATAGGAAGGCCCTTACTATTTGAATCTCTGGGTTTCGTTTATTTTGGATAAACATGTCTGGTGTGTATTAGATAAGTTTAATTATTTTGTGATTCCTGAACACACAGCTATTCAATTTTATCATTACTGCAAACATTAGATGGAGAGATTTTTACTTTTAATTTTTTATTCTTCCTTTAAAAAATCATTGTAATGTCTTTAGACATGTGGGCACTACTAAGAAAAGGTTAGCCAAAATTTTTATTTGTTTATTTATTCACTCTCCAATTATGCTTTGAGAAAAAGCTGGTTGGATAATTCTTTTCTTCAGGCTAGGATATTAAATTATGTGGTCATAGACAAGCTCAAGTAGCAAAATCAGAGTCCCCTGAGGTTTGAATTTGAAACAAACTATCCATAACTCTCAGAATAATCCTCTAGAGAAGGGGTCCCCAACTCCCAGGCTGAGGACCTGCCTGTGGCCTGTGAGGAACTGGCCACACAGCAGGAGATAAGTGGTGGTCAGGCCAGCGAGCATTACCGCCTGAGCTCCGCCTCTTGTCAGATTAGCGGGAGCATTAGATTCTCATAGGAGAGTGAACCCTATTGTTAACTGTGTATGCAAATGATCTAGGTTGCATGCTCCTTATGAGAATTTCATGCCTTATGATCTGAGGTGAAACAGTTTTACCCTGAAACCATCCCCTGGCCCCGTCCATGATAAAATTGTCTTCCACGAAACCAGTCCTTGGTGCCAAAAAGGTTTGGGACCGCCTCCTTAGAGATGACGTAATTATCCCACCCACTTCAGAACGATCTCAAACTTACCATTGACCAGGTTGCACAAACCCCACGTTGAGACATTGGAGATCTATCAATAAGTTATTTTCTAATTTGTGGACCTTTCTCTATAAAAAGTCACAAAAATATAAATTTAACACACATTATATTTTTATAAACCATGTTGAATGAATATTATGCAAAAAGTCAGACACAACTTAGTAGAAAAGATAAGAGAACTACAGTATGTGTAATGTCATTTTAATAATTTTATCCATATAGACAGATGAGGAAGGAAAAACCATTTTAGGCAGAGTGATGACTGTCTTCAAAGGCATGGATGCCCCCTTTAAGGAACTCAAAAGTAATTCTATTTGGTTCTTAGGAACCTGCTGGGGGACCGTGTACACCATTCAAGAGGCTTGAGTTTATTTGCAATGGGGAATGGCTGATATATTTGAAAGCAGGAAAGTGAGGTGATTAAATTTACATTATACTATGATAAGTCTTTCTAGACGTATTGAATAAATTAGATAAATATTGAATTAAATTATGATAAAAATATTAAATAAACTAATATTATAAAAATTAGATAATTTGTAAAATTAAATTGAGCTAGTAGATTGGAAAGTGGCTGGCTGAATGCATCTCCCTCTTAACCCCTTGTCAGAAGGATGCTGAAATAGTTGGTATGAGGAATAATAGGCAATTCAAAGAGGTCAGTGGTAGTGAGGACAAAGCAGAGGAGAAACAATCCACAAATATTCTCCATGTGAGGCCCTTGACCCAACATAATTAAAATGATACTGAATGGAGATATAGTTTAAGGAGATGGAATGGACAAGACTGAGAGGTCTATCATGGGTGGATGGCGAGGGCGTGGCAGAAGTTTATGGTCCTTAGCAAGGGCATCTGGGGAAAGATGAGATTCAGCAGTATATAAAGAGTAGTTAGAATGAATGGGAATTTAGAAATTGCCCAAGGTAGAGTGAAAAAAGTTGGATCATGGAACCTGGCAGAGAGGGGCATGAGAATTTATCCTAATAAATAACTAATGTAATTATTAATTGATTAGTAATAACCAATGTAATTATTAATTAATTAGTAATAAGTAATGTAATTATTAATTAGTAACCATTAATGCGATTAATTAATTAGTAATAATTAATGCAATTATTAAATAATTGGTAATAATTAATGCAATTATTAATTAATTCATAATAATTAATAATAAGTAATGTATTTTAAGCCATGCAAGACCTATGATAATGACCTACCAGGTGTTAACCTTAATTTGGATTACGAATCCCAGCATAATAGGCCCCTGGCTATTTTTCAGATTTCCTTTTAATTTTACTTATTTATTTTTAATTTTTTCATAAGTTATTGTGGGTACTGGTGGTATTTGGTTACGAGTAAGTTTTTTGGTGGTGATACTGAAATTTTGGTGCACTCATCACTCAAGCAGTATACACTGCACTGTATTTGTAGTCTTATTCCTCATCCCCCTCCCACTTTTCCCCACAAGTTGCCAAAGTCCATTGTATCATTCTTATGCCTTTGCATCTTCATAGCTTAGCTCCCACGCATCAGTGAGAACATACAATGTTTGGTTTTCCATTCCTGAGTTACTTCACTTAGAATAATAGTCTCCAATCTCATCCAGGTCACTGCAAATGCTGTTAGTTCATTCCTTTTTCTGCATAGTATTCCATCATGTGTGTATACTGCAGTTTCTTTATCCACTCGTTGATTGATGGGCATTTGGGTTGGTTCCACGATTTTGCAATTGTGAATTGTGCTGCTATAAACACGTGTGAGCAAGTATCTTTTTCAAATAATGACTTCTTTTCCTCTGGGTAGATACCCAGTAGTGGGATTGCTGGATCAAATGGTAGTTCTACTCTTAGTTCTTTAAGGAATCACCACACTGTTTCCCACAGTGGCTGTACTAGTTTACATTCCCACCAGCAGATTTTCTTTCCTACACATCTCCTTCTCACTTTGTCTGCTCAACTACTGGCCTCCGTCATGCTTATAGAACATGCCAGGAATGTTTTTCCTCAGGGGCTTTGCACTTGCTTTGTCCTCTGATGTGGACATCTTTCCCCCACTTGTTCTCAAGGCTCCCTCTCTTGTATAGTCCAGCTCTCTGTCCATATTCTAGTTCCTCTGATAGAACACCCTCAGCATTCCCATCTAACCTAGGACCTCTGCCCCACAATCACTTACCACACATTTACCCAGCTTTATTTTTCAAAAGGACTTTGTGTTGATTTCCTAGGGCTGCTGTAACAAAGTACCACAACCGGGTAGCTTAAAACAACAGAAATGGATTCTCTGACAGTTCTGGAGACCAGTGTTATTAGAGCCGTGCTCCTTCTGAGGACTCTAAAGAGGACGCCTTCCTGCGTCTTCCTAGCTTCAGGAGGTTGTGGGCAATTCTTGGTGTTCCTTGGCTTGTTTCCACATCTCCATCTTCACATGACCTTCTTCCCTGTGTGTGTGTGTGTGTTTGTGTGTGTGTGTCTCCTTGCCTCTTCCTATAAGAACACTGGGACTCTGATTTAGGGTCTGTCATACTTCACCTTAACTAATTACATCTGCAAAGACCTTATTTCCCAACAAGATCACATTATGGGGCACCACGTGGATGTGAATTCTGGACACTGTTCAACCACCACAGACTTGTTTATATTTGATGTTATGTGTGTATGTATTTGTTTGTTTCACCCTACTAAAATGTTAACTCTGCAAGGGTAAGAATTAATCTCTTCGGTTCTTTGGTATATCCACAATGCTTTGTGGATGAATAATCAATATCTGCCACACTAAGAAACTCTGTTTTACATATAATGTAAATAACATATTTAGAAAAACAAATTTGAAGATCCAAAACAATTTTGAAGATCCAAATTCCAAGATGTTTGGGGTTATTTCTGCATCTCATTTTGCATTTTATATTTAATGTTTTTGTTTATGTTACCTTCCTTTTTTCACTTTCTGTTAGAAAAATTGAATTTTATCTAAATCTATTTCCCTTTTACTTGTTTAGAAGTTAATTATTTATTGTAATCATGTCATAGCTCCCTTCAATTATAATAGCATCCTTACAAAATTCAACATTAATCAATAATTATATTCTCCTCTCTCAT
Organism: Homo sapiens; assembly: GCF_000001405.40. Lineage (NCBI taxonomy): Eukaryota > Metazoa > Chordata > Mammalia > Primates > Hominidae > Homo > Homo sapiens. The sequence continues at coordinate 135,903,246 of NC_000008.11, forward strand.
AATACAATCTACTATACAAGTTCCAAATGATTATGCTCATAATTTTTATTCTTACAGTTAACGCTTATTCAAATTTGTTATCTGATATGAGACAATGGGCTTTTTAAAAAAAAGTACAATTGTCTGTAAAGCAGGCAAACAAACAAACAAAAAACACTTCTAGGCCAACAAATACAAACCTAGATTCAAATGTTTTCCTAAAACAAGACATGAATTTGTAGTTTATTTTTCCACTAGAGAGAGGAAGAATGTATGGTAGCCTAATGCAAAATAATGTTTTTAAACCCATAGATTTATCCATTTTGTTTGTTTATCTGTGCTTACTGAATTTTACTCTTCCTGCCTTCCAATCCTGTTATTCTAAAATGCATTTTTAATGCAACATATTTTAGTAAGAGCCTGTGAAAATTGATCCAAAAATATCTTTATGCCGCTCTCACTTTTGAAAGGTAATATATCTGGCTCTAGAATTCTGGGTTGACAGTTATTTTCCTCAGAATTGTGACGATATTAAGATATTATTTTGTTGTCTTCTGGCATCTGCTGTTGCTGATGAAAAGCCCACTAACAGTGCTATTTGTTGTACCCAGAATTAATCTGTATATATATATATATATATATATATATATACACATATACACACAGATTATATATATACATATACAGATATGATATTAAATGATAACCATTTAATTCTGGGAACAACAGATACACTGCCAGTGGGATATCTATATCTGTATCTACATCTATTTTTGGTTGTTTTTCTTGAATGTTCTGCACTTTTGTTTCACTTTTAATGTTTTTCAAGGTAAAAGTAGAATTTCTTTATATTTATCTTACGAAGAACTTGTCACTTATCAAGCTGGAGACTCATATCTTTTTTCAATACTGAAAAACTTCTCATTTAAGTTTTATCAAGTATGAGCTTCTTGAATTCTCTATTATATTCCTTTGATCTGCTCTTAGATGTATGTTGGACTTTCTTAATCTCCGTCTCTTTCTTTTTGTTTCTGATGTTTCATTTCTATCTTTTCTACAGTCGTGATGGTATCATCAGATCTTTTTGTTTAAAAGATCTTTCAAAATTGAAATAACATTTGGCTTATATTTATTCTGTTTAAACGTAAGTATTTTTTGTTACTGAAAGTTTTACTTTTGGACATTTTTAAATTTGCTTGTTCTTTTTTAGATTATATTGTTACTTTTGAATTAAACATAAAAGTTCCTACTTTAATTTTCTTTATCACTTTAAATATATTTATTTAAAAGTTTTGTTGTTGTTGTTGCTGTTATTTACAATTCTTGAGACACTAATTCTCATATTCATTGTACCTGATAATCCTATCATAATAGCTTATTTTGTTATGTGGCTGTAATTCTTATTGGGCGTTCAAAATTTTTAATCAGTACCCCCTCCCGGCCATGGGGGCTATTGTAAGGAATTTCCTAATTGCTTCTATAGGAGCCTGCCTGGAGTTTTCAATGGTATTAGATTTGTTTTTTTCTTTTTTCTTTTTTTTGAAACAGAGTCTCACTCTGTCGCCCAGGCTGGAGTGCAGTGGCACCATCTCTGCTCACTGCAAGCTCCGCCTCCCAGGTTCACGCCATTCTCCTGCCTCAAACTCCCGAGTAGCTGGGATTACAGGCGCCCGCCACCATGCCCGGCTAATTCGTACATTTAGTAGAGACGGAGTTTCACTGTGTTAGCCAGGATGGTCTCAATCTCCTGACCTCGCGATCCACCCACCTCGGCCTCCGAAAGTGCTGGGATTACAGGTGTGAGCCACCGTGCCCGGCCTCTTTTTTTTTTTTTTTTAATTTCAATTTATGAGCTAATAGCTTAATCCTGGGTCTCATTTTCTCACTGGTGCCTTTTGCTCACTTCCAATGTCCTTGGCAAAGTCGAGCTTCCTTGTGAGTGTCCAGACCAGTGACCAGGGTTTTCATGGAAGGGGAAACTCTTTAGGAATCTGGAATTTATGCAAGGCCTCTGCTTTCATGGACCTAAACCCGTATTTCCTGTATCTCTTGAAGAGCAGAACCTTAGTTTGTACCGCCTACAATACACATCTTAGTCTAAAACCCCAAGGGCCTTTCCAGAATCAGCTCAGGTTTATCTTGCTGGCATTACTTCTCTTTTTATGTCTGGAACCTACAAATTCTCATTCTTTCTTTTGAGTTCATTTTCGTGTCAAACAGTTTGTTATATTTTCTCAACATGTATATGATTTTAATAACAGGAGGGGGCTTATCTGTATCATTTTAGACTTGCTAGATTGCTGGAAGCATCTCTAAAATTTAGTGGAGTTCCAGGGATTACAGAGTGTTCATGTAGACCTTAGAATATCTTGCTTAGAAGCAGCAGGAAATGATCACAGTGTTTAAATCCCACCTGAAAAATAGTAGAAAACATTACTCGGTATTCAGAGATGCCTTGTAAAGGGTAGTTAAATAAGCACCTCCTGCAAAATTAGGGGATTTTTATTTTATTATTTATTTTTTGTATTACTTTATTTTTTATAGTATATGAAATGAACAAAAATTATTTCTGAAATTATGAAAACTGATTTAACATCATAGACACAAACATCGGGCAAAGAGGGGGATCCACGAGGCTGGGAGGTGCTGTGCGTTTCTGCCCTTTACTTCTGTTTCTGACACCACTCCTCTGATGCGCTTGGATTTTTATGCATGAACAAGGCGGCACTTGACCCTGATTTCCCGCTTATCTCCATCCCCTGAATCTGGGATGACATTTGACATTCTCGGTTGTTTCTTTTTTACCCCCTCTGAAGAATTTGTATTTACCGAAGAGTTTGTAAGAACAAAGGGATGGAACTTCTTTAAATAGACGGGCTGTTTCCTCTGAACAGCAGGACAAGCAGGCAGCCAGGCTTTGGGTGGTTTCCCAGGAGCGGGATTTCTGGCATGCTTGGCTCTTCTCTCCGGGCAAACGCCTTGGTGCCTCACCACAAACACTAACTCCTTCTTCCTTTTTCCTCGCCTGCCCACAGCCTGCCAACGTCACTTGAAGGAGCATAAATAGCTATACCAGGCGTGTCTCTTAATCGGATCAACGTGAACTTTTTTCTTTTTTAGAAAATTCCTTCCAAAATATGATATGATTTGAGTTCTTTCTCATTGAACAAGAGAAGCTTTCAACAGCTAGCGTGGAGCCAGAAAGCTCCTGCACAGATGTGCAAACAGTTTATGTGCAATTCTTTCTTTTTCAGAGAGGAGAATAAAAACCAGGTTAGAGGACTCCATGACCTCTGAGAAAAGAAGTTTACGATTCAGCCAGGTGTGGTGGCTCACACCTGTAATCCCAGCACTTTGGGAGGCCGAGGCAGGTGGATCACAAGGTCAGGAGTTTAAGACTAGCCTGGCCAACGTGGTGAAACCCCGTCTCTACTACAAATACAAAAATGAGCCATGCGTGGTGGCACGCGCCAGTAGTCCCAGCTACTTGGGAGGCTGAGGCAGGAGAATTGCTTGAACCCGGGAGCAGAGATTGCAGCGAGCCGAGATGGTGGCATTGCACTCCAGCCTGGGCGACAGAGCAAGACTGTCTCAAAAAAAAAAAAAAAAAAAAAAAAAAAAAAGAAGCAGTTAACGATTCTATAAGCACTAAGGTTTTCTGTCCCCGGCAAATGCTTAAGCTAGTTGCCCTGAGGTCCCCATGATGAGTGCCCCTCTCGGGCTGAGAAGTTATAACCATTTCACTGTCCCCAGCAGAGACAAATATTTGACCTTGAATATCTATTCATATGGTCTTCATTTGTAACCACTTCCAATCATCAAATTTGAGATAAGTGGGAGCTTTTCCTGAATAAAACTATATTTTTTATTCTCCCATGTAGTCTAGGATGGCCAAATGACCATATTTCTGGCCAGCAGTATGTAAATAGAAGTTCACCTGTGCTTTGGAGGAAATGTTCCCAACAGGAGTGAGTGTTTGTTCATCCTCTTCCTTGTTGTTGCGAGATGTGATGGCTGATACTGAAACAGCCACCTGGGACTCTGAGGTAGAAGCTGTATGGTGAGAATGGCAGAACAGCAAGGTAGGAGGGGCCTGGGGCCTGACAAGTGTAACAAACACCCCTACCTGCCCTACACTGCCAATCTCTGTGCCTGTGTTGTGGGTATTAAAGGAATATATTTGTATCTTTTTATTATTATTATTTTTTTGGAGACAGAGTCTTGCTCTGTAGTCCAGGCTAGAGTGCAGCGGTGTGATCTCAGCTCACTGCAACCTCCGCCTCCCAGGCTCAAGCAATTCTCCTGCCTCAGCCTCCTGAATAACTGGTATCACAGGTGCGCACCATCATGCCTGGCTAATTTTTGTATTTTTAGTAGAGATGGGATTTTGCCATATTGGCCAGGCTGGTCTCAAACTCCTGACCTCAGTTGATCCACCCACCTCGGCCTCCCAAAGTGCTGGGATTACAGGTGTGAGCCACCACACCCGGCCTTTTTGTATCTTTTTAAAGTGTTAGATACTCTGTCATCCTCAAAGAGGCTTTATCTTAACTTCTATTTGTAGTTTTTATCTTCTTCTAATTGTAGTTTTTGCCTTGCTCTATTTCACCATTTAATACTGTTGAAAACAAAGTTTACAACCTACCACCTCTTACTCTTCTAAGAAATCCAAGAGACTGTTCTGAAGATAGATCCTCCAGTACAGAAAATCTAGCATGCCTGGACTTTGCAGTGCTGCAGTTGTTTCAACATGGCAGTTGTAATGCAATCATTAAGCAGTTATTGAACATAGACGTGGTACATTTTCCATCCCCTGCCTTCCTGATTACCTTTAAAAAAAATAGCTAATTAAGTTAAAGTAACAAGGTAACACAAATTTAAAATACACACTCTATTAACGAGGAGTATGTTGCAATGCAAATTTATGACTAATTTAGAAAGAATGCCATTTTGAGAACAATTTGCCAAAGTTTTTTTCCCTCTACTTGACTTCAGGCTGGGGAAAACTAGCACTTTAATTACAAACTAGACAAATACAGTCTATGAAATCTTGTTTAGTGAGTTCAAGTATAATGAGCTTTCAGAAAGCGGTGAGGAAGAAAATGATCATTTATTTATTGGGTTTTGCTGCTTGGTATTTTGTGTTTGCATTTGTTTGGCGTAGTTTTCCTTTAAGACTTAAAAGCACTGTTTCTGATATAGAGAAGAAAGATGCCAAGACATCATCTTGGTAACTCCTAGACTGTTGTGAAGAGTCTGTTCCTACCCCTGGACTGAACAGAATCTCTATCACTAGCGTGATAGAGCCAGAGCAATGTAAAAATCAAGGCAGCGCCCAGTTTTCTTTCTTGTTACCAACGAGTCTTGTTACCTCTTGTCTGTAGCCAGTGTTTTGCCTGTTGAATGTCAACCACAAAGGAGATGTCTATCATCAACACACTGCTCAGCTCTCAATCGGATCTGCTTGTTTAGTCAATATCTTGTTCAGTTTCTTAGGACACTTGTCTTTGCGTGGGAATAGAGGATGGGACTGAAACTTCTAGATGGATATTGGTGACATGAAGAGAAGGTTTTCATATTTCACCATGGTGGCCGATTTGGGATCTTCCATTTAGCTGGGATGGTAGCAGATGCTTACCCCAATGCACTGGCCTATTGTTTCTCCTTTCTTCTACAGGTTATGTCCAAGAAGACAGAGCACCTTTGCATTGATCATTGTTGTATCCTTAGTTTCTAGCACAATAAACGGTACAAAACAAATGTTTAATAAATATTTGTCTGAATAACAAATAACCCCCTTTATCTTCAGGATAAAGTTTGGGCTCTTTTGCGTGACATTCAAGATACTTACAATCTGCACTTAACCTTTTTTACTGGCTGCATTTCCTACTATCTCCTGACAATTACTGAACAATAATATTGAAGCCTACATAGTTTCCTGAGCAGGCGTGGACTCATTCTGTGCATTTGCTAAGGGTACCCTTGGTAAACTTTTAAGATACAGCTTAAATATTATCTCTATATAGCCTCTTTGAAACCCAGCAACTGCTTGTGCAATGAATTTAATAAAAAACACTTACGGACCAGCTACTCTGTTTCAGGAACAGCCCAAAGTTCTGAGACCAGTACTTGAGGGTAGAGGAACACTATGCTGGAACAAAGGAAATCAGGGCAGAGCATAATGGCCAAGGGTCAGCAAAATCCACCTTAAAAATCCTCCCTATGTATTTTTCAAGAAGAAAAAGTTGAGCCCATGGAGAACCGATGGACTTAATAGCTAGTTGCTTTATTCAACAGTACTTGCCTAATTATTCCTTCTTTCTAATCCCTTTGGATTTCAACACTAACTACTATGCATTCCCAGTGCAACCCATCCTGTATCTGACCTCTGTACTGTTGCCTTTGCTCTCCCTCTGGCTACTCTACACCCCTTCTCCACACCTGCCTGGCTAACTTCTACCTGACCCTAAGGAATTAGATCAGGGGTCCTCTGCCAGAAAGCTTTGCTCATTGCCCCTTTAGTTTGAATTAAACAACTCTCACGGTACACATGTCTATCACTGCTTTCACCATTTGTAATTATTTATGTGTCAAATCTCCCTGCCTCCCTGAGAGACACATGGAAATCTTGCTGAAACTGCCAATGACATAAAGTCAGGGAGTCTGAATTTTGATAACTTCCCCAAGTGATATCATACACATTTAGAACCACTTCATTGGATTGTAAGTTCCTGGGGACCAGGGAATCTCTCATCAGCATGTGTGCTTGGTACAATGACTCTTATGCAGGAGATAGGCTATTAATTCAAGATCATTCACCGAGTGAGTAAGTGGATGACAGTGCCTGAGTGGCATCAGAACAAATGATAAGATCTTCCCCTGTGTGCTCCATGGAGTCTCTTCAACTCCTGGCCCTGGTCCATCTGGCCTTACCTCTGAATTCTTACCTTTCATAGGTGCAACTGCATTCACCTTTCATCCTGTCTTCATTTCTGGATCCTTCCTTGGGATTTAGCTCTTTTGTCTATGGTAACATATTACATAATTTACCTATTTCTTAGGTTTATTGTCTTTTGTCTGTTTCCCCTCACCAAGATTTAACCTGTATGAACACAGCGATTCTCTTTCAATTTTTTTCAGTGATAAACATCTATTTCAATGACCTAGAATGGTGCCTGTTGTGTAATAGATGCTCAATAAATATTTGGCTAATAAATGAATACATGAGTGAATGGATGAATTTCCTGAGATGGATCCATTGCTCTTCAGCCTTTGCTCTTGAACTTAATTTGTGCAATGACATTTTCTCCCCTTTGATTAATTTCTGCCAAACAGTCCTCTCGTAACTTTATCTACCTCCTCATCTCCTTGCCGGACACCCCAGCTCTCAGGCTCTGCCTACAGACCACCATCTTGTCACACTCAGGACTGGCCCCTCCTAAGCAGTTCAAAATGTCACTGGCTATTCCTTGTCTCCAAGGGATCAAAGTAGTATCCTTTGTTTCAAAATATTAGCACTTCCATGAAAGCCAAGATTCCAGCTGCTGTCTTTAATCTATTCTAAGGCTGGGCAAGGAAATCTCTGCTTCCTACTTGGAATGCACAGAACTCCCCTCTGGGAAATAAAGATGACATGGGTTAGATTCATCACTGCAGATGGCACCTGCTGCTGCATCCTCCTAAATGATTCCACATTTGGGCAAGCTAGTTGGGGCAGAATGGCTGGCTTCAAATGTTTTCTGGCTTGCTAACGAGTTACTTGGCTGCATCTTTTTACCTTGAGTCACTGATTTGAAAACAACCCAGATTTCTGGTGATAAAAAGTGCTTCTGTTTGACAGATGGGGTACAGCATGTCTAAGAAATGATGTTTTCTTTCAGGCCAGGTCGTGGTGAATAATTGTTTCTACTTGCTATGGTGGGGACAGACTCAAAACCTAACCTGTGCCTTTCTTCTCCGTGGGCATGGTCCCTGAGGTGGAGGGTAGGAGCTCATCATGCAGAGAGGTGGCCTGAGACCTTTGATGGGTCTGAGAATGTCCACATGTGACTGGAGACCTCAGGGACATAGGAAGTAAAGGGTGAGCTATTGGATGGGGAAATTGAGTTAGGGAGGCAGGCAGCAGGGTCAGCAGAGTGGGATAGTAGAGAGAATGCCACCTTGGTTTTCCAAAGCACAACTTCACCTTCTCACACTGTCACTTACTACCTATGTGATCCTTGGTTAGTTAAGGAAATGAATTTCAGAAACTGTCTAATATGTAAAAGAGAAGTAACAACGTCTCTTGTGAGGTTATGTTACCACTCGTTGGTGAAGAAGTTGTATATACACGCTAAAGTGCTATAGAAATGGAAGTCAGATGATCAACTAGCTGAACTTTTAGCTTCTTCCTTGAGGAATGTCAGATCCTTTTTCTTCTTTGTTTCCCAAATCCTACCTTCAAAGGCAAATCAATTCTCCTCTTCTTAACTCAGAGTTAGTGAATTTTATCCAGAGATCATTGAGTCAAACTATGGCCCTCTGTGGGTAGAATAAAGACAGGAAAGATGTACTAAAATACACCATGCAGGTCCAGGTAACTAGTGGTTTGCATTGTCTTTGTTGGGCTATGGAAGATACTTGGGTTTGAATTCTCTTTTCATGTGTATGACCTTAACAAAATGAGAGACTACCATGTAGGTCAACTGACTTGTTTTCTCCAGCTGGAATATGCACAGATAGTACACACACAGCTGGTACACACACACCTAGTTCATGTATAGCTGATACGTAGAAGAACTGAGGCTGTACTCCAGGTCTTTTGGAGTCTAAAGACTTTTTCCCCGTATGTCCTAGGATAACCACTGGTATAGGAAATCAGGGAAGAACAGGAAAAGACAAAGCATCCTAGTGTCAAACATTTGGGTAAATGTAGCTGCATTTGTTTTATAAATACAATTATTCATTTCCCAAGAGCTTCAAGGAATATGAAAACTTTCTTCCCAAATGAGGCTCAATGAAGTCACTTTCATTTCATTCATTCATTAAATCATTTGACAAATACTCATGAGTGCCTAATATATGCTAGATAATGTTTTAAGCCCTGAGAACAAGGCATAATGAGTCAATCAAGGTTACTGCCTTCATAGAATTACTGGGAAAGAGGTAAAGAACTTTTTGGGCATGGTTGTTTTTATATTACATGAAATAGTACCCCTATCGGGAGGATTGTGCTCACCTACAGGTACTTTTGAGAGATAATTCTGTTCTCAGGAATTTATTTTAAGAAAAAAAAAGATTGCACAAATATCTATTTTTTAGAATGTTTTCCACAGTATCATTTATGTTGGCAAACAAGTAGGAAACTGACTAGATGTCTATTAACAGGGAAAAGATTACATTGATCAGAATCACGTTCACGGAATGGCACCACCTTTACACAGTATGCACATACAGTATGATTCCTATTAGATGAAGAAAACCATGGCTCTCTGTGGGTGGAATAAAGACAGGAAAGATGTACTAGAGTATGCTGCTCCAGATTACTGGTGGTTTTCATTGTCTTTGTTGGGTTATAGCAGATAGTTAGGTTTGAATCCTCTCTTCCTGGGTGTGATCGTAAGAAAACGACCTAAATACCATGAGTCTTCTCTCTAAAATGGGAATAAAGGTGACCTTGCAGGGCTGTTGTGAATTTTAAATGAGATAATGTATATTAAAGTCTATATAGCACAGTGCCTGGTCCAGAATTAGAAGTTAAGAATGATCTGTTTATTCATATTATTTTCTAAGGTGTCTACAATTAATATGTATCACTTCATTAATCAGAAGAAAACCTAATCAATATTAAAAAAGAGAGAGGGGCAGAGCCTGACAGACAGAACCTCTGACAAGCAAGACATCAAATGCCCTTGCTATTTATTGCCATAGTGGGTAATGAATATTAGTTTAACAATCCTGCGATGGCCATATTGAAAGAGAAATTGTCATAAAAAGTTTTGTTTTTTCTGAATAGGAATCTTCAGAAGATACCTGAGAATATATCTTAAGGTTCCTTGTGTCCAAGAGTGGTTAGGATTAGAGGGCTGAGCCATAGCCAGTGAACAGACATTGTCAGTTTCACCTAGGAAAGGATGCATCTGTGGAGGATGCTGCCTTGTGAGGTAGTGAGCTCCTCATTGTCTATAGGTAATCTAGCCAAGGATAGGAGACCCTTTTCCCATTAGCTTGCAGGAAAAATTTCTGTATTGGGTGGAGGTTGGACTGGTTCTTTTCCATCCTTGTGATGCAATGAGTTCATGAAATACCAGAAATAAATTTTTTTTTCCTTTGTATCTTCCTAGGAACTTCCACAACCACACCTGATTCCTACCAGAATTTAAAATGTGATGTTTGGCCGGGTGCAGTAGCTCATGCCTATAGTCCCAGCACTTTGGGAGGCCAAGGCGGGTGGATCACCTGAGGTCAGGAGTTCAAGACCAGCCTGGCCAACATGGTGAAACCCCATTTCTAGTACAAACACAAAAATTCCCTGGGGGTGGTGGCAGGTGCCTGTAATCCCAGCTACTCAAGAGGCTGAGATGGAAGAAGCCCTTGAACCTGGGAGGCGGAGGTTGCAGTGAGTTGAGATGGTGCCACTGCACTCCAGCCTGGGTGACAGAGTGAGACTCCATCACACACACACAAAAAAGTTACGTTTGTTTTTGGTACCTTTCTCTGTTGCCCAACCCCACACATAAGAGTATAATAACCTCGTGGTGCCCTAAGTGGTTCTGGGTGCAACTCTTTGCCATACCAGGGTGAGTTCTTCATCAGTGTTTCCATCAGTACAATGCAGAGGAAACAGCCTGGACTCTGAAATAGGAAATGCTACATTTAGATCTTGACCACTTTATGGAAAAGAGAGTAAACATAACCTATGACAAGTTTTTTAAAAAGCTTGGTTTTTCTTCTCTGTAAAATATGAATGAGAAATGATTTATCATGGGCTTCTTAGGAGAATGACATAGAGAGCCACTGGGAAAATATGAAAGAACAATGCCTTGCACATAAAGGGTTCCTGCCTTTCCTTTTTTTTTTTTTATTTTTTTTATTTTGAGATGGAGTCTTACTCTGTCGCCAGGCTGGAGTGCAATGGCATGATCTCAGCTCACTGCAACCTCTGCCTCCCAGGTTCAAGGGATTCTCCTGCCTCAGCATCCTGAGTAGCTGGGGCTACAGGTGCCCACCACCACACCCGACTAATTTTTGTATTTTTAATAGAGATGAGGTTTCACCGTGTTAGCCCGGATGGTCTCATCTCTTGACCTCGTGATCTGCCCACCTTGGCCCCCGCAAAGTGCTGGGATTACAGGCGTGAGCCACTGCGCTTAGCCCTTGCCTTTCCTTTTTTCCTCTTCCTTCTTCCCTTTCTTCTTAGAACTTCTCTCCTTAATTTTGTTTCTTACTTTTTTCCTTAGGTGATTTTCCTTTTCCTTCTCTTTCCCTAATGCTAACAACAATCTTCTGCTTTTGTCTGGTCATTTCAAATTTGTAAATATACGTTCTTATACTTTCTCAGTTGGCCTTCACCAAAAAATAAAGAAGTTTGTAAAGAGTAGAAAGAAAGAAAAGAAAACAAAAGAAAGCAAACAAAAATCACTCCTGTGAGGCAGGTAGTATCGTTTTAGCTTTACAGTTGAGAAAACTGAGACCAAGAGAAATGAAATAATTTGGCTAAAGATATAGGGCAATCAGTGGAAGACTTGATAGAAATAATGTAGTACATGTACACCATGGAATACTATGAAGCCATAACAAAGAATGAGATCATGTCCTTTGCAGCAACATGGATGGAATTGGAGGCCATTATCCTAAGCAAACTAACACAGGAACAGAAAACCAAATACCACGTGCTCTCACTTGTAAGTGGAAGCTAAACAACGAGAACACATGGTCGCAAAGAGGGGAACAACAGGCCCTGGGGCCTGTTTGAAGGTGGAGGGTGGGAGGAGGGAGAGGATCAGAAGCAAATACCCATTGTGTACTATGCTTATTACCTGGGAAAGAAAATAACCTGTATACCAAACCTCCATGACACACAGTTTACCTGTATAACAAACCTGCACATGTACCCCTGAACCTAAGATAAGTTAAAAAAAATTAAAATAAAAACTGAACAACAAAAAGAGAGAAGTTGTAGGGCAGGACAGACAAGAGTAAAACCTGGACCAACCCCAGATCGCAGGGACTAAAGGAGATGCTGGCTACTCTCATTTCTTTGATGTTTTTACCAAATTAAAAAGGAAGGAAAACATCAAAATAGGGTTTAACAAATACAGTCTATTCATAAATGACTGCTTTTATTTATTTATTTATTTTTATTTCAGTAGGTTTTTTGGGCAACAGGTGGTGTTTGGTTACATGAGTAAGTTCTTTAGTGGTGATTGCTGAGAATTGGGTGCACCCATCACCAGAGCAGTGTACACTGTACACAATGTGTAGTCTTTTATCCCTCACCTGACTCCCACCCTTTCCCTGAGTCCCCAAAGTCCATTGTGTCATTCTTATGCCTTTGCATCCTCATAGCTTATCTCTTGCTTATAAGTGAGAACATGGGGTGTTTGGGTTCCCATTCCTGAGTTACTTCACTTAGAATAATGGTCTCCAATTCCATCCAGGTTACTGCAAATGCCATTATAAATGATTGCTTTTAAAACTTACAAAATACATGCAGTTTATATCTATTATCATTTGGGGAGAAAAGGTTAAAATGTACATTTGAGGATCTTCTTGGATGTCAGGTTGAGGCCAAATGGCCATTCAGAGCTCACCTCCTCCCCTTCACTGGCCTGTGCAGATGCTGTGGGTTGGCAGGGGATGTTCTGGTAGGAAATGACACAGGAGCTGGCCAGTTGCATTGGCAGAGGGTGGCCGGTAGGCTTTTCAATTAAAATAAATCACAGTGATTGAGCCATCATATGAGCAGAGGGTTTGATGGCAATAAAAAGGAACACACTGATGTGTTTTGAAAGGCTGGTGACTTATTGCAATGGAGCATGGGAAATGAAGGGATGCGGGGCCAGCACCGCCCCCCCTTCCCCCTCCCCCTCCCCCGCCCCCCGAAAGGGCTCTCGACACCGCAGGAAATGTGCCATGGCCATCATGAAGCAGGGCTGAGCCACAGACGCAGTATTGTTCATCGGGCCTCAGACCAGGCAGCCAACTTGATTACGATTTGGCAGAAGCTGGGTCTCTGAAGTAATTTCAAACCTGCCCCAATCACAAGCAAATATCAAGTCATAAAACAAAAGAGCCGGGAGGGCAACTGTTCCAGCCCCTTCATTTTACAGATGAACCAACTGAGACTCATGGCACATAGGAAGAGCTGGAGTTGGAGCGAACTGAGCTGTGCTGGGGTTTTCATCCATTCACTTGCTGGGCTGATGGACTTGGGCATGCGCTCGGTGGCCATGGTCCCCTGTGTCTTCATGGATGAAATGCCGACAGTGCTGCCTCCTTCACAGAGCTGAGGGACTGGAAGCACTAGATGTAAAATCCTGGGCAGAGGGCCTGGCACAGAGGAAGAACTTATAATATATGACCATTAAAGCAATTTGTCCAGAAACACACGGTTTGGAAATGGCAAAGCCAGGGCTTGGATATGGAGTCTTTGACTCCAAATCAGTGCTCTTTCTATTACCCGCCTTAGCCTCACAGAATCAACAATTACAAAAACACTGCAACTCATTTGCGTGGTTTCCACAGCCTGGGGAAAAGGGTGGCTGGAGGAGGGATGTGTCTGTGAGAAGAAAAGGTCGCCATAAAATAACTGAATATTGAGCTGGGAAGGAGTTCAGGGCTGTTTATTCCAGATCTTAGTCTGACAAGCTCTGAGAAGTGTCTCAGTAGCCCAGTGTTCCTGCCCGCCACCTCCATCCCCTTCTCCAGAGGTTCTGACCCTTCTGAGGCCTGCGTTCCAGGAAGTGCTAAACTGATTTTTCCTCACTGATGTTCATTTTAATGATTCCAGCTTCAGTGTAACCCCTCCCAGGGGGACTTGCTCCTTTCTTTGGTCATGACTTTAAGCTAAGAGTCAAATGCTAATGGGGGAATTAGAAGCATTAGCTAATCAGCAGGAGAGTACTCTGCACTGTATCTATACCCAAGAATTAGGCCATTCCTGTGGTTCTTGTTGATCTTCTGGAATCTCTAACACTCTCTTTGTTTCAATAAACCCTAAGGACGTATTTATTGAATCACTAATTCAGTTTATTCAGTTAGTATATATTAAGGTCCTACAAGATTTTATACATAGCTGTAGACCTAAGAGAGGCAGAAGTGTTGAATAAGTCAGTCCAGTTAAGTGAAGTAGTGCCATGACAGAGTGAACTCCAGCCTCGATGGGCATGTGGAAGCCATGCCTGCTGCCTGGAGTCTCAAAAGGGGAATTGCAGAACTGGCAAGATGGTGGAGGCTCAAGAGAGCAGCTTTCCAAGTGGCCTGGGAGGAAGGGCATGCAGATGGAGAGAGATGCCTGTATAAACACAATGAGGTTAGAAATTCTATCATGTGTTTCAGAATTTTAAGTCATTTTTCATGGGTGGAGGACAGAATATACAATAGTTTCAGATATGGAGTCATGAGAATTCAAGAGGCAGGCAAGGTGCATTAGACTATGCGTGATTTCTTTGGAGTTGTTCAGTGTGGTGGCCTGAAGGTTACCTCAGGAAGGGTCTCTGTGCTAAGGAGCATGGGTTTTTTTCCTGAAGACAAAAGGGACTGAGATGTGCCATAGAGTAGAGCCTTGGAGACTGGACTACTAGGTACGGATCCATGTTCCACTGGTGTTAGACAAGTGACTTCATCACTCTGCTGTTTCCTCGTGTGCAAAATGGGAAAAATATAAGTATCCACTTTATAGGGTTGTTGGGAGAATTTAATGAGTTGAATTATGTAAAACATTGAAAATTGTGCTTTTAACTTTGTGTGGCTTTATGAGTGTTGCTACTGTTGTTATGACTCATGGACTTTTAGCAGGAGGGAAAGTTAGACAGATGGTCTTCTAGAAAACAATTTTATAATAATGTGGAAGATGGATTAGAAAAGGATGGGAAAAGAAGAAGGTAGGCCATTAATAAGAGGTGGCAAAAGTTTGGGGGAAAGAAAAATGCAGCTCTCAAGTTTGTCAGAGGTGATAGGGATGGAAGAGAAGAGGCTAGATAATAATTCCCTCATTAACTGGAGTATCAAGCTACCTCATTAGTTGGGGTATTGTGTTAGTCTGAGTTCTCCAGAGAAACAGAGCAGTAAGAAATATCTCTATCATCTGTCTATCTTATCTATCTATCTATTTATCTATCTATCCATCTAAAGAAAGATTTACTGTAAGAAATTGGCTCACATGATTATGGAGGCTGAAAAGTCCAAGATCTGCAGTCAGCAAGCTGGAGATCTGTGAGAGCCAGTGGTATATTTCCAGTTGAAGTTCCCAGCTTAAAGGTCTAAGAATCCAAAGATCCAATGGTGTAAGTTTCAGTTTGAGTTCGAGTTTGAAGGCCGGAGAAGACTGATGTCCCAGCTCAAAGTCAGTCGGGCAGAGAAGAGAATTCTTTCCTTCTCAGCTTTTTATCCTAGTTAGGTCTTCAACAGATTGGATGAGGCCCACCCACATTGGGAAGGGCAATCTGCTCACTCAGTCTCCTGATTCAAATATTTATCTTATCCAGAAATCCCCTTGCAGGCACACCCAGAAATAATATTTGCCCAAATATCTGGGCATCTCATGGCTTAGTCAAACTGACACATAAAATTAATGATCACATCAAGCTACCCAAGTAAACGGTGGTTAAAACAGCAATTATTCATTACTGCTCATATGACTGCAAGTTGGCTGGGGTGCAGCTGATGCAGACTTGGCTTGGCTGGGCTCTCTTATGTGTCTATGGCTCTGCTGGAGATTGGCTGACCTAGGTTGGGCTTGGTTTGGGCAGTTCTGTTCCACATGTATCTCATCCTCTATCTGGGACTGGTGGCCTGTCCTCTGCTAGCCATGAAGATGACAGAGCAAACTGAAACATGAAAGGCTTCTTAAGGCCTATGCTTCATTGGTGCAGAATATAGCAAAGCTTTTCTCTACTAGATGATCTGACATAAGGAAAATATTTATTGACTGAGATGTTTGGTTTGCTAACTGTGGAGGTGAATTGAAGTATTTACATACATCTTTATAGTATGAGAATATTCATGAGACGTGCAGCACTATAAGTGATCAGTGCTCTTCAGGGCAACGTGGAAAGACTCATGACTCTCCTACTGGGCGCCATGAACAAATCCCACAAACTCTTTCAGTCTTGTTTTTCTCAATGGGGGAAGTTAGGAGGTTTGGCCAAATGTTATGTAAGATTCTTCCTGACTTGTCTATTTATTGAATCTAGGTCTAAAAAAAAAATACAGCACAATTTTTGTAGTTGGGCTTCATTTCATTTGTGCACAGTGTCATTTACCTTCCTCTGTTCTTGGCAGGGGGATTGGAGATAATGCTGCAGAAAAGCCAAGTACACTCCCAAGGATAGGATTTGGCAGGAGCAGCTGCGACAGTGAGCTGGTGGATCCCTGGCCAGGAGGGAGCACAATGATAAAAGATTCAGGACTGTCAGAAATGCTGGATGCTGTAGAAAAGGATTGGATGATGCCTTCTCACTGGCCCCAGGGCTCTTGGAATTTGTTCTAGAGAAGCACAAAAAGAAGGGAGCAGGTGCTGGGAGCCACATCTCAAGTTGAAAAGCATACAGAACAATTATTTACTGAGAACTTGTGAATGCCAAGAGCTGATCATGTGTGGCTGGAATGGTAAGAGGTTGTGTGAGGAATATGATCTAAATTAGACCTGGTACCATCCTTTAAGAGACCTTATGGTAATAACCAGAGTGAGCAAAAATGCAGCACTGGGAATCAATGCTTAGGATAGGATATGTTGTAGAACACTCCAAACTCTGGGTTACAAATTAGAATACTAAAATCCCTATTACACAGATAGTTTGTATGGCTATTTAAAGATATCATGCCACACCTCTGCTCAGCATCAGTGTCCTGCTCTATTCATACCTGCATGAAAATAAGTTCACTTTATTTGCCACTGAATAGGTTTCCATAATTAGAAGGGAATTTTTACTCCTCCCTGCAGGAGGGGAAGATATAAACTGAACAATCCATGACTGAAGCAGAAATAACTTCACTAATGGCTGAATTTGGGGAGAGATAAAGAGCATGTCCAACTCTGTCTCTTCTCTCTCCTCTTTCAAAACTGCTTGTCCATAGAGAGGGTGAATTTTTCCATTCACCCATTGATATAGTCAGTATATTTGTCCCCACCCAAATCTCATGTTGAATTGTAATCCCCAGTGTTGGGGGTGGGGCCTGGTGGGAGCTGATTAGATCATGGTGGCGAATTTCTCTTGAGTGTTTTACCGTCACCCCCTTGATGCTGTTCTTGTAATAGTCCGTTCTCGTGAAATCTGGTCATTTAAATGCACATGGCACTTCTTTCTCTCTTGCTCCTGCTCTGGCCGTGTGATGTGCCTGCTCCCACTTCACTTTCTGCAGTGAGCAAAAGCTTCCCGAGGCCTTCCCAGAAGCAGATGCAAGTGCTATGCTTCCTATATAGCCTGCAGAACCATGAGCCAATTAAACCTCTTTTCCTATAAATTGCCCAGTTTCAGGTGTTTCTTTATAGCAATGAGAAAATGGCCTACAACATCCATGGGGTAAGTTCACCTGGGAATATGGTAGAGACTAGGGTGGTATTGCAGTTAGGACGGGCTAGGGCATGCTGCCATACTAATAACCTCAAAGCTTCGGCGGCTTAAGAGTACCAGGATACCTGCCGTTCATGAATCAGCTGTTGTCTTCATCCCACAGGGTCTTCACTCCTGGTCCAGGCTTATAAAGAGTCTATTTCTGGAACATTGCTGGATACTATGGAATGAATTACATTGCCCCAAAATTCATATGTTAAAGTCTTAACTCACAATGGGAGTTTGGAGATGTGGCCTTAGGAATAATCATGTTTAGATATAGTTATAGATATAGTTTAGATATAGTTTAGATATAGTTATGAGGGTGGGACCCTCAGGATTAGTACCCTTATAAGAAGAGACTACAGAGACTACAGGGATCTCTCTGTCTCTGTCTCTCTGTCTCTCTTTCTGGCCATGTGAGGACATGATTAGTAAGCAGCCAGGAAAGAGAACCTCACCAGAACCTGACCATGCTGGCACTCTGATCTCAGACTTCCAGGTTCCAGAACTACAAGAAAGTATATTTCTGTTGTTTGAGCCACCCAGTCTATGGCATTTTATTACAGTGGCTCAAGCTAAGACACTGGTCTTATAGCAGAGGGATTAAAAGACAAGACAAACACCCTCTGACTTCAAGAGCTTCTACTCAGAAGTTTTAGTCATCACTTTTGCTTGCATTTTTATTGCTCTCAGAAGTTATATGACCAAGCCTGAGGTCAAAGAGGTAGGAAATTATAATCCTCTCTCAGGCCCAGAATCATTTTTGACAGTGCATGCAGTGTGCTGGACTTGGAACGTGAGGTCTTACAGTGGCTCAGCCAAGCCAATGGTGGGCAAATGGCTGTGTCTAATTAGCAAGCCCCATGAGGTCACACATCTAAGCCACATCCTCTGATATAGGCGGATCAATAATTAAGCTGTTATTTTGGTCTTCATTTCTCTGGCTTCCATTTCTTAAAAGGTTCTGAACTCAGGAAAGGAAGAAAAGAGTGCTATATGCTCATCTCCTCAAAGCCAGATATTTTGGTGAAAAAACTGAACAGAGAAATAGGATGAGGAGGGAACATTTCTCACTTGCATCTCAACCAAGTGCCCAGCAGAATATCTGGAGCTTTTAAAATTTTCTCTTAGAAAAATCCCTGTAAAGCAGGTGTTACTATTTTCAATTTAAAAGATGGGAAATTGAGGCTCTGTGGTTTTATGCAAGTTGCTGAAGATACAAAGAAATGCAAGTCTGCCTGTAGCTATCCTTATCTGTCTGTAGCTGGTTTGTTAACCCCAGGTAAGGACAAAGGTATTGTGAAATGAAAATAGCCCCCTGTTCTCCTGGAGGGCTTGATGTCAGGCCTTACGGGTACCTAAAGGAGAAGAGAATCCTATAAATGGTGCTGCTCTATCACTCCAATCTCCACCTATCCATTTATTTATAAATCCACCTACTTATTTACTTAACCAATATTTATTGAGCACCAACTATGTGCCAGGCATGATGTTAAGTTCTTGGAATACAGCTGTAACTAAGATATATAGATTCCTGCTTTCATGGCCTTAAAGATTGTGATGGTTAATACTGAGTATCAACTTGATTGGATTGAAGGATGCAAAGTATTGTTCTTGGGTGTGTCTGTGAGGCTGTTGCCAAAGAAGATTAACATTTGCGTCAGTGGACTGGGAGAGGCAGACCCACCCTCAGTCTTGGTGGGTGCCATCTAATCAGTTGCCAGAACAGCTAGGATAAAAGCAGGCAAGATAATATGGAAGGACTATGCTGGTTAAGTCTCTGGCCTTCATTTTTCTCCCATACTGGATGTTTTCTGCTCTCAAATATCAGACTCCAAGTTCTTCAGCTATTGGACTCTTGAACTTACTTACCAGGGGCTCTTGAGCCTTTGGCCACAGACCAAAAGCTGCACTTTCAGTTTCCTTACTTTTGAGGTTTTGGGACTCAAACTGATCTACCACTGACTTCCTTGCTCCTCAATTTGCACATGTCCTATTGTGGGACTTTATCTTGTGATTGTGTGAGTCAATTCTCCTTAATAAACTCCCTTCCATATGTACATATATCCTATTAATCCTGTCCCTCTAGAGAACCCTGACTAATACAAAGACCTTCAAGGAGGACAGATGTTGACCAAATAACTGCAAATATAATGAATGCTACAAAGAACAGTGCAGGTGTGGAATGATGCAATGATGCAGCAGTGCAATGACGAAGATCTACCATTTGGTAGATCAGGGACAGCTTCTCAGAGGAAGTGGTATTGACACTGAGATCTGCTAGTGAGTCTCAGTTGACTGAACCAACTTCCCCTCAGAGTTCCCCTTTAGTCATTTCATTCCTCAGATAACTTGCATTTGAGGAACTGAGTGTTGGAATGTTCTAGTGGGTCTGAAGTCTCTCTCTGGCCTTCGTCAGCTACTCTCCATAAAGGAATAGGAGAGCTGCCAAGAGACTGATTCTCAGATTGTGTGAGGAGTGGTTTCCATTGTAATATGGTCAGACTGCATCTCATTAGGCAGAGACACTGGGGCCAGTGTAGTGTGAGAGACGAGAACAAGTAGTCAAGTTAAAACAGGAATTGAAATTATTCCAGGAATTCAAGTTTCTCTTAAAAGATTCTTAACACTCCTTTCCCTTTTGTCCACCTCCCCTGAGCCTGGCTTTTTCCCCCTTCAGGTCTCAGCTCATCTACCCCTTCCTGCCAGCAGCCTCCCCTCTTCTCTAAGGTGGTGCTGGGGACTCCTCCAAGGCCCCACATGGCATCCTGTGCTTCCTGCTCTGGTGGTGCTTGTCAACACCAGCCACACACTCACCTGGGAGCTTTTAAGAAATGATAATTTTTAGATCCCACCACTAGAGATTCCCATTCCAGTAGTCTGGAATAGCCCTTGGGCATCACCAATTTTAAAAAGCTGGTGGTGGCTCAAGCCTGTAATCCCAGCACTTTGGGAGGCTGAAGTGGGAGGATCAAAGGTCAAGAGATCAAGACCATTCTGGCCAACCTGGTGAAACCCTGTCTCTACTAAAAACACAAAAGTTAGCCGGGTGTGGTGGCATGCGCCTGTAGTCCCAGCTACTCGGGAGGCTGAGGTGGAGAATTGCTGGAACCCGGAATGGGAAGGTTGCAGTGAGCCAAGATTGTGCCATTGCATTCCAGTCTGGGAAAAGAGCGAGAATCCGTCAAAAAAAAAAAAAAAAAAAAAAAAAGAAAGAAAGAAAGAAAGAAAGAAAGAAGCTGCCCAATTGATTTTCCAGTGCTTCTAATAGTGGGCACACTGCTCCAACTGCAGCCCTTCTCACCTCACATTGCAAGTTCCTCCTTACTTATGCACATCTTCCCTTAAACTGTAAATTCTCAGAGTGTAGGATTAATAAGTCTACTGTCTCAGATTCATATAAGCTGGCACATATGGGTGCCCCATAGTCATCTGTTGAAAGGATGATGAGTGATGAAGACTGACGTATTTCTCTAATGCCACTACAAGGCTGCCATCTGGATTTTTCCTGGGGTCCTCCCACCTTCATCTGATACTTGATCCCATGTCTTGGTAGCATCTGGGCTTTCAGTTTAGCTTGAACTATATGAAACCACCAATCAAGGCTGCCTTTGCGGTAGCTGCTCTATTTCCACTTCCAGAAGTCTATTCTGTAGCTTACACCTTGTAGAGAAGCTCATCAACTCATTCACATACAGCTGAAAGCAGCTGGCAGAGCACTGACAATAGTTATGTATATACACAGTAGAACTTGGGGGCTGAGTTGCAAAAACTATGTTTGAGTCCTGGCTCTACCAGTTACTAAAAGGTCATGATGCATTAAAAGTGAGAAAAAAAAAGGTAAAGAAACCAGTGATAGCCAAGATACTATCTTTACAGTAAATTCCCTGTCCATCATTTTGTTTAGTCCCACAAGTACCCAAAGAAGTAGAAATAGATGTATATTCTCAGGATGCCGGACCTGGGTAAGAATCTTGGCTCTGTAGGCAGGTTAGACCTGTTTATTAATAACTTACACAGTATGTTGTTTATCAAGAAGTCACTTCCACCTTCCAAGCCTTGGTTTTCTTATTTATTATGTGCTATTAATGCCGTACTGCCCTATTTTTCTGCAAGGTGGTTGAGAGAGATGATAGAGTAGTGGTAGAATACATGGGCTCAGAAACCAGACTGTCTGTGCTGAAGCTCGGCTTGGCCACTTATTGCCTGTATGACCTTAGCCAAGTGATTTGACTTGTGTCTCAGTTTTCTTATTGGCAGAATTGGGATAATATTAATATCTACAACAGAAGGTTACTGTGAGATTAGAAGGAGTTGATTTTGGTAAAGTTCTGAGTACGGGGGCCAGACATAGAGTGACTCTACCAAAATATTAACTGCAATTATTGTCATTACTCTTCAATTCAATTTAAATTGAATTAAATAATATTACTATCATTATTATTACTATTATAGATGGTGTGGTAAATTCTGTCAGCCACCAAGCAGCAAGAGCAGAGGGTTTTGAACCATCTTTGGTTAGGGCAGGCATGTTCAAAACACCAAATCAGCCCAACAGAGGTGTGACGCCGTGAATCATCCAACAAACACTTTCAGAAACAATGCTAGATTGGGCTCAAGAAAGCTGGAATTTTTTTCTCCTTCTCTGCTCTGCCGCTCATTTGTTAGGTAACATTGGCAATGAATTAGCTGCTTAGAGCTTCATGTACAGACCAGGCAATCCTGTCTCCTTCTTACATGGGACTCTTGTAAGGATCCAATGAAGTAAAAGAACAGGTGCTTCGCGAATGCTAGTTCTTTTCTCTATATTAGGTGTGTGCACAGAATACCTTTTGTGCCAATAAAGCATGAGATGAGATAAATCCAAAAGTCTTTCTCTTATAATATCCTTGGCTTCTCAAGAAGTCATTGTAGTCATGCAGCCGAGGCAGCTGTGGCTTTCTGAATAGCTGGAAATTTGTCCTTGGAGGCCACAGCAGGACAGATGGGATAAGGGAGTCATGAATAAACAACAACATGAATAAGCTATTCAACTGTGAGGGTATTTAGACAGTGGAGAATCTGGGCTCACTTGTTAACTTTGTCCAAAGACTCTAGTTTCTGTTATAGTATTTGGAGGTCAACCGGAATACCCAGGCCTCTGAATAACAAAGGATGTTTTCAACGTTCATTAACAAGGATGAATGGAAGTTCTTAGAGTCATAGATATAAGGACTACCATTGTTCTCAAGAAATTTAGAGATCCTCCAATCCAGCTTCTCATTCTCAAAAAATTAAATAAAACTAGGGCTAAAAAGTCATGGGACTCATATAAGGTCGCACTGTGTTATTACTGTCATTCATCTACAATTTACTGAGCACATGCTGTATTCTGGGTTTTGGTTTGTGTGCTGGTGGTGGGAAGATGACCAAAACAGTCTTGCTTCCTTGGGAACTGACAGAAACAAATGAGAAAATGTGTGATTACAAGAGCACTAAATTGTCTTCAACTGCTTCCTATCATGCATTGTATCTATGTCAAGTTGGCTGTGAAACACTGAGTTATTGGACATTCATGCGTTTCATGATTTGGGTGAAGATCAGCGTGCTGAATAAAGTTTGTTGACCTTTCCAGGTTTGCTCTCCAATTTGATTGCTACAGGAGGAGTGAAAGTGAGATCAAGGTGTTTATAGTATTTACGCTCTTGCTGTAGGCTCGCAACTCATTTGGGCTGTACCTTCAAACAGAAGGCCAAGGTAGTCTCCATAAGACTTCCAGATTCTGATCATCTCTCCTTTCCCTAGTCCTATCCTATGGTATGGGCCTATGGGTAAGTTATAGCCCCTCTGTTTATAGCCCAGTGTATTTCACTATTCTTGTGGTCTGCTCATACCCTGCCCTCACCTCTGGAAATAGACCCTTTATTAAACCCCTTTAACATTTTGAATGTGTCATTTGTTTCCTACTGGGATCCTTGATGACAAAATGTGGTAAAAGCACGCTGAAATATCTGAAACATTGTCTGATGGTGGCAAGGGACAAAAGAAAGAAGACAAAGAGAAAGTAAAGGAGGGGGGAGTCCTCTAGTTTAGTATGCAGTTGAAAGGAGAATTAGTGAATTAGGAGGTAGCATGGAGAGATTTAGTATAAATATAACATAGTTATATATGAATTACTGGAACCAAATACTTTTATAAATGAGTTTTAAAGAAAAAGATAATTTACACTGTCTTCCAGAGGAAAAAAGAGGAAAACTTACTCAATTATTTTTAAAAGGCTAGTAAAACATTAATTTTAAAAAAAATCATTGACGAGTATATTAAAAAATGTTATTAACCTAGCTCATAGTTTTAAGAAACTAATAAAATATAAGGCAAGGATGGTTTAATATCAGGAAAAACTTCAATTAAATTCATATTTGATAAAATGAAGGAGAAAATATTTGATATTTACTGTTTCCCATCCCTTGATGCCTAATGCTATGGTTTGACTACGTTCCCCAAAGTTTATGTGTTGGAAACTTAATCCCCAATGTGACAGTGTTGAAATGTGGGTCTTTTAAGAGGTGATTAGGTCATGAGGGCTTTGTCCTCATGAATGAATTAATGCTGTTATTTTGCACATGAGTTCCTAATAAAAGGATGAGTTTGTCCCCATCCTGTCTCACTTGTGTATAATCTCTTCCCTCTCCACCTTCCACTAATGGATGACATAGCAAGAAGGCCCTCACCAGATGAAGGCCCTTGACCTTAGACTTCCCAGTCTGTAGAACTGGAATAAATAAAATTTCTATTCTTTATAAATTTCCAGTCTCAGGTATTCTGTTATAGCAGTATATGAACTAAGACACCTTCTAACTCATGCCTTCTTGAAAAGTTTCTCAATTTGCTTTATAATTCACAATTTAATTCTGGAGCTTATTTTATTCTATTATTTAGCCATCTATTCCATACTGTTTTCCTTCTTTCAACTATTATCTATTCCATACCTAATCTTTCCTTTTGTTTTTCTTTTATTATTATTTAAAACATCTTGTCCTGTCTTTGTTTTACATAGTTAATATCCTTCCTTAGCTCTTTATGTGTATTGAGTATGCTTATTTTAAATTCTTTATTCAGTGCTTCTTCACCTTTAGCTTTTGTGCACCTTCCAAGGTTCTGGTCTTGTATTTGAGGTAGTTACAGGAGACTTATCATTTTGAGCTCAAACTCCCATGGAGGTATTTGATTCTCTGTCTGGTAATAGGTATTTGAGATGGGTCTGAAGGCAGACCCTGGTCTGGTTCTCTCAGTTTTGAGGAGTTGAAGGAGAGGGGAGGGGATAATCCCTAGTGTGAGGAGCATAAGTACTGTGGATTTACTTTAATTACTCATGCTTTCTTTCCCTGCAGGCACTTTTCAGGTCAGTGTTTCACTTCTAAACGCACAGGAAAAAGTGATTTGACATGGGCTCTTAGGCTGTAATCCATCAGTCCTGGGAATTAGATAAGAGAGAGATGGAGGAGTAAGTGCCAGAGGCTATGCAGTCTGCACATCTATTTGTCAACTCCTTACTCAAGCAGATCTAGGAGTAATCACCTTGGATTTCACTGGTCTATGTGGTCTCTTATGTGACTCCATTGAGGGGAGATATATTTAAGAATTCAGAGGTTTTTTGTATTTTAGAAAAGAAATGATGTGCCTGGACTGGATATTATGTGTGGCTCACTAGGACCTGTGGCAGGACCCAGTAATAAAACCTATTAATATTTTGCTGTAACATATGATAATGGTCAAGTGAAATGGAGTTTGTAAGGCCATAAATGACTTTACTATGGTTCAGGTGAGGTTTTGCTACACAAGAAGTTCATACAGGGTCATATTTTGCCTTCAAACGTGTTATCAAATCTTTCAGCTTTCAGAATTTTTTGGATTTTAGCATGGGGTAAGGAGTTTTAACCCTATGTATGGAAGAGCTGAAATCCCAGAGGCAACTGCTAAAGCACTTTGTTATCTGATCTCTCCTACCTCAAAGGAGGAGTGAATAATACACATACCAAATGTCAGAAAGGAATTCCTATGGGTAAGACCAGTGACTTGTTAATTAGTCTGATAAATATGTAAAAAGAGCTCTTTTTGATCAAAGCGAAGATATTTGGAATTTGTGTCTGACTCTTAGAAACATTCTGCCTTTGATGAATAGATTATGAAGCCCAGTAAGGCCTGTTCCCTTCACTTTTAGGGGTACCTTGGGCTAACCCCCTAAGCATCTCATGTTCCACTGTGAATGCTGGATTCTAAGTTGCATATAAATAGAACCCTGCACCTGGAATTTTGATGTTTGCCCCTTTTGAGCTTTCAAGAAATGTTTGTGGTCCCTGGAAGAAAAAGGCTGGCTTTTTCTCAGGCTGTCAGAGAAGGTTGTATAAACTATTTGTGTCATCTTTCCCAGTGAATGGTTATTTCATGATATCCCATCTTGTGATAGATTTTGGTCTAAAACATGCTTTTAATATAACCTAGTGACAAGAGTAGGGGGAACAGCTAATCCTCATCCACTTCAAACTTCTTTGAGGGTTACCAATACTCACAGATAATAAAGAACCCCAGAGCAGTACTCAACCAACATTGGTGACTTCTCACTTATTGGGGGAACCTGCCCCCAATATTTCAATGTACGTTCTTTCTATTTTCCCTAAGTGTTGGCTGGCTGATAAATAAAGAGTACAAAGAGAGCAATTTTGCAGCTGGGCCTCCAGGGGTGACATCACATATCGGTAGGACTGTGATGCCCACCTGAGCTGCAAAACCAGCAGGTTTTTATTAAGGACTTCAAAAAGGTAGGGGGTATACGAACAGGGAGTAGGTCACAAAGATCACATGCTTCAAAGGGCAAAAAGGAGAACAAAGATCACATGCTTCTGAGGCCAGTAAAGATCACAAGGCAAAGGGCAAAGCAAAGATCACAAGGCAAAGGGTGAAATCAAAAACTCCTGACAAGGGTCTATGTTCAGCTGTGCACGTATTGTCTTGATAAACATCTTAAACAACAGAAAACAGGGTTTGAGAGCAGAGAACAGGTCTGACCTCAAACTTACCAGGGAGTGTTTTTATCCCCACCCTAATAAGCCTGAGGGTACTGCAGGAGACCAGGGCGTATTTCAGCCCTTATCTCAACTGCATAAGACAGACACTACCAGAGAAGCCATTTACAGACCTCCCCCCAGGAATGCATTCCTTTCCCAGGGTCTTAATTATTAATATTCCTTGCTAGAAAAAGAATTCAGTGATATCTTCCCTACTTGCATGTCCTTTTATAGGCTCTCTGCAAGAAGAAAAATATGGCTCTATTCTGCCCAACCCCACAGGCAGTCAGACCTTATGGTTGTCTTCCCTTGTTCCCTGAAAATCGCTGTTATTCTGTTCTTTTTCAAGGTGCACTGATTTCATATTGTTCAAACACACATGCTTTACAATCAATTTGTACAGTTAGATACAGTTATAGTGGTCCTGAGGTGACATACATCCTCAGCTTACAAAGATAACAGGATTAAGAGATTAAAGTAAGACAGGTGTAAGAAATTATGAGTATTATTTGGGAACTGATAAATGTCCATGAAATCTTCACAATTTATGTTCAGAGATTGCAGTAAAGACAGGCGTAAGAAATTATGAAAGTATTAATTTTGGGAACTGATGTGTCCATATTAAAATGAAATCTTCACAATTTATGTTCCTCTGCTGTGGCTCCAGCAAGTCCCTCTGTTTGGGGTCCCTGACTTCCTGCAACACTCACTAGCAGAGGAAATGGTACTAGCTACAGAATCCAACCTACTTGGCAGATACCCTGGGGTAAGCCTAGGCTGGAAACCATTCTACTCAGTCTCACTCTCCAAAAAGAGTTGGGGAAACTAAGGACCTCAGTGTCCCAGCCTCAGAGAATCAAAAGAAGGGCCAAGAGGCTCAGGAGAAATGTCTGTAGCCTTATCCCTGAGAGATTATTGCACAGTTCACACATCAGCTACCTGGTGTTGGGCAACAAGAATGGACAAAAGGAACACAGGCTGGTATGGCAATGGGATGGGGAAGCAGAGCCCAATGTTCTCTTCCAAGCTGAGGAGCACACAGATGCCCACATTATGGGTTTCTTCAGAACATGGGAAGACCACACCTGGGAGACTTAGGAATGCCCTGGCAGAGGGAGGAAACTCTCACTGTTATGTTCTGTGCTCCTGCAGACTGTTCATTCCTGGCCAAGCCCAGGCTGGTGCCAGGGAAGAAGGGGCAGGACAGGAGGTCAGGGAAGAGAACTGGGATCCGGCCAGGTGTGTGCATGGTGGGTTCAAATTATTAATAGGGACCAAGGAGTCCAATCACAGATACTGAGCCAAAAAGGCAGGGTGGATCCAAATAGTCACGCAGCCTGAGGCCCACAGTCTCCAGACACTTCCCACATCCCCACACACACCTGCAGCTGGGAAGAGGCTGCTGATGTGCTGCTCATGCCGCCTGGAGCTTTGGGGACCTAAGTCTGACGGTGGAGCCTGTTAAAGTCTGTGACTAGATGGCTCCCTATGACTGAAGGAATTTCAGATTTCTTTAACTGGTATTCATCATTGGCTATGAACCTCATTTCTCATACATCCTTTTACACCTCACATGTTGGAGTGGTGTCAGGATTATTTTTAAAATGAGGAAAATATCCTACAGCAGAGTTATGAAGCACCTAGCACTGGCCTGGCACATAGTAGATGCTCAGGAAGCAAAATTTTCTTTCTCTCTCTCCTCTTCCTAAAGATATCTGACAAAGGCTGGTTGGATTGAATTAAATTTACTGTAACTATCTCATCTGCCTGGAAGCCTTCCTTTTGTGTATGTGTGTGTATGTGAATTGCCTGCTGAGTGACATGTATTCACTTTCATCTGGGGTTTTAAATTCAATTGAATAAAAGTCACCGTAGGAAACAATGCTTCTTCGAAGAAAATGCAGGAAAAGTTATAGCTGAGCTTCAACTTGTCCACCAAAGCTGACCAAGAAGATGAGACATTAGAGAAATAAAACATCTCTATTTTCTGAAACATATATACACAGAGGAAGAAAAAAAGCTATCTATAATAATTTTCAATTTGAGAGAGGTGGTGACCTGTAGCTGGCTACTATAATAGGAAAATTTGATTGTGCTGAATCCGGTTTAAAAAAAAAAAAAGAGGCCCAGAAAAGTTGTAAGTAGTAGTAGGAGGAGGGGCAGCGCTGCTTTGAGGGGCAGAGGTCGCTAGTATCAGTGGCATGACCATGTGAATGACTGGCCTTGGAAGTGGTGTGCACAAAACACTGCTACTGTCATCCCTGACTTCGGTGGGCCACGCTTTGGAGACAGCTTTGCTGAACCCAGTCACAGAGTGTGAGGGAGAAGCAGGGAGCTGACGCAGCATGCAGCACAGTGGTTAGGAGACTGGCTTTGGAGTCAGACAGGCCCAGCTTAAATTCTAACTCTGATGCCCACTCTCTGGGTGACCTGGAGCCAATTTTCTCACCTTTGTGAACCACAATTTCCTCGGTTGGAAAATAAAGTCTCAAGTCTACCTTGCAGTATTAGTGTGAGGGTAAATGCAATAAAGCAAGCAAAATTGCTCATTGCCTGGAGCATGGGAAATGCTCAAGCAATCACTCATTTTCGAGTTCATTCATTGTGGGAGCCTGGACTCTGGGAATTAAGAAACTGGGAGAGAGTAGGATAAGAGTCTAGTTGGGTACAGGTTTGTCTTAATAGTCTCTAGTTCCCTGCCAATTAAAGACTAGTTGGTTCCTGAAGGGTGCCCATTCCCTTGGGAATATAATGCCCATCAATAGATTGTCATCTACTTTGAGAAATGTACAACAAGCTCTTTTTAAATAAGGTGCATCACACATGCCTGGTAAAGGCATGTTTGACCTTTATGCTTTGTTTTCAAACCCATCAGAAGTTAGACTTCAACTAATTCAGCAAGGCCCCATCATGTATTAGAAAAAGTCTGAGTTCTGAAGTCATAAAGGCAGAGGTTTGTATCTGGCTCATCATTTTTGAGTCTTTAATTAACATACATTTATTGAAGCTGGCCCAGTTAAAGGTATGCGGGGAGCCAAGGTTGGGGGGTTATATGCAGAAATTGATTACAGCAATCAATACCTTCATGATAATCTTAGTCCATTAGAAAAGTAAGAGGCACGTGCCTGTGGTCCCAGCTACTCCAGAGGCTGAAGTGGGAAGATCACCTGAGCCCAGGGAAGTTGAGGCTACAGTGAGCCGTGATCACTCCACTGCACTCCAGTGGGAAACCCAGTGAGACTCTATCTCAAAACAAAAAAACAAAATAAAACAAAAACGTAAGAAAAGTAAGAGCCATAAACGCAGGCATGTAAAATGATGTACAAGTTCAGAGATGGAGGGATACTCTGCAGATTATGGAGTACACCAAGCCCTCCTGAAGATTGTATGTTTCCAGAAGATTTCCTGAGACAGATAATACCTGAACACAGTCTCAAGGGATAAAGAGAATGAGTTTGGGGGTGAGACAATTTAAACAGAGAGAGGCTTTGTATTCTTGTACTTTCATTTTCCCTGAATATGAAATAGAAACAGCATCTATCTCACAGGGTCATTGCCGGCATTGAGATTCTAATGCATTGGAGATTGTTTCACTGAATAACAGCATCTGTGCTGTGGTTTGAGTGTTTGTCCCCTCCAAAACTCATGTTGGAATTTAATTCTCAATGTGGCAGTATTGAGAGGTGGGACTTTTTTGTTGTTGTTGCTCATTTATTTTATTTTATTTTTTTTACTTTTCAAGCTAGAAGGGGAGAGGTGGGACTTTTAAGAGGTGCTTGTGTGATGAGGGCTCTGCCCTCGTGAATGAATTTTTACATTCATGACTTAATGGTTTAATGGGTTGATGGATTAATGGGTTATCATGGGAGTGGAACTGGTGTCTTTTTAAGGAGAGGAAGAAAGACCTGAGCTAACATGCTCACCCCCTCACCATGTGAAGCCCTGTGCCACCTTGCGACCTCACAGAGTCCCTGCCAGCAGGAGGGTCCTCACCAGATGTGCCCCCTCAGCATTGTACTTAGCCTCCATAACTGTAAGAAATAAATTTTTTTATGAATTACCCAGTTTCAGGCTTTCTGTTATAAGCAACAGAAAATGGCCTAAGATAAGCTGTGAGCATTAACTTAATACAACTTTGTTAATTTGATAGCTAAAATATTTTAACATTGTGATATAAATTCATTTTTATAATTAGTGCAATAAAGTATTTTTTATATAATTGTTACTCATTTATATTTTTACTTTGCGAACTTCCTACTTTTGCGCTTGGCACATAAAAGCTCAAGCTTTAGAAGTCATTGCAGTGCCTAGAAGAGTGATACACAATATGAAATAAATGAGATGGGAGGAAGTGTCAATGGTTATAAATTCTAGGTGATGAGAAGACTTAGAGAGCTGGTCCAAGACATACAGAACTGTGTTTCTGAGATATATCATGGATTTCTTGAATTGAAACAAATTTTGATGGTCATTTTACCCCTCACCATGAAGATAACCCTTTATTTCTAATTATCTAATTAACACATTCACCCTTTAATGATCTATTCCTATTTCCAAGTGGAAGTCCTGTTGTGGCCCTGGAGACTCAGAGATGGACGAGGCATTGTCTCTGCCCTTGGGGACTGTATTCCACTAGAGAGGGTGACATGTGAGTAGATCTTTTAAATATAATATTATCACTGCAGAGACAAGGCTGTGTCAGGGGCTGCGGGAGGAGTGCTTGGTGCCCACTGTGGGGGCTTATAGCAGTCTTCCTAGACAGGGGATAAGCCTGGACTTGCACCTCAAATTTGCAGAAATCATTACTGACAATGGATCATTGCATGTTTATCTTTCTTGGATTTACTCTGAGTAATTCCTTGTTCTCTGTGAAATCTGTCTATTTTGTGATTAAGAATGGGAAATGCACACAGAATTATTGGTGTTTGTTAATCTAGTTTAGATATCCAGAGCATAATCAATGACTGGATATGACACTTTTGCCAAGAGGAGAATCAGCTGTGTGCACCAGTGTTCTGTGTGTGGTGGATGCAGCGTGCTGCTCACAGCTCATGACCGGGGCATGGATCCCAGGACTCAGTCAGTAGTAACTTTCTGTGACATGTTAGATAAGATCCTTGTCAACCCCACTCTTGGATTTCCACTCTTTTATCTATTCATCCATTTGTCACATATTTATTTAACACTTATTATGTGACC
The DNA here is from genome assembly GCF_000001405.40 of Homo sapiens. Taxonomy (NCBI): domain Eukaryota; kingdom Metazoa; phylum Chordata; class Mammalia; order Primates; family Hominidae; genus Homo; species Homo sapiens. The sequence goes on from NC_000008.11 coordinate 135,935,224, forward strand.
GGCTTTATTTCTAAGCATGGATCAGCAAAAATTTGATTAAAAGGGCAAGAAAATAAACATTTTAGTCTTTGTAGGCTAAAACACATAATCAAATATATTATATCAAGGTACTACATAAGAAGAAAGAAAACAAGTTTCTAAAATTTTTTAACTGATGAAATTAAACTATAATAATATTTGACTACATACAAAAATCGGCCTACTAATTAAAAAAAAGGAATTAATCTTTTGGATGCTATGGTATGAATGTTTGTGACCTTCAGACATTCATATGTTGGAACCTAATCTCCAATGCAATGGAATTAAGAAGTGGGGTCTTTGAGAGATGATTATGTCCTAAGGACTGCACCCTCACAAATGGGATTAGTGCGCTTACAAAAGAGGCCTGAGGGAGCTTGTTGGCCCCTTCCACTATTTGACAGTGCAGCAAGGTGTCATTTTTAAAGCAAAGAGTAAATTCTCATCAGACCCCAAATCTGCTGGTGCCTTGATCTTGGCCTTACCAGCCTCCAGAACTATTGTTTGTAAGTTACCCAGTCTAAGGTATTTTTTTTATAGCAACCTGAATGGACTAACACACTGGATGATAACATTTCACTTAGTTGAGGTGCAAAGTTAGTGTTCCCTATCATCGAATTGATTACAATTATTGATCTCTAAAAGCAATTTTTATCTTGCAAGCCCATAGAAATAGGCAGTCAGCTGTATTTAGTCCATGAACCATGGTTTGATGACCTCTGTTCTAAACACTAGAATGTAGATGTGAACATGTGAATAAAATCAAGTCAATTTCCTCATGGAGACTGCATTCTAATAGGGGTGACAGACAGCAAACCAAAAACTATAAAGACTTTAAGAGATGCAACACTAAGGAAAATATAGAAATGACTAATAAACACATAAAGAAGACGCTCAACATCATTTGTCACCATGGACATACAATTAAAAACTTCAGGAGACACCACTTTAAAGGCACTAGAATGGTTTTAAAGAAAAAACTGACAATGCCAAATGTTGGTGAAGTTTTGAGCATCTGGTTAATTCCTTACACCACTGAGAGGGTAAAATGGAACAGCTGGTAGTTTCTTTTAAAGTTAACAGTATACTTACCCTCTGATGTAGAGATTATGCTACTAGGTATTTACCAAAGAAAGAAGAAAATACACATCTACACAGACGCTTATGTGAGAATATTTAGAACAGCTCGATCTGTAATAGCTCCAAACTGAAATCAACCCAAATGCACATTAATGGGAGAATAGGAAAACACATCTTGTCCCACTGGAAGGTCTTCAGGGGCAATAACAGACATGGAGCTGTCATCTCCTAGGATAACAAGGCTTTCTTCTGGAATACCTCTTGAAGAACCTGCCTGAGACTGTTTTACAGTTAACTTAAACAAATAAGCAGAAGGAGTATACTCTAAAATAAAGATGAAAAGTAGAATGTAGTAAATATATAACCATTAACATAGTCATTTATTATTATTATCTAGTATTATGTACTATTTGTAACTGTATGTGCTATACTTTTATATGGCTGGCAGTACAGTGGGTTTATTTACACCATGTATTAGTCTGTTCTCACACTGCTATAAGGACACACCCAAGACTGGGTAATTGATAAAAGAAAGAGATTTAATTGACTCACAGTTCTGCATGGCTGGGGAGGCCTCAGGAAACTTACAATCATGGCAGATGGCACCTCTTCAAAGGGCAGCAGGAGAGAGAAGTGCTCAGCGAAGAGGGAAGCCCCTTATAAAACCATCAGACCTCATGAAAACTCACTATCATGAGAACAAGATGGGGGAAACCACCCCCATGATTCAATTACCTCTACCTTGTCCCTCCCACAACACATGGGGATCGTGGGAACTATAATTCAAAATGAGATTTGGGTGGGGACACAACCAAACCATATTAGAGCAGCATCACCACCACAGACAGGCAAGTAATAGGTTGTGCTACAACATGATGGCTACAGTCACTAGGTGGTAGGGATTTCTCAGCTTCATTATAATCTCAAGGGATGGCTGTCATGTATGAGGTTCATCATTGACCAAAACATCTTATACAGCATATGACTGTATTTTTTTCTTCTCCCTGAAGAACTTCTTTTGGCATTTCTTTTGGAGCAGGTTTACTGACCCTAAGTTTTCTCAGTTTTTGTTTGTCTGAGAAAGTCCTTATTTCTCCTTTACTTTTGAAGGATAATTTTGCCAAACCTTGGAATCTAGATACATGTTTTTTACTATTTTGACACTTTAAATATTTCAGTTCACTGTTGTATTCTAGTATGACTTCTTATGAGAAACCTGCTGTGATTCTCATCTTTGTTCCTCAGAAAGCAAGGTGTTTTGTGTTTTCCCTTCCAGCCTTCTTTCAAGTTTCTCTCTCTCTCTCTCTCTTTTTTTTTTTTGTTATTTTCTTTCTGCAGTTAGAATAGGATAGGTGTAGCTATTTTTTTTTGTATTTATTTCTGTTAGTTCTCTGAGCTTCCTGCATTTGTAGTTTGGTGCATGTCATTAATTTTTGATAAATTATTGGCTATATTGCTCCAAATATTTCTTCTGCACTACTTTTTTTCCTTCTGATATTTGAATTATACATGCAGTAGCCACTCTTATCTTCATCTTTGCTTTCTGTAGTTTCAGTTGCCCATGATCAATCACAGTTCTAAAATAGTAAATAGAAAATTCCAAAAATAAAAAATTAAAATTTTAGATTGTGCACCATTTTGAGTAGGGTGATGATATCTCTTGCCATGAGAGCTGTGTGATGAAATCTCTTGCCCGAAACGTGATTCATCCCTTTGTCCAGCATATCTGCACTGTGTACACTATCTGCTAGTTAGTCACTTAGCCATCTCAGTTATCTGCTACTGTGACATCACAGTGCTTATATTCAAATAAACCTGATTTTACTTAAGAATGGCCACAAAACACAAGAGTAATTATGCTGGCAATTTGTATACACCAAAAAGAAGCTATAAAATGCTTCATTTAAGTGAAAAGGCAAAAGTTTATGACTTAGTAAGTAAACAAAAAAAAATCAATGCTGGGGTTGCTAAAATCTATGGTAAGAACAAATCTCTCTGTGAAACTGAGAAGAAAGAAAAAAAATTGTAGTTTTGCTGTCATACCTCAAACTGCAAAAGTTATTGCCACAAGGCATGGTATGTGCTTAGTTAAGATAGAAAAGGCATTTAATTTGTGGGTGGAAGACACAAACAAAAACATGGTCTGATTGACAGCAATCAGGTTGGGAATATTTTCAGTTTCAAGCATTTACTGGGGGTCTTGGAATGTATCTCTTGTGAACAAGGAGGAAGTACTGTATGTTACATCGTTTAAAATTGTCCCATAATTCTTGGATATTGTTCTGTTCTTATTTTATTTCTCTTATTTCTCTTTGCATTTCAGTTTGGTAAGTTATTATTGCCCAATTCTCAAGATCACTGGTTATTTCCTAATTCATGTCAAGTCTAGTGATAAGCCCATCAAATGCATTTTTAATTTTTATTGATGTTTTTTATTTCCAGTGTTTTCTTTTGATTCTTTCTTAGAATTTCCATATTTATCTTTACATTACTCTTTTTTTTGCCTGTTGTCTACTTTTTTTACATTAGAGTTCTTAAGACATTAATCATAGTTACATAGTTATTTTAAATTTCTTTTCTTTTTTTCTCTCTTTTTTTTTTTTTTTTTTTTTTTGAGATGGAGTCTCACTCTATTGACCAGGCTGGAGTGCAGTGGCATGATCTTGGCTCACTGCAAGCTCTGCCTCCTAGGTTCATGCCATTCTCCTGCCTCAGCCTCCCAAGTAGCTGGGACTACTGGCGCCTGCCACCATGCCTGGGTAATTTTTTTTTGTATTTTTAGTAGAGACAGGGTTTCACCGTGTTAGCCAGGATGGTCTCATCTCCTGATCTCATGATCCACTTGCCTCGGCCTCCCAAAGCGCTGGGATTACAGGTGTGAGCCACCACACCCGGCCCATTTTAAATTTCTTATCTGATGATTCTAACATCTACGTTATAGCTGATTATGATATTTGCTTTGTTTCTTCAGAGTATTTTTTTGACTTTTATTTAGCATGCTTTGTAATATTTTGCCAAAATATGGGCATGATATATCACATAATGGGAAGTGAGGTCAGTGGCACTTTAGTATGAGGTTATTGGTTAATCTTGCTAGGAGTTGTGCTTTGTTTAATGTTTGCTGTATCTGTAGGTACCAGAGTCTTCACATTCCTCTAGCATCCTTGCTTTTGTCTTCCTTGTTGACATTAGGTTTCCCTAAATACTCCTCCTCAGAGAGAATTTGCATCTTACAGTTCTTTCAGCTGAAATCTACTATTAGTATACCAGAGCCCTGTTGATATGGTGGTAAACTGAGAGAAAGGAGAAGTGTTCTATAAATCTTATGAGTAAATCTCGATCTTTTATTGGCCTGTATTTCTGGGCTTTGATTTTCAGTGTTTCTGAGCTTTCCCCATTCAACACCCTTAGTTGAGTCAGGAAGACTAGAGGGATTTAAGTGGGTGAAATGTTTTCTCTCAAGTGGGATAAACTCTAGTAAAATCCCTTCCCAACCTGAACTAGAAGATTTTTCTGTGGATAATGCCCCAGGGCAAGGAATAATGTTTGCCCATGGGCAAGGTACAAGGAATAATCTTTCCTTTCCCCTGCCAGGATTACAAGGTGCTCTTTCTCAGGTCTTCACCATTGGAACCCACTGGGGTTTCTGGAAGTAAAACCCACAAAAGTATGTGGGCTTGCCTAAAACTTTATATTAGTCTCACTTGGCCTCCAGAAATTTGTAAAAATTACCATTGAGCTGCTTCTGCCAGTTTATGGCTTTAGCCACTTCTGCTCTAGGTAAGCAGATCTCAGCTGTGATTCTCTATTCACCTGTCTTTGCAGATTCTGGGGTGGCAGTTTTCCTGTAACCTCAGTTCTCTAATAGGTCTAACAGAAGTCATTGATTTTCATAGTTCAACTTTGTTTTGTTGTAAGGATGAAAGAGACTACTCTCAAGCTCTTTATATGTTGGGCCAAAGTCCAATTGTGCTACATTTGTGCAATGGAATTACACTCAGCAATAAAAAATAATGAACAACTAACACATTAAACATTATAGAGTGAATCTTGAATACATTTTTCTGAGCAAAGTAAGATAGACACTAAGATGAAAATGTATGATTCAAGTTTTATGAAGTTTACCAACAGGCAAAACTAATCAGTGTTGGTAGAAGTCAGAACAGTGGCTGCCTCTGAGGGAAGGTCAGGAATTGACTGGAAGAGAGAGTGAGAGAAGTTTCTGGTATGATGGAAATGTTTCATATCTTGACTGGGACACTGGCTACACAAGTATATGCATTTGTCAAAAATCATCTAACTCTACACTTAAAATATGTGCATTTCACTTTGTGTAACTTTTACCTTAATAAAACTCATTTAAAAATAGATGTCTTTTGAAGTCATAGAATGGAGGAGGTTGGCTAAAGAGTGAGTGTGATGAGAAAAGAATGAGCCTGAAGATGGATCCCTGGGGTGCCTCGAGGAACAGAGCAGAAAGACCCAGTAGGGGACCCTGAGGAGGAGCAGCCCAGTGGGTTCCCCTCTAAAATGAGGGAGTGAATGAGACCAGCATCAAGGTGTCTCTCAGATTCAGAAACACTGCAACAGTAAGGCATGGATCAGGTACTGCTCTAATGAGCCCAGGCTCCATATCCAATCACACTGGCTTGTAGAATTCTGCAGAAATCTGGCAGTCAGCGAGCTGAGGATTATGAGGTCCTTCGTGGTTGTCTCAGTGAAGTGTCTCCCAGTGCAGATGATGTGAATTCCTGGAGCATGTCCACACTTTGCTGGAGTGATAGGAGGAGGAGCAGGGAGAGAACTTGAACTCCAACCCATGGCTTAGGAATGCTGGAAGTAGGAGGGATAGAAATACACCTTACCAATCGGCCATCTCTAAGTTAGTAATTGAATCCAGTTTGACTCCGAGCCATGTAGGAGTTCCCTAATGTCCTGAAAGGGTAAGTAAGTGACACTGTGGAGTAAATGTAAGTAAAGCATGCACTTAATATTCATAATCATTAATGATAAACCTTGTCTAAATATACATTCTGCCTTGGGATATTAAGAAATGATAATGATGTCTATATTTATATAACCATAAGTGATTGTAGGTAGATTTACAGATAGATAGATGATAGGTAGATAATGAGGGTGAAAGGGCATGCTGAAATATTTTTTCCTGTGGAAGTTCAATCAGAATGCAGGCACCTGCTGTAGTGAATAGATTGGAGAGTGTTTCAGATTCAAGTGAGGTGGGTTGCATCTGGAGGAATGGAGATGGCTGTGAAATTTCAAAGATCATTAAGGAGGTAGACTCATGAGAGAAAATTGCAGGAATATATAACAAACTGCAGCTATTTTGGAGAAACACCAGGCTGTCATTCTAGATAGAGTATAGAGTAAGGCAAAATCCTAATCTGTGAGTAGATAGAATGTCAGCTGCTCACACATAGGATCTGCATGATAAGGATTTCAACAAGAACCCTTGGGGTGTTCAAGTTGAGACGCATGGACCAGGAGATTCTGGGAAGAAGGGGAAGGGCTTGGCTAGTCCCACTGGACTCCTCAGAATGGAGAAGGGCCATTTCAGAGGATCACATCCTCTCTGGTAACAGCATCGATGAGGGTTAGGGTTCTGTTGCTTCATCTGAGTAGCGTCCAGGAAAAAAGAAGACAGTAAAATACAGATCTAGGGGGAAAAAAAAACCCAATTATTTTTTAGAGAAAAATCACCAGAAGAAGGAAGTAGAGTGCTGTAAACTGAACAGGAAGAAGTGAAACGAATCCAGACCACAACAAGAGGAGGGCGATACAGGTAAGAAGAGCAGTGGGAAAGAAGTAGAAGTAACTTGCTTGAAAAGATAAGAGAAAAGCAAAGAATAGAATAGTCACAGGCAACGTAAGGAATAGAATCAGTGTGCGAGTAAAGGGGATCCCAGCAGTACACATTTCGAGGGTATGAAATAGTCAGGCTTACAGAGGCCTGAGGAGCAATTGAAGGAAGTATGGAGGGGCATGAGTAGAAAGCCTGAGGTTGTGGGGCACCAAAAGAATCATGTATTACATCCTAGAATCCTCTCTGTGCATAGTCTAAGAGGGAACGTCAGCTGCAGTCTTTGAGCAAGGATTGACTGTGAATATAATTTAATTCAGTGGCTATTAATTGATTGCTCACTAGATGCAATGATTCTTACCTAGGGCTGTAGGAACTAAGGAAATGGACGAGGCAGGAGTCCACTTACACATGTAAACGACAGACTCTAACACAAGAGAAAATCAAATGAGAGCTAAATAGAGCAACCAGCAGCCTGCTGTGAGCTCTCCTTCAGGAGGAACACTTTAATTCTGACTAGGTACCTTAGGCGAAGCTCATAAAAGAGGATGTTGTTTGACCTGTGTTGGGCAGGTCGTGTCTGGAAGGAGGGGAGGGGATGGATTCCAGGCAGAGGAAACAACATGAACAGAAGGCCAAAGTCAGGATGCTGGCTCAGAACCCAGCCATGGGTTATTGGGACTCATCCTCAAGGCCAGTTGAAGGTGGCTTTGCAGACTGCCTCCCCAGTGACACTGTTAGGGTGGGTCATTCTGTCCCTTTGCCTCCCACAGCACTTCCTTCCACAAGGCATTTCTTCTGCTGCACCACTTACGGCACAATATTAATATTCTCTGTTTACTTGTTTACTTCTTCATATCCTCATACAGAATTTTTGCTCCATGAGAGCCGAAACCAGACTCCACTGACCCCTTTATTCTCTAATTGGTGTAGTTCCTGGTACAAACTGCTGCTCAAGGACTCAAAGGAGGACCATGAAAAGCAGGCAGAATTTATTTTGCATTCGGTAGGCAATGGTGAGCACTCAAAGGTACCAAAGGTTTTTTTTTTTTTCTTTTTTTGAGACAGAGTCTAGCTTTTTCACACAGGCTGGAGTGCAGTGACACAATCATAGCTCACTGCAGCCTCAAACTCCTGGACTCGAAGGATCCTCCTGCCTTGGCCTCCAGAGTAGCTGGGACTATAGGCATGCACCACCATGCCCAGCTATTTAATTTTTTTTTTTTTTTTTTTTGTAGAGACAGAGTTTCCTGTGTTGCCCTGGCTTGTCTTGAACTCCTGGCCTCAAGTGATCCTCTCACCTTGGCCTCCCAGTGGCTAGGATTATAGATATGAGCCATTGTGCCAGCCTGGTTTTGTGTGTTTTTTAAAAGTATCATGGGCAGCAGAATTTGGTACCATTTATATGTAAAATTAAATGTAGGGTGTATGGGTCCAGTTGTCCAGAGAAAAGAGCCATGGTGGTGCAGGGACAGCAGGAAGGAGGCCGTCATGTGGAAAGCTGCTATACAGGACTTTGGTCTGGGAATGGTCTGGGAGATGGTCATGTTGCTTGGAACTGAGAGTAAGCATAGAAAAATCATGATGACGAGTCAGTCTGAGAGTAGAGTGAAGAGTTTTCTTTAGATTTATTGATTAAACCATGCCAAAATAAGTTTACCTTAATAACTACTGATCTTTCTTTCTCAGTACACTTTGAGTATATCCTTGTAGGTGATAAATTTGCACATGCACTTTTAAAGATTACTTTTTGTCAAAATGCTTGACTTTCACAAGTAGCTGTTAAATTTTCGGGAGTTAGTACCCATCAATGGTACAGTAGTGATGTCTGAATACTCGTCTCCAACAGGAATTGTTCCGTTACTACTCCAGGCCACATCTTCATCCCCTCCAGCATGCCCTTTACACTTGGTGACTGTGTCACTGTTTTTGGTAATGGGCTGGAAAGGAAAGGAAAAGTTATTTAGTTAAATGTTTATTTCACAGTTGCAAACTGAAGCTCTGATTTTTTAATTAACTTGTCTGAAATCTTCTAGGCTGTTAGTTGCAGAACTGGGCATAAAAATGCAAGTGTACAGACCCAGTCATCCAAAACGCTTAGTCAACCCAGAGGTCTCACTAAACGAATGAAATTGGTGTTCCATGAAGTCAAAAGATAATTTGAGCAATTATTTGATTGTTGTATAATATGTGCATATTATGTAATTTGTTAAGATAATTTGTTCAATAATTTAAATAATTGTTATGTAATTAGAGTATGTGTCATATGCCACCCAAAGATAGAAGATAAACCCCATGCAGATATTATCATGTGAAAGATCATATATATATACATTTATATACATACATGTGCATATACAAATTTATAAGTTGCATTATATGCAAGGAGGAGATAAAAGGAACTTCTGTGGACTGAATTGCATGCCTTCCCCAAGTTCATATGTTAAATCTCTAACCTTCGATGTGATGGTTTTCGGAGATGGGGCCTTTGGGAGGTAATTAGAGTTAGATAAAGGCATGAGGGTTGGGCCTTCATGATGGAATTAATAATTATATAAGAAGAGGTAGAAAGCTTGATCTCTCTCTCCATTTGAGGACAGAGCGAGAAGGCAGCCATCTATAATCTGGCAAGAGGGCTGTCATCAGGAAGAGAATCAATGGGCACCTTGACCTTGGACTTTTCAGCCTCCACAACTGTGAGCAATAAATGCCTATTGTTTAAGCCACCCAGCTTATGGTTATTTTGTTACAGTAGGCCAAGCTGACAAATACAGGAACTGACACTTTTAACCACCTGTTTTATGGGAGAGAATTATGTCAGGAAAATTATATACAATGTTTTATTCTTACAACCACCCTGTGAATTGAACACTCTTTTCATTTCCAGAGGTGAATGCTAGAAATGGTAAGTAACTTCCCCGAGGCCATACATAGCAGGCAATGGGGCAAGCCTAGGTTTGTCGTATCCCTGAAGCCTCTCTCTTAGATCACAGCTTCTTCTAGGTGTCATGCAGGCATTAAAGAATAATCATTCCTTACTAGAGTTCTAAAAAAGTCTTGAGAGGGGGCCACTGGTCCTGGCAGGTCCTAGCTTTGTAAGGCTAGCCCCATCTTCTCTTGGATTTTCCATGAATCCTCCTGGCTCTCATCTGAAGTTGCTCTCATCCATCTAGCACATGTGAGCTTCCTTATAACTGGGCTGAAGCCCCAAGAACTTAAAATTCTTCTTACTTGGCAGTGATGGAAGCTTTTGTGTCTGCCTCTTCCATATTTCAAAGGTTCTATTTCTGTTTCTATTTGAGAAACTGCTGACGTACACAAATGCTGGAGAGGTGGTGCTCATTCACTTTTTTACAAGGTCTTCTGCACCTTCCTGTCTTAAAGCCACACCATCCCCTCTTCTCTGAATTGATGGAATGGAAAGGGTGTTTCAGTATCCCTGACTTTTGAGGTAAGAAAATACCTCTCAGCCAGAGCAACCCGTTACTGAAATGTTCTTCTCCATGAAATCTTTTTTGGGTCATATTCTCCCTGGTTCATCCTGACTAGCTAAATATCTCAAGTGCCACATTTAGGTTTTGAAGTTAAGAAAGAACCAGAGATATAAATATTTCAGACAGAAAATAAGAACAGAGACAATGAACGTTAAATTATTTTACAAATGGTGGGAGAGCAAGTCCTTTTTATTCCTGAGGACAAAATTCTGATTATTTACAGTCCTTTCCAAATGTTGCTCTATGACAATCCACTGATGGGTTAAATTACTTTTCTTTGAGGCTTCCAATGTATTTTTCAAAGTGGGCTGGTTAGTAAAATGGGAGATGGATTCTGGTTCACAGAAAGGCAGGATTGTCCCAGGAAAGTTTGCTCACTACTTCTGAATTCACACTATAAATGTCAATCGCCATTTGATTGCTATGACTTCTGGTTGCGTTTGGCAGTTATGAGGCATGAGACCCCAAACTGCAATAAAAAGAAAGAAGATTGCAGCTTTCTTGGCCACCTGAAGTTAATAGTGGAGCATGACAAGGCAGTGGGCTGGGAGGCAGCCAGGGGCCTGGAGATGGCAAGGGTGGGGAAAAAGCAGCAGTGTTCACCTGCTGAGACCAGGAAGTACAACAAGACCTCTGTTTGCTTTTCTTCTGCAACAGAAATCGATGTAAGAACTACATCACGGATTATCAGAGTTGAGTCGAAGGATCATATAAATCATCCAATATGCCTATTTGCTAATAGTATTTTGCTGAGTCTTTAGGTTCCCAAGAGGTGCGTTGGGACAGTTGTGGGGTAAAGGGAATGCAGACAGAAGGGGCTTCAAAAGGATCTGCCATCTGTCACCCGAGGAGGTGACTAGTACCTGTTTTATATACTGTGGTTTTGAGTGAGGTTTTGTTTCATCTGAAAAATAGCTTTGCTTCTGAAGAAAGCTTGGAAACCACTGATTTTGTTGAAAATATTATGAGTAGCTTTGTTACAGATATTTCCTGAACCTGCAGAGCATGTTTACAGGACATTAGAGGGGTCCTAGGATGGGAGGATATATCTTAGGTCAGGGTCTCCCAGAAATAAACCCCAAGCCAACGATCTGAGTGCAAAGACTTTTCCAAGGAAAGTCTCCAAGGAACTGGAGAGAGAGAGAGAGAGAGAGAGAGAGAGACAGAGAGAGAGAGAGAGAGAGAGACAGAGAGAGAGAGAGAGAGAAGCAAGATAGGGAAGGGGAAGAAGGCAAACAAGATTGAAATTTCAGATGAGGTTTCCAGCCTAATCCATAAGGATCTCTGGAGTTTATTTTGGGTCAAGGAGGCTGGACTTTTATAGTCTAAAACCAGTTAACCAGTTACAGATCATCTAGGGGTATAAAAACTCCTAGACATTTCTTCCTCTTTTTATACATAAATCACTTACCATAGCCTAAAGATCGTTCTTTGAAGAAGGTTGTAGTGGCAAACAGAGAACATCATGGCACACAGAAACTGATGGATGGGCACTCAGCACTGGCAAGAGAATTTGAGGTGGTCTGGGTGGGGATACCAATAGTGTCTACCCTAGGCTGCTTGAATTAAGTTCATCATGGAAGCAGCAAATTCCTTCCCCACCATCCTACTCTGGATCAGTCCATATTACATGTTGTCTCTGGACAAACACTGTAATATTTCCCCTACCCTTTAACTCCTTTCTTTCTTATTCATATCCAGCCCAACATCTCCAATTAACCTCTCTTTCTTGCAATCAACCTTTCTGTTTTGTTTCTGTATAAAAGGGGCAGACCAGTATTAGAAGGAATTAGCCTGTGCAATTGTGGGGCTGGCTATGCAAGTCTGAAGTTCATAGGACAGGCAGTGGGGAAGTCAAAGGGAAGAAGATGATTATACATAATCCTATAGGCAGACCTGAAGTTTCTTGGGGACAAGTGGATGTTTCTGAACTCTTTTACACCCTCTTTTAAAGTTTTATAGCCAATTCCTTCAGTCCCACCAAGGATAATCTCTCTGCTGATTAACTTAAAATCAACCAATTAGGGGTATTAATTACCTCTGCTGTAAGATCCATACTTGGCAGCACCTGGTGTTGAATTTGATTGACTCACAGGGAGAGGGACGTGTCTGCTAAAATATGCCCATGGCCCCTCTCCTGACCTCCAGCTCTGAGAAGAGACTGTCCTTCTGCTTCATCCCAACCAAAACATGCTAGAAAGAAGAATCTGGGGCCTCTAGTTCAAACTCGCCAAGTGGACACATGAAAAGCCAGCACAGTTTCCTGATCTTTGAGGAGGGGCTCTCCCTCCTGGAACAATACACTTACTAATTAATGGCATGGCAACAGTTCTTTCAAGTGGTCCACAGTCTCCAAACCCATGCCCCCACCCTTGCCATATGCCTCTCTCAAATGGACAACACTGGTTCCAGGTACAAAATATGACTCTTGGATAGGAATTCCTTATTTAGAAGACATGAAGACCTAGAGCAGTGTGAAGATTTTCCTTGAATCTTCAGTATTTCAGTGACAGAATGGGATCTAGAATCCTCTTTCCAAGTTCTTGAAATGTCCACATGGCTGAAGATCCAGACTGCTGTGCAAGCCTCCCAGCCACTTGGTGCACAGAACACAGGTGATCCTAAGATGTCAGAGATAGCTATGGTGGTTCAAGATTCTTCAGAGTCTCCCAATACTCTTATCATGGTATAGACCCCTAGGTTTATGGTATATATACAGCCATGGTACAGACCCCTAGAATGTGGAGAAAGACAGTGCCTTCAGAGACACAGAGCCAATGACTTTAGATGGACTCCTGGGCTCTGCTGGAGAATTAGTTTAATAATGGGACATCACAGGGCTTGAAAACATGCAACCAGAGATGCCCATTATAAGCTGGTCACTGTCAGACCCACCTAATCATAAAGTCAGGTGGGCACATCAGCATTCCACCATTATTTGGAAATGCTACAACTGGGATCAGAAATGAGTAGGCTCAAAGCGCAAAAGGAAGTTATGAGAAGCGGTGGTCCAGATCCTAATTGCTTGCTCTACTGTACCAGCACTTCTCCCCTTAGCTCACACCTATGGCCTCATTCTTGGGTGCTTTCCTACAACAAACATAAAGGACAAAACTACTCTGGCTTGATTCATGGGTGTGTCAGCTCCATATGTTGGTGTTATTTGAAATTAGACACTAGAAAATAATGAGGTGCCCACTTGGAAATCATGGTAGTGTTTTGTGTTGCTCTCTTTCAGGATGCAAAATATGGACTAAACTTATTTGAGCCTAATGATCATTAATTCATAGTAGTACCAATATGCATGGTTATGCAATTTTCTCTATTCATTTAGAGCACTCTGTGTGAAGGGGTCAACAAAAGACATTTGGAATGACCTGAGATTGGTATTCATTTGTCCCCGACTTACAATGGTTTGACTTATAATTTTGTTGACTTCACGATGGTGCAAAAGCAATATGCATTCAATGGAAATAGCACTTTGAGTACCCATACAAGCATTCTCTTTGTCATGGTCAGTATAGCATTCGATAAGTTACATGAAATATCAACACTTTATTATAAAGTAGGCTTTGGGTTAGATGATTTTGCCCAACTGCAGACTAGTATAAGTGTTCTGAGCACGTTTAAGCTAGGCCAGGCTAAGCTATGATATTCTGTAGATGAAGTGTATTAAATGCTTTTTCAACTTATGGTACTTCTATTTATGATGGGATGATTGGGATGTAACCCCATTGTAAGTTGAGGTGCATATGTGTCTCCATGGCTACAGAAACCTGAGATATTTTATCTTTTTTCCCCATTTTCAAACATACATACATATTTGTAGTTTATATAAACAGCATTTTTATTGTGAAATATGAGATGTCAGTGGTCATGACTTTGATAAATTGTAAAATGTATCTTTAACCCCACTTAGTTCTTATAAGAACTCTCTCTCCACTCACTGGCCCACACAACTGTTCCTGGGAATAACTCAGTGAAGACGGCAATTTAATGTATTCGAATAGGCATGGACCAACAGGTAGAAAACTAGGTGCTAGCACTCTGTGCTGGTGCAAGGCGTTAGAAGCTAAAGGTTGTGTGTGTTAGGTATAAGAAGAGTGAGAAGAGGCCATGTGATGTTGTAGAGTGACAGCGCATCTATGAATGAGGCCACTTGTTGTTTGGCCATGGGCAGTCTCTTTAACCACTCCAGACATCTGTTTCTCCATCTGTAGAGCAGGACAATTGTATGGCATGATCTTTGAGGTCTCTTTAAGCCCAGATCTTCTTTGACACTGGGGTAGCAGAAGGGTGTCATCCACGTTCTCGACAGACTCCAGCTTTATATTTGTATCACTTACTGTACAGAAAGTGCCTGAGGCTTTCCGATGCATAATAAGGTGCAGTCTTGAGCATTGCAGAAATCAGGAAGGTGATAGAAAGAGAATCAATGTTTATGCTGAGATTTCACATTTGTTATTTTATTTAATCCACACAACAACTTATGTAGTAGGCTACTACCCTCATGCTCCTGATGTGGCTGGTGCCACATCAGCTTGGCACTCAGCTTGATGCCCCAGCTTGGGGCACAAACACATTGGTACTTCTTCCATTTTTTGAATGATTGTTGTAGGATCTATCTACCTCTATTGCAGAAGAGTCTATATCATCCTCTTGAGGTCTTCCTGTGTCCTAATTTGCTAAATGTTCTGCATCTAGCAGGGTGAGCCCTGCCTGCAGATGTTGTCATTAGAGAGTGGAAAGTAAGATCCATTTACTTGTATACACAGTCAACTGCCCTACAAAGACAGTGAGACAACTTGATTTCTCATAGATATCTTTGCCCTACAAAGATAGTGAGACAACTTGGTTTCTCATAGGTATCTTTGCCCTACAAAGATAGTGAGACAACTTGGTTTCTCATAGGTATCTTTGCCCTACAAAGATAGTGAGACAACTTGGTTTCTCATAGGTATCTTTGCCCTACAAAGATAGTGAGACAACTTGGTTTCTCATAGGTACATGGATCTTTTTTTTTTTTTTTTTTCTGACAATGTGGTAATTACTGATGTCAAGATTGCTCACAGCAAGGCTACCAATGCTTAGGATGGCTTAGTTCCTGTTGGCATGACTAGCCATTGGTCCCAGGCAGAGTTTCTGAGACAGTGGTGGTGTGTTGAAGGTCTCTAAGACTCAGTTCTTTACTGTACCTGAACAGCCACCACTCAAGCACCTGGACTTTTGTGTTCCACCCAGATTCTCTTTCCTTCTGCTAAATATCCCTTTGAAGCCCTTGCTCCATTCTCTTGTGGTAGTCTATGTCAGGGACACCTGATCCATTCTGAAATCTTTTCCCATATTTTAATTCCAGGATACTTGTGTTGTGGTCTTAGCTTTTTCCAAAAGGTTTTTGGCTCCTTTCAAAAGTTGATCCAACCTTCTCCAGGGTCTTGTGTATGCCAAGGTGTCTAAGTGAGGGGTGGACCTCAAGGAGCTATGGAAGGTTTTGGTCATCCTTTTTCCCTGCCAGTGGCAATCTACTTGAATATAGGTCCCCTCTCAGGTGATATCTCCTATATATTGCTTTGCTGCCTCTACCTGCACAGACAGGCAACCGGAGTTATTTTTGAAGTTCTCTTCTCGTGCTTTCTCTTTATACACAAGTTTATGATGAAGAGATTGATACTCAGAAATCTAAAGTAACTGGCCCCAAATATGACCACTAACAAGTGACAGAAGCAGGATTTGAATTCAAGATTCTCTGAAATAAATGCACCTACTCTTTTTATTATAACTTAGACTGTCTAGATAAATAATGAGGTGCAGTAGTCATCCTTGAGGAAGTTATGGGTTGATTTCAGAGTTAGAAATATTACCTTAAAGACTGGCAAACAAAATTAGACAGTGTTCAATATTACTATAGAACTGTAAGCATTGAGAAATGGGATTCCTGTGCTGGTCAGGGAGTACTTCAGTGAGAAGCTGAGAATCCAGTTGGGTTGCAGAATGAATCATATTTAATAGCAAAGCACACCCAGGAGGGACATCCTAGGTGTGGTTGTGTGGAGGAATCTGCATCCCTGCAGAGAATCAGACCTGGAATAACCTTATTTTCAGGTAACAAAGGATGAGTGTTGGCCAGGCGTGGTGGCTCATGCCTGTAATCCCAGAACTTTGGGAGGCCGAGGCGGGTGGATCACCTGAGGTTGGGGTTCGAGACCAACCTGACCAACATGGAGAAACCCCATCTCTACTAAAAATACAAAATTAGCTGGACATGGTGGTGCATGCCTATAATCCCAGCTATTCGGGAGGCTGAGGTAGGAGAATCGCTTGAACCTGGGAGGTGGAGGTTGCGTTGTACCGAGATCGCGCATTGCACTCCAGCCTGGGCAAAAAGGGTGAAACTCCATCTCAAAAATAAAATAAAATAAATGAATAAATTAATTAATAAATGGTGAGTGTTGAAGTGACATAGCCACAACACATAATTAATTTCTACCAGAGCTTGGAAATAAAAAATAGTGCCTAACAATCATGTAAGATTGTCACACATTAAATCCTGTTTAATTATCACAAAAACTTGTGTGGTAGCTATTATTATCATTCCATTTTTTTCAGATGGGAAAATGGGGGCTGAAGCATATTAATTATGACCAATGTTTTTATAGCCTCTTAAAGTTCAGAAAATGCATTTTATTTTGCCTTTATAACAACCCTGTGTATGGGGTGCCGAAAAAAGAGGATTTTTTAATTCTTTTTTTCGTTCATTGGAGTATGGACATTTTAGGGTCACTGACTATGTTTGCTTCCTGCATCTGAGGAACACTAATTATCTTTTGGAAAATTCCTCCTGAATCCCTTTTGTTACATATCAGTAAAACAGACACCACTTATTCTGCCAAACTGACAGTTTGGCTTTTTAATTTGAGTTGAGTGTGTATCTCTCTAGAATGGTCCTGGAAGAACTATTTCTCCTGAATGTGAATTTATGCTGTAGTCTTAATGTGTTCAGGAAGTGCTATTTAAAATTGATCAACTCAGACTTTGCTAAACAAATGGCAAGACAGCTATTGCCCTGTCTGTTTCTGGTGATCAGACTGCCCTGTGGGTGGAAGGAAGACCAGAGTATTTCCTGAAGAATGGATGTCCCTGCTTTATCTCACTCTGGGTCAGAAAGGAAGCCAGCCTATGCTGGATATAGGCAGAGATCATGGAAGAAACCTCCTTCTTTCTGGGTACCAAGAAATGGTCATCTAGTCTCTAGAGGAGGAAGTTGCCAGAGACTTTTTTATTGGTGAGGGTTGGATGCCTCACCCATTAGGAAGCTTTCCAGCTGCAGAATGCAAATCCAAGATGGGTTAATAGTTTGTAAGGCCCATGTACAACCTTGGAAGTGGTATGAGCCACTCTTTGCTTTATTCTTTCCTATTCCTCATGCATGGACCCCAAGCAACACAGATTTCTTGGGGAGATGTTAAGGAAGAAGTCTGTGTCCAAGCTTATAAAAAATTGTGGTGCTTTTTGTAAAAGAAACTCAGGAGCAAAGAATACCTGGAGAAAGACAAGCCTGAAACCAGAGTGGATTAACAGAGCCTATCAACAATGTTTGGGAGGTCATCAAAATTTTGGAAAGAGGAAAATCCTAGGAGGAAGACTAGATATTCTGTTGATCTATAATATGGGGGTGGATGGTTTTCTAATTTGACAATTAAAGGAAATATGTCATTAATCTGTTCCCCAAGATAGTGAAGTGGAACAAACCAATAATATTTTTGAGTTAGGAATGACAATAACAACAATGCTCATTATATTCCGTATATTTTGTTTTACATTTATTAGCTCATTTATTCCTCATAATAATTCTATGAGGAAACTGAGAAATTAAATGACTTGCTGAGAGTTGTAAGTGATCAAGGGGGAAATCAATTCCATAAATAATTGTTTTGTCTTTTTACAGAGGAGAAGCATGAGTCCCAAGCTGGTTGATTAGTTACTGAAGGAGAGCAGAGATTTAAGGGCTGGTGATGGCTTCAGATCCTTCATTTTGCTTGATGAAAGAAATGGGTGCACTCAGCTTCTTCTTGTCTCTGTCCTACATCTACCTCATTGTTAGAGTGCTCTGTTTTGTCTGCACACGAGTGCATGCATGCACACACACATACAGATATATGCACAGGCATGTGCCTTCCACATATACTTGCACGTATACACATACATACATGCACACACACATACAGGCACACACATATGCACACACACACATCTCCTTTCAGTGCTGAAATATCACTGCTCAGACAGTGACAGGGAAGATAGGCTCACCTGCATGCTAGCTGATTTTGTTGGTTTTAGGGGATTTTGAAAGGTTTGAAAGGATATTGTTGGTAACAAATAGACATTTTTAAAATGTCAAGTCACTCTCAAAATGGGTGCTTCTCCGTTAATAGACATATGCTGATGGCTTAAATGCTGCAAGACAAGCTTCCAGCTTTTGCTCCAGACATTTCAAAAGGCTGACAGGAGCTGATGTCTCCCACAGAGAGAATACTTTGGTGACAGGGTTTTCATGTAAATTATATGGAATTAGATGGTGGGCAGAGGGAGAGACTTTATTACTCAGAAATAAAACAATCTACCAAATAAATTGCAGGGTGGTGTGGCGTGGGGGCTGGGGCTGGCCTGCAGTGTGACAGATGAGGACTTGGACCTCTGTTTTGTGCCAGCAGAATGACCTTCAAGTCTCTGAAGTTGAATTTCCTAGCCTGGGAAGAAACAAGCAGGGAGACTCCTCCTTTCTGCAGATGGGGTGAGGGTGAGTGATAGTGGTTGTTGGGTCTGGCCCAGTACAGAGGATATGATTGGAGCTCAGAAAATGATAGCTAAAGTTACCACTATTTCTGCTTTTTAAAAAATTGAATGAGTAGGTTGCGAAACCTAATATCCAGAATCTACAATGAACTCAAACAAATTTACAAGAAAAAAACAAACAACCCCATCAAAAAGTGGGCGAAGGACATGAACAGACACTTCTCAAAAGAAGACATTTATGTAGCCAAAAAACACATGAAGAAATGCTCATCATCACTGGCCATCAGAGAAATGCAAATCAAAACCACTATGAGATATCATCTCACACCAGTTAGAATGGCAATCATTAAAAAGTCAGGAAACAACAGGTGCTGGAGAGGATGTGGAGAAATAGGAACACTTTTACACTGTTGGTGGGACTGTAAACTAGTTCAACCATTGTGGAAGTCAGTGTGGCGATTCCTCAGGGATCTAGAACTAGAAATACCATTTGACCCAGCCATCCCATTACTGGGTATATACCCAAAGGACTATAAATCATGCTGCTCTAAAGACACATGCACACGTATGTTTATTGCGGCACTATTCACAATAGCAAAGACTTGGAACCAACCCAAATGTCCAACAATGATAGACTGGATTAAGAAAATGTGGCACATATACACCATGGAATACTATGCAGCCATAAAAAATGATGAGTTCATGTCCTTTGTAGGGACATGGATGAAATTGGAAACCATCATTCTCAGTAAACTATCGCAAGAACAAAAAACCAAACACCGCATATTCTCACTCATAGGTGGGAATTGAACAATGAGATCACATGGACACAGGAAGGGGAATATCACACTCTGGGGACTGTGGTGGGGTTGGGGGAGGGGGGAGGGATAGCATTGGGAGATATACCTAATGCTAGATGACACGTTAGTGGGTGCAGCGCACCAGCATGGCACATGTATACATATGTAACTAACCTGCACAATGTGCACATGTACCCTAAAACTTAGAGTATAATAAAAAAAAAAAAAAATTAAAAAAAAAAAAAAATTGAATGAAAGTGATAAATATGTCCAGTGGCAATTATTTGCCAAGTATCTTGGGACTGTCAAAAGATTCCTGTGATCTCCTAAAACCTCTCTTGATCCTCAATACAAGTAGTGTTCATTGAACACTTGTGATGTGAATAGGCATAGTGTGAGTCCCACTTTACCAGGAACACTGAGGGAGCAATTGATGCTCCCATTTGCATAAGAAGACCTCCATCCCTTGCTGCCACACTGGTGCATGGAAAATAAGAATCGGTCCTTCTGTCTTTGGAGTCTCTACCAGGTGCTGGATGACAGTGTTGTCCTTACAGGAACATCTGAGCTCTGTTGGACTGCCACTTACCCCAGTGGTGGTGGAGGAGGAATGTTGAAGACATAGGAATCACACACAGTTAGGGTTTAAGGCAGAGATTCGTGTTCTAACTGCGTATCAGGATCAACTGAGGAGTCTTTAAAACCCTGAAAGCCCAGGCTGCACTCCAGCCCAATTAAGTCTGAATTTCTGGAGATGGCACCAGGGTGGCAGGGCTTTTAAAGCTCCCGGATGATTCCTTTGTGCAGACAAGCTTGAGATCCATGAGTCTGGGATCTCTGCAGATGCCACATGCATACCATTGAGTCTATCTCAGTGTTTTCCAAACTTGAGCCATTAGAGACTCACCAGAGATGTTTGTTAAAAACACAGATTTCAGAGTCTTTCCCAGGAGGTGATGATCCTTTCTGTGTGGGGTGGCACTGGAGACTGAGAGTTTAACACTGAATTCAGGTGATTCTTCTGTTGTGTCAAACTGGGAAATAGCCTGTACTGAAAGGCTTTGACTGGATTTTTACAGCAAATACTCCTAAAGAGGATGGTGAGTTGCTGTTACTGATGGTGTACTTAGTAAGTTAAGTAATAGGATTATGGATTCTCTTTTAAAGAGTCTTGGGAATCACCTCGTCCTACAATCTTCTAGGTGAGGAAACTGAGGCTCAAAGGGAAGTGACTTCTCCAAAGTCACATATTAAATTAACCCTAGAGCAGGCTAAGAAGCCAGACCTTCGGCTCCCCTTCTGTGCTGTTTCCCCTGGGGCAGGACCAGCTCTGTAAATTCAGAATCATCAAGCAGCCGGAGCGGTCAGCATTTCTGAGCAGGCAGCCAGAATTGCTTTCCCCTTAATATATCCTTATGACAAGGTGATTGGTGCTAAACAAGGTTCCTGGAGGAACATAGAGCAGCTGTCCCTCCAGGGCCACACCCGGTGGACCAGGCTAATCCATTTTGGTGGACAGCTACCCTCTGCTCAAGCATCCAAAAACTCATCTTTATTATTAACTCATTAATCACCATGGCTAGTGGCGGCACTGTGAAACCCCAAGGAGAGACAGGCAAGTAGGAGAATGCTGGTGTTGGTTTCCATGTGCTTTAATACAGCCTTCAGGAGGTCTCACAGCTAATTATTAGGACCATAACCTAGAGAATGTCCGCCCTGATGGCAGGTGGAATTCTCACCGATCTCTCTGAGGAAGGAAAGGTTAAGATAATTAGTGCTTTTGACTGAGGAAGAACCAGGCAGAGAAAGGTGTCATGGGGCAAGGGCTCCTGAGTGAAGAGTATGAAAAGATTGCTTAGTTGATTCAGCAACAAAGAGTTCAAGTGTTAGATCTGATGCTTCTCATTTCTGGACTTCAGTTTCCTCCTCTGGGAAAACTGATCTATTATTTGTACCTTCTAAAAGTTACTTGTGGGGATGAATCAGCCAAAGAGGTGAAAGAACTAAGCATTTTTCCTACACAAAAAAGACTGTCACTGGACTAGGCCTAGATGTGTGCCCCTCTCTTCAGACTTATGACTTGGCAGCCATTCGAGCTGATATTTACTGAACATATACCTAAGAATTATTAAGCAACTCTATCTTAACAATGGCAATTATTAAGCAATATCAGGAAAAGTCTTGCATGGAGGAAAGGTGGAGAAAAAGGCCTACTGATGTAGAGTTCAGATTCTTTGTTAGGGCCACTGGAAAATCAGCCCCATCCTGACACAGTGTCTCACTCTGCAGAATGAGCTCTATGGGTACCTAACTCTATTCTTCTGCAAAGATCATTTAGTGACCATCTGTGCTTTTAGGCTTTTGCAGTGTGGTTTATGCATCTTTGATCTCCTAAATGCCTTATCAAAATAAAGGCATACCTTGTTGAATTGTGCTTTGCTTTATTGCACTTCACAGATATTGTGGCAACCCTGGGTTGAGCAAGTCTGTCGGTACCATTTTTCCAATGGCATGTGCTCACTTTGTCTCTGGGTCGCAGTTTAGTGAATGTCACAGTATTTTAAACTTTTCTGTTATTATTATGTGTGTTTTAGTGATCTACGATCAGTGATCTTTTATGTTACTATTGTAATTGGTTTTGGGTGCCACAAACTATGACCATATACGATGAGGAACTTAATAATTGTGTGTGTTATTACCACTCCACCAACCAACCCTTCTTCCATCTCTCTCCCTCTTCTTGCGCCTCCCTATTCCCTGAGACACAATATTGAAATTGGGCCAATTAATAACCTTACAATGGCTTTTAAGTGTTCAAGTGAAAGGAAGAGTCACACATCTCCCATTTTAAATCACAAGCTAGAAATGATTAAGCTTAGTGAAGAAAGAACATACAAAGCTGAGATAGGTTGAAAGCTAGAACTCTTTCACCAAACAGCCAAGTCGTGAATACAAAGGAAAAGTTCTTGAAGGAAATAAAAAGTGCTACTGTAATGAACACATGAGTGATAAAAAGTGAAGCAACTTTATTTCTGATATGTAGAAAGTTATAATAGTCTGGATAGAGGATCAAACCAGCCAAAACACTGTCTTAAGCCAAAACCTAATTCAGAGCAAAACTTTAACTCTCTTCAATTCTATGAAGACTAAAAGAAGTGTGGAAGCTGCAGAAAAATTTTTGGAAGCTAGCAGAGTTTTTTTTTTTTCATGAGGATTAAGGAAAAAAGCCATCTCCATAACATAAAAGTGTAAGCTGAAACAGCAAGTTATGATATAGATGCTATAGCAAGCTATCCAGAGCATCTCACTAAGATCATTGAGGAAGGTGGCTGTGCTAGACAACATATTTTCAGAGTAGATAAAACATAGATAAAATGGGAAGAAAATGATATTTAGGATTTTATAGCTAGAGAGGAGAAGTCAATGCCTGTCTTCAAAACTTCAAAGGATAGGCTGACTCTCTTCTTAGGGGTCAGACATGCAGCTGGTGATGTTAAATTGAAGCCAGTGCTAATTTACCATTCTGAAAATCCCAGAGTCCTTAAGAATTATGCTAAATCTACTCTTCCTGTGTTCTATAAATGTAATAACAGAGCCTGGATGATAGTATACTTGTTTATGGCATGGTTTACTGAATATTTTAAGTTCATTATAAAGACCTACAGATTTATTAATAGAAAAAAATCTTTTTAAAAATATTACTGCTCATTAGCGATAATGGTCACCCCAAAAACTCTGGTGGAAATGTATAATGAGATTAGTGTTGCCTGCTAATACATCTATTCTGCAGCCCATGATCAAAGATTAATTTTGACTTTCAAGTCTTACTGTTTAATAGATACATTTTGTAAGACTATGGCTGCCATAGATAGTAATTCCTCTAAGGTAGCTAAGCAAAATAAGTTGAAAACCTTCTGGAAAGGATTCACCACTCTGGATACTATTAAGAGCATTTATGATTCATAGGAGGAGGTCAAAATATCAACATTAACACAAGTTTGGAAGAAGTTGATTCCAATTCTCATGAATGACTTGAGGGATTCAAGACTTCATTGGAGGAAGTAACTGCAGATTTGGCGGAAATAGCAAAAGAATTGGAATTAGAAGTGGAGCCTGAAGATGTGACTGAACTGTTGCAATCTCATGATAAAACCTTAACAAATGAGGAGTTGTTCTTATGAGATTAACAACGTGGTTTCTTGAGCTGGAATCTACTTCTGGGGAAGACACTGTGAACATTGTTGAAATGACAACAAAGAATTTAGAATATTACAAATATTATAAAAAATTACAAACTAAGGCTTATAAACTTAATTGGTAAAGCAGGATTTTAGAGAGTTGACTCCAATTTTAAAAGAAGTTCTACAGTGGATAAAATACTATCAAACAGCATCACATAATACAGAAATTTGTGTGTGTGTGTGTGTATGTGAAAAGAAGAGTCAATCTATGTGACAAACTTCCCAGTGATATTATTTTAAGAAATTGCCGGCCGGGCGCGGTGGCTCACGCCTGTAATCCCAGCACTTTGGGAGGCCGAGGCGGGTGGATCATGAGGTCAAGAGATCGAGACCATCCTGGCTAACAAGGTGAAACCCCGTCTCTACTAAAAATACAAAAAATTAGCCGGGCGCGGTGGCGGGCGCCTGTAGTCCCAGCTACTCGGGAGGCTGAGGCAGGAGAATGGCGTGAACCCGGGAAGCGGAGCTTGCAGTGAGCCGAGATTGCGCCACTGCAGTCCGCAGTCCGGCCTGGGCGACAGAGCAAGACTCCGTCTCAAAAAAAAAAAAAAAAAAAAAAAAAAAAAGAAATTGCCACAGTCACGCTAACCTTCAGCAATCACTACCCTGATCAGTCATCAGCCATCAACATCAAGGCAAGACCCTCTACCAGTATAAAGATCACAATGTGCTGAAGGCTCAGAAAACCATTAGTATTTTTTAGCAATATATTATTTTTAAATTAAGGTATGCACATTGTTTTTCTTAGACATAATGCTATTGCAGACTTAATAGACTACAAGTATAGTATAAACATATCTTTTCTATGCACTGGGAAACCAAAAGACTTATATGGCTTGCCTTATTGTGGTGGTCTGGAACCAAGCCTGTAAGATCTGTGAGGTATACCTGTGGTATATTAATGTATTCTTATTCCAGTGGTTTTCGTGGGACTTAATTTTCCAACTCTTGGGACCAAGCACAGCTGGGCATCATCTTTCTCTCATTACCTTGTCTGGCACATGATACACAGGCACAATTTGGGATGGATTTCTGGAAAAGGAGCTCACTGTTTATCCACAGTGTTAAATTTGAGAGGATTCAAGATCTGAATCTGCTGCATGCTTCTCATGTCCCAGGAAGAGATCTTGTCTGAGGAAGGAGCCAACGTAGCGGGAGGCAGAGCTGAGCGACGGAAAGCAAGTGACTGGGCCCTGACCTGATCAAGTTGTGCCTGAAGATACTCTTCTGAAGTATTAATATTTAGTTACACGAGACAATTGCTTTAGTCCTTTTGGATCAGGAATTCTGCCATTTGCAACTAAGAGTCCTAACTGAGATACTCAGCAACCTTCTGATTATTATAGTGGCTTTCCATGTATCTCAAGCTTGGGAAAGCAGAATGTCTTGGTAGGATACATAAGGATTCTGCCTGCTAAAATAAAATGTTTACTGTGGAATAATGCACTGTTATTTCCCTGTTAATTTAGTTAGTGTCAGGCTAACCCTCAGGTTTGGCCATCTCTGAGTAGATTGAGAATATTTTTCTTCTGGATCAGCAAGGCTGTGGTCTAGCTCCTAGGCTGCAGTAAATGTGCCAAGAGTCTTTCTCTAGTGACAGTGGCCACAGCCTGCACCCACAAAATATGCAAATATATATATACATATACACACACACACACACACACACAGGCACATATCTGCACACATGAATATATGTGTTTGTGTGTGTAGGTGGTTTCTTATGCTAAGTGCACTTGAGTCATTTCTTTAAACTTAACTTTGCAACATAAGCATGGCTTATATTTGTGTTAAAGTTTTATGGACCTTATTTGTAAATTCTGAGTTTCACTTCATAAAGTTTGATGCTCTGGCCTCTCTAGCTTAGCTCTGGAAGTTGCCCACAAGGGTGGGCCTGGTGAGCACAGTTTCTACAGCTCAGGGGTATCTACCCTTTGGACCACCCTGAAGGACTGGTTGATTATCAAGGTGCTCAATGAATCTGTATGATTTTGCATCTTGCAGAAAAGGGACACAGGACAAATCTTCTAATCTTTCAGGCTTAAGTACGTGTATTTTCAGACTCCTTTACAACCAAGAAATCTGTTTCATGCTTTCCACCTGCTGAATGGTCAGTAAACGAGCCATATTGGCAGAAAGACCTCCCATAAGTTGAATCTGCCTGACACTAAGACATCTGTATAAAAGATAAAAAATCACCAATTTTTCAAATGATTGTCCTTATGATGCCATAACAACATGTATTATTTGCAAATCTGGAATAGGATGAGTGGATTTTTTCCCTTTTAACCTGTTTGGCACTTTGAAAAATGTCCCAGAAGCACAGAAGTGAGGTGGTCAGATTCCCTCACTTCTCTTCTTTTTGCTTCAAAAGGCCTTGTGGGTGGGTTTTCTCCATTATTTAAGTTCATTCATTGACTCCAGCTAAGCCCAGAAACTGTCAAGCTGAAATACTGTGAGCACAACTGGTCTCACATTTTCTTCCAGTTTTAATGAAAAGCTTTGGAAGTTAAAGATTTATAACTATCTCCCAACCCAGAAAGTTCAAACGATATTCTTAGGCTTTGGATTTTCATTGTTGGTATTGCTGTTGAGCTCAAACTGAAACTCTTGGAGCTGGTTAAAGTTTTATTGTCAGCACTTACATCACCTTTAAAAGCACTTCTTTGACAATTCTAGTATCTAGACACTATGCTAGGCTCCCCAAAGATGAAAAATCAAGGTTTGTACTCTCAAAGACCCCACAATACTGAAAACATATAAAAATTAGTTTCATGTGACACATAACGAAATGTGCGTTTAACAAAGGCACAGGCCAAGAGTATGGGATCCCAGAGGAAAAGGCACAATTCTGTCTGGAAAAATCAGGGAAGGCTTCTTAAAGGCAGTAGTGTTTGTGTAAATTCTTAAAGGATTTTAGAGAATAGGAGGAATAAGAAAAACTGAAAACAGGGGCTATCATGAACAAGTCTTGGAGACACAAAAACAGATTTTGATGTGAAAATAAGAGGGCAACAGATCCAAGATGATCCTAAAGTTCATCCAGAGAGAACAGCTCAGCACATATCCTCTCCCTAATCCAGTTATATATGAGTTTGGGGAGATGTGTACACAGGAGAAAAAGGGGACTTCTTTGGATCTTTCTTTCCTATGGCTCCAGCCTCCCCCTCCTCCCACAGCTTAATACACATATGCACTCGTCCATTTATATTCATGTGTTCTACAATATTAGAAAACTTAGGCTTCCCTGTTCACTCCCTTGTCTTTTATGCCTTCAAGTTTTGTATATTCAGTTCTCTGTGCCTGGAATGCCTCTGTCTTCTACTCCTGTCACCTAGACGATGCTATCACCTTATGCTTTAAGATTCAGCTCAAGATCACCTCTTCTGGGAAACTTATTCTTTTTCCACAAGCAACTTTATACTTCTCATCCTTTGTATACCTATGGGTCCATTTATATTCAAATTCTTCTAGATGTAAGCAACAGAAACCCAGTTCAAACTTGCATAGTCCTAAAAGGGGAATGTTGGCTCATATAACTAGGATAAAGAGATGAAGGGGATAATCTGAAGGTTTAAATGTTATAATCTGGGCATTGGTGTACTTTTTCTTTCTACCTTTCAGCTCTGCTTACCCCAACTTTAATTTCAACAGACAATTTGAGTGTGGAGGCAACATGACCCTTGGCAATGCTGTCTTCATTCTCCTTACAAGTCAAAATTCTAAAGTAGACAGACCTTCTCTCTCTCGGTGCATATATGCTAAATATGATGGTGGGGTCTTGCCTGTCTCTGGTAGATTTATATGCCCCAACTTAAATCGTCTGTGTGGTCATGGGAACAGATTTGCTTGGTTGCTCAAACCGTGTAGAATTCTATGGGATTTCCCATAAAAAAGAGAGCCTGTGTTATCAGGAGAAAGGGGAAAAGGTAAAGTAAATAAACAAAAACAAACAGAAAACACCCATATTACCACTCTACTCTTACAGCATTACAACAATGTAATGGTTGACTCACCAGTCTGTCTTTTCTGCTAGACTGTAACCCTTGATAGCTGTGATGGAGACCAACCCATACCTGTAGCAGGGTGCCTGGCTTAGTTAATTACAGTTGGATGAGTTAGTCAATGAATAAAGGGATGAAAGAATAAACATGCCTGTGACAAAGATGGGTCAGGTAATGCCATTTTCATTGTCTACTTTTATCCTATCATCTCTAGCCTGGCCTATCTTAGTAGCCTTTTAATCAACCTCCGTATCACCAGTCTTTGCCTCCTCTGATTCATTCTTTACACAGCAGCCAAATCAATATGTAAAATAATGCAAATATGATCATTTTATTCATCTGCTTAAAGCCCTTTCATTCATTTGGGATATTGAACAAAATGTTTTTTCAGGACTTAAGGTCTGACTTTCATCTGCTTCTTCAGCCCCATCTCTTGTTACTCTCACTACCCCAACACCAATCACCACCCCACCCTACTGCCAGTTGCAAACTCATGTGTACTTTACAATCCAGTCAATTGAAATTACTCTTACTTTCTCAAAGACATATAGTTGTCTCTTGCTTCCAGGTCTCTGTTTCATCCCCGTGGGGTGCTTTTCCTCTCTCTTCCCTCCTCATGTGGATAATTTCTACTTGTACTTCAAAACCCAGCTTATACATCATCTCATAAGTAGCATGCCATGGCCTTCTAACCTGTCTCCAATGTGTTCCCACAGGACACCCCTCTATCCTGTAGAGACATCTATCATGCCTTTCTGTACCTGTTCATCTCCTTGTCTGTATCACTTGTTAGCTAGACTAAGGCTATGAGAACATGAGATGTATCTGTTTTATTCATTATTGTATTCCACCACCTAGATAGGACTTGGCCCTAATGAAAGAATGAATGAGTGTGTGAATGAATGTATTTATTGAGTGCCAGCAGTGTGCTGGCCATTTGGTAAGAACTGAAACTGGAGGGGTGATCATAGCACAGTCCCTGCCCTGAAGGGTTTCCCTGTCTCCATACAGAACAGCTAAGGTTCACAGAGGGTGTAAGTGCCAGAGCCTGGCCTTAAATCCAATCCTGGTTCCAGATGCAGGCTCTTCACTCCACATCAACTGTTCTTGTGTCAACACCCAGTGTGGATCCATTTGGATAGAGTGGTTTGTGGTTGGGCCTGTCTGAGGCTGGGTGTGAAATGGCATTCAGGCCAAGAGCTTTGTTCCAAATAACTGTTTTCCTCTTCATCTGAAGAGAGATCTGTTGATAGTGTTTGGCTTTGGAAAACATGTTGGGACTAACATTACACTCTTATTTGTGCATTAAAACATGGGCATCAAAATATACCTTACTGAATAATGAAAGCAGCCTTCAAAGTTGAATGGTTGATTTGCTGGTCGTTCTTCATGGTCAGGCTTAGATATCAGGAACTAATTCTCCAGTCATTCTTGACAGAAACTTAGGGGACCCAAGTTCTAATCTCAGCCTGACTGGTAGGCATTTGCATGATTGTTTTTATGAAAGAAAGCCCCACCTCATCCCCTAAAAAAATTAACTTTCTTTGACCTAAAGCTGCTATGGAAATCTCATATTCTTTTCTAGTGTTTGGTTTACTACATAACCCAATTCTTCCCAATAAGACACAGGACGAAGACCCACAAGAAGCTTCATTTCTAAATAAAAACACAGAGCCTATTGAGAGAAAGCATTTAGCACAACTTCCCTTCACCCTGAGAGGGACACTATTGAAAGAACATGAATGTGGAGTTGTAGAAGCTCTCCTGTGACCCCAAAGCAATGAAAAAGGATGAAAAAAAAGGGGTCAAGTCCTGAGTGTAGCTGACCAGGAAGATTAGAAAGAGTGCCAGTTAAGCCCCAGAACTAAAGCTGTGGTCTTCTGGTTCCATGAGATAATTTAATGTCTTCCTTATTGCTCAGAGCCACTCTAAGTTGGGTTTTCTATTACTGTCAGACAAAAGCATTCCAAAGAGATACATATGCAGCCAATGAAGTTGCAGCTGTTAGGTTATAACAAAAGCAAAAACAAACAAAACTAATCTGTTGATTGGACCAAATCAACCATCATAGTATACCTTTCTCGATTTACTCATCTGTCGAATGAGGAAAATATAATTGACCTTGAGAAATGCCAATGAGGGAAATATGGTGTTAACTTTTCAGACACTAGCAGTGGTACTTTAAGTCTCTGTATTTAAAGTATGTCTGTCGTATGTATGCACCATTGTTCTGGATATATGTATATATGTACTATTCTGTTTCATGTAGACCCTACTTAAATTCCTATTTTTAGGCAATATGACATAAGAAGAAAAGAGCAAGACCATTGAAGTTATACCTAGGTTTGTATCCCAGATCTTTTGCTTCATAAGTTGTATAGCCTTACCCTTGTCTGAGCTTTAGAAGTCTTTTCATAAAATAAGAATGGTAGTGTCTACATCTAGAGGGTTGTGAGATCAAATTAGCTAACATAAAGGGTACAAAATTCCAGTTAGATAGTAGGAATAAGTTCAAGAGACCTATTGTGCAACATGGTGACTCTAGTAAAAATGTGTTGTATTCTTGAAAATTGCTAAAACAGTAGATATAAGTGTTCTTATCACAAAAAAAGTGTGTGTGGTAATGCATGTTAATTAACTTGCTCTAGCCATGCTGCACTCTGCACTCATTTCAAAATATCATGTAGTGCAACATGATAAATATATACCAAAGAAAATGTGTGAATATGACAGCCGAGAGCCTGGTATGTGGTTGACATGCAATACATTTTAGATACTATTGTTAGTTCAATATGTTCCATGTGAATCAACTACTTAGTTTACGATATATCACATCTTATCTTGTACTTCCAGGGGTGAGGTGTTATTCTCTCCATTTAACTTCCTTGTACATGAGTAGTGCTGCATTAATGGTGATTATATACTTCATTTAGCTTCACCTCTAGGAGTCAGTTCTGAATCTCCCATCCCCTTAACCTCTCATATCCAGTCAATTGCAGAACGAGTCATTCTTTTTGTGTTTGTTTTCAGAAAGGGAGTTTAGCTGAAGCATTAAGTATGCGGAGGCAGTAAAGTGAGGTCAGGGTGATTAAGTTTAGGCCAGAGGACTAGGGGCATTTCATGCAAGTCGAAGAGTTGTGGTTGCATGCTGTGGGTACAGGGGAGTTGTAGAAGCGACGTCCTGAAACAGAAGGAGCTTTGCATCAGAACAGAGGGAACCTGGACAGACAAAAGCAATAGTGAGTTTGCTGCAGGACAGCTCATCCACTTTCTCTTCACTGTATAGACACCACCAATCAGCACATTGAGTAAAGCAGTTGGCGGTTGGGTAATAGACTAAAGAGCTTAAAGCTGTTTGTGTTTATGTAATTGGCCAAAGAGCTTGAAGGAAACCAAAACATGGCACCCCCAAATAATCTTCCTTGGCATATTTCTATATGGATTAAGAGGGGCTGCAGACCCAGAAATAGGTCTGAAAAGCTGTCCTTTGTGGGAGAGATTTATATCTGTGGAGCAAATCTACCTTAGTGAAATAAACAGTGATGTAAACAGCAATGAAAACAGGCTCTCTGTGAAGCTCCCTATCTGTTTTATCCCGATCTAGGAAGAACTTAACTCACAGGAAAAGGTGATAGAAGTATGATGCTTTTAGAGATTTGACAGAGAAACATTTTATCACCAGGTACCATCTATTCTTTCTGAGAGCAGCTACCTGAGAGATTCTTATCTTTCTAATAAGACAGCCTTAGCTCACCATGCTTTCCTCCCCTGAGTCTTTCATAGCCTGTGATGCTACTTCCCCTGAGAAGCCCTGAAGCCCCATTCTTTATGTAATCCCAGGATGGTATAGAAACCTCAGTCCTCTGGCTCTTCCTTGAATCTCATATTTGCAGGACTCCTGTGTCTATGTATACATTAATAAATTTATGTACCTTTTTCCTGTTCATCTGTCTATTGTCAACTTATTTCAACAGATGCAGACTGGAACCTTTGGAGGAGGAGGGAAATTCTTCTTGCCTCTGAAAGCTAAAAGATTAAAGAATATTGCAGTGTTTCATTTAGGTATTTCAAAAACACAAGAGTTCTTTGGGGAGTAAAAATGCCTAGCCAAAGACAAATGGGGATTTCTGGAAAGTTTTCTCTTTTCCAAAACACTTCTTCTCACATTTGGGTATATATTGACAGCTCTGAGTCCATTGTACATGATACAGCATTGGCCCATTGAGTTTGTTACTGGAGAAAACAAACAATGATTGGAAGTCTGGCAAATTGAATCCCATTGATCTATTAAACATTAGAGGTAGGAGAGTATTAAGGATCGTATGGCTCATGCTTCATTCTTATAGATGGGAGAACAGAAGTCTAGAAGGAGAAGTGACTTGCCCACTGTTAAACAGAACCATGTTATGCTTATTAATTTTTTGATTTAAAGTGGTGGGGAAAAAACCTCAAGGCAAACTCTCGGTGAGTATTGGCTTACCTATTATTAAAGTTTACTTTCTCTTGCAAATTTTTTGAGTATCAATTATTTGTGTAGCACCATAATAAATTTTGAAGATACAGAAATCTAGATGATAGGAGCTCTTTAGACACACAATTACATTACTGCTCCTTTATAAATATTGAGTTTGTAGAGTTTCCTTGGAATGAGAGAAAAATATATTCAAGCAATGTCAAACTGCCTTCTCTCCATGCAGCTGCCAATTTATGTAAACTATCATATGGAAAGTAACTGCAGGGGACTTTCTGAAGAAAAGAAAATCACCATTTATGACTATTTCGCTTTGGTGTGTAATCTCTGTAGGGAATCCCAGTGCTGGGAGGCTGGGTTGGATCAGAAGAAATAGCTATAACTCGTGTGACCAAACCCAGCTCCCCAAGGAAAGGGGCTATTTCTTTCTTAGACCACAGAAGACACCAAAGATCATATAAGCCAGCTGAGGGGCTGCCTACTATCCCAGGCTTTTTTTTTCTTGCTCAGCCTTTCAGGGGTGAGTTGGCCTCCTCCTCCTACTGGATCTTCCTGCTGCAGTAGTGCCCAGTGTGGAAGAAGAAAGAAAAATGCATCTCAAAGGAACATAAGGCTTTCTAAGGCAAGAATACACCACACAGAGGCAGGTGCCTTCATCTGACTCTTGCTCCTTACTCCAAAAGCCTTTCTTCCACTCCTATCCCAGAAATCTTGCCAGCCACCCACACTCCACAGCATGGTACCATAGTGGCATCCTTGGCTTTGATTATATCCTAAACTCCTTCTTGGGAAGACATAGGGTTAAGAGTGTTAGAACTTTTCTGGAGACCAATATCACTAATCACATCAAGAAAATCAGCTCTGGCCACAAAGCCACTTGGACAATCCTGAAAAATGATTTTAAACTTGCCTGTGGTTGTAACTTCAAGGGAAGAACCTCATGATAATTTATTTTACTGCATCTGCATTTAGTATTTATTCGCTTGCTTCATTTGTTCAACAGTGATGAACTAAAGTCCTACTGTGTACCAGGCATATCTAGAAAGGGTAGCTTCCTCTGCTTTTATTCATTTTGGAGAACTATGTGCTGTCATGAAGACTAGTTTCTAGGGGTAGAGAAACACAGTAAGTGAGAACATTATCATCTTTCATCAAGTCAAAGATATCAGTGATTGTAAGATGTGCTACAATTTTTTGGGCCACTGAGAAAGAAATTTAATGATAAACAAAGCAAATATGTGCCAGCTAAAGTTGATGCTTGTGGTTTCAGTGCTGCTGTGTCCTACCTCCTGTATACACCATGGTGTCTTTTGATCTGCCTGGCTGCCCACCCCAGAGCAAACACATAACCACAAATCGTAGTGGGTTTAATGACTGGAATATGAGGGTTGGTATTTAGTGCTCCAGACCCAAGCCTGCCCTTAGGGGAACACAAGTCAGGACACATCATCAACTCTAAGATAGATCTTGATTTCAAAAATGTGAGTATATGAAAAAAAAATCTTAGAAATGATGAAATATGGTAAAAATTGTCATTGGCACTAAGGAGAAAAATTAGCTGTGAAATGTAAACAGCATGTCCCAGAGAGAGCCTCACTGGTAGAGGACTTTCTGGAAAAGACTGGAAGGCAGCAAAGCTTAGGCGTGTTTGTGGGTGGAACATTCCTGGGAAGGGGAACAAGCCATGCAAGGGCTCCGAGGGAGGGGTGTGTCTGGTCTATTCATGGGACAAAGAGGAGGCCAGTGTATCTGAAGAAAAGCAACGAAAGGACAGAAAAATAGAAAATAGAAATATGGAGGTTAGATTTTGCACAGAACTTTCGGTCATTTTGAGGACTGATTTTACTCTGGGTGAGACAGGAAGCCATTGGAGGGATCTGTGCAGAATAGTCTGAACTGCCTTAGATTTTCACAGGCTGGATCTGCCTGCTGTGTTGAGAAGAGTTTAAAGAGGAGCAAGAGTGGAAGCAGAGAGACCAATTAGGAGGCTACTGCAGATCTAGAGAGAGAGGATGGTGACTTGGACCAGAGCAATAACAGTGAAAGTAGTGAACAGTGGTCAGAATGTAGAAATACATTGAAGGTAGAGCTGAAAGGATTTTCTCATAAATTGAAAATGGAAAATGAGAGACAGAGGAGTCAAGGATGACTCCAAGATCATTGTTTATATTATATTTATCTGTTCCCATCAAATTAGGTCATATGAGCCTCCTCCTTCCCCACCTTCTTGGTCTTCCAGGACATTCTGTATTTCTCTGCATCACAGATCACAGAGCTATGTGTCAATTTCCTTATCCATAAAACAAAGATGATATTAGTAATGCAGACCTCATGGGGTTTTATAATTACTAAAATGCATGTGAAGTAGGTATTATATGCTAGATACTTTTCAATGCATGCCTCAATGCTGCTTTAGTAAATGTTCACTATTATTTCTATCATTTTGCTTTATTATTGCTAAGTAGACAAATGTTCATATTGGATACCAAGGGTGGGGGAGGTGGGCTGTCAGCCGTCTGCTCCTGCCAGGACTCTACCCACCACTTCTGGGCAAACCACACTCAGCAAGTGAAGAAGAAATATCCGATTAGTTAGAAGCCAAGACAAACATTGGATAATCTTGGATCAGGGGCAGGGATTCTCCATTGTAAGGGCAAGAGCCCATATTTTTCTCTTTTCTTCTCTTCCTCCCTCTTGTACCCAATGGAAAGTAAGTGGACCTAGGCAGAGCTTATTTCCTTGGGCCAGCAAAGGTGCTCTTTTGTTCCTGGTTCCTTGTAAGTGAAAGGGGGAAGGATGCAGGACCCTCTGTAACCCAGTCATCTCTCTTTGGCCACCTGGCTCAGATACCACAATTCTGAGAAGTCCTTTGAAAGATGTGATCCAGGCAAACTCTATCAGGAGGTTGTGTTGGACTCTCCAAACAGGGCCCGTCCTGTATACCAACATGCTCTTGCGATTCCCTCTTCTCGGCCTGCCTTACCTTCCTTCTCCTCTCTAGCGTCTTTCTAATAAACTCTTCTCACTCTTCTGTGTCCATCCAGAATATGTATAAACTGGAGCACTTTCTCCTTGACACACAGAAGGGACAGGCAAGGTCTCTGTTAAGCTTGTTTATTGCTGTGCACCATGGATGTGTTCTTCACATCCTCCCTCACTCTCTGCCTGGATCTTTTGTTTCACTTCTTTAAATGATTGGCTTTTTCATCTTAGAAAAGGCAGACCCAATCTAAGGTCCAGATGAGTTTAGCTATGCTTTGCTTCTTAAAAGGGAAAGCAATGGAATTCAGAGGCTATTGAAAATTTATAGCTGATTGGTGGGTAGAGACAAACAACAAAGAAAGGAGCTCGGAAGTGAAGTGGCTCTTCCTGTTGGAATGGGGCCACAGGGAATTACTCCAGCTCCCTGGTGGCAGGAAGTCTAGTAAGGCACCTGAGTGTTTACTGCTGAAAGATGCTGCTTCAGGTTTGTTGGTCATGCCAAGGAAGCATGGTAAAGGCTGAATGAGTTAGTAAGATGTGTGGGGGCATTTGTTTAAGCATCCACCACAAACAAGGCTCTATATTAAGCCTTACTAAGGGGCTCACTTAGGTGAGTAAGACACAGCTCCTTGCCCTCTCTCCAGAAATAACTTCCCACCTCAGAGGGGAGATAAGGCAAATGTTTGTGCATTTCTCTGACCTTCCTCTTATGGGGTTATGGTTGTTCTAGGTGTGATGCAGTAGAAGCAGTGTCCTGGTAAGGCAAGCTCCAGGACCTGGGTTTGAATTTGATGGGGTGATGCCCACAGGGCTAGAATTGGCCTGGACTGGAGTGAATGCTGGTGATCACACCTCTCTGATGAGGCCAGTCTAGGGCAGACTTGTCAGGGGGCCTCTCTGGCCCACAGAGTTCTCACTCACCCTTGCTTCCCTGTGCTCCCATCCACATCTCTTTCCTTGCTTTTCCCCAGGTTTTATCTTTTACCAAAACATTCCAGCAGCATGGGAACAGCATGAGTCCTGAGGGGTAAAGTGTGGAGACATCTTTGACTGGAAACCCTCTGTGCCTTTCGCCTGCAATGCTCCTTGCTCACAGACCTTTTAGTAACCTTTCAGCTGCCCCAAGTGAGTTTCACTACAGTTCTTTTCCTACTTAAATTGACTAGCTCTATCCACCCAGGATACCCACTTAACTTCTCTGGGCCTTATTTTCTTACACATAAAATAGGGTAGAGGGAAGGCTTGGAATTCATAAGTACTCAGCTCTTTCCCTGCCTTGACATCTTGAGAATTGAAGCCATCTTTTCTATCTTCATGCCTCCAGGCATATGGATGTCCAGACATTTTCTATGTTCTGGTGAAAATGGACTGGACAGAGATGTCATACTCTTCCTTAGAACCCCATTCTAGATTTTCATTTACCTCCCTATTCTGAGAAAACCAAGTAGTTCTACTTCATGTTTAATTAAGATCTCTCTTGTAGGTAATTTTCTTCTGAGTAGATTTCATGAATGTAGAGAACAATAACTAAATGCCTTTTTCATATAGAGCATTTATATGCTCACATATACAAGTTAATTTTCTTTTACAACCCTATATTTAGCCCCATTTGGGCCTCATTTCCATTAATTTGCATGTTGATATTCATATTTATGTAGATATATTCCTGGAATCAATGGAAAAGAATATCCTACACAGAAGGTTGGAAATGATAATTTATTCACAGAGCTTGATCCTAAGATTTAGGAGAAGTTCATTGGGCAGGATTGCCAAATTAAATACCTAACTACTTTTTCTGTACAGCTAAAAGTGGTTATGAGTTATATTTACTCATTTGTCTTACAAAAGGAGAGCAGAGGTAGATGCAGCACATGGGAGATGTCCCCCAGCAAGACAGTCCTGATGAATGAAATAAGGTCTCTAAGAGGTATCAGGCATTTGGGAGAGAATGGACCACTTGGGTGCCTGAAATGTCAATCCCTTTCCATGTGGATGCCACTCCTAAAATGTATTGTCCCTGGCAGACACCACGTGTCCCCTCTAATGTATGGTTCTCCTGTCTAGAACTTAAACAGAAGGAAGCTAGAGATTCTGATGTTAGGATATCCACAGCTTTCACGATACCTGGGAGTTGGGACCCCACTGACTGTATATCACATGCTAAATGATATACTGGTTCTTTATATGCTGTCTTGCTACTTTTGAAAAATTGCCCAATAAAAAAGATATGATTGTTTCCAATTTTTAAATAAAAAAACCTGATGTTCAGAGAGGATAAAAGACTTGGCCAGGCCAAGAAATGGCAGATCCAAGTGTTGAAATCAGGAATGTCTGATCTCAAATTTCATTTTATTTCTGCTTAATCAAGTCTCAGTAATTTGAAATGAAGAATACTTGGATGCCTTCGAGGTGAAACATGTTGAATAATCTCTCTGATTATTCTATTTGGCTAAGCCTCACTCAAGATTAATATTCAAGCAGGTTGTTTTAATTATTT
The DNA here is from genome assembly GCF_000001405.40 of Homo sapiens. NCBI lineage: Eukaryota > Metazoa > Chordata > Mammalia > Primates > Hominidae > Homo > Homo sapiens. The sequence goes on from NC_000008.11 coordinate 135,973,422, forward strand.
TTCTGCTAGAAAACAAAAATTGAGCTAAATATAGCCTGTTAATGCTTTATTGGGACGTGCAATCCCAGGGCAGCAAGGGAAAGGGAAAGTGAGAACTCCAAAGGAGGGGAAGAAAATACAAGGAGATAGGTTACGGAGCTGGTCAGTTTTACAGGAAGCACAACTGCATGATTGGCACAAGGGACAGCTTCAGACAAGCTAAGTGACAGCACTGAACCTCGGAGCTGTCAGTCCAGGCAAGGAGAAAGGGGTGTTTATTTCTCAGTAACTTCCCATCTTCTGTCTTTTACCGGTCCGCAGGGTGTTAGCTCATCTGTACTTCCAGATGGTATTGCCTAACCTCTCTAAGTAGCTGCTGACAAAGCCAGGCCCATGTCTCATGGTGAGGTCTTTCATCTAAAATCAGAAAAGGCAGGGAGAGTCAAAGCATCTGTGGGTCCAGCTGGGTTGGACCTGGCTGTTGGGGATACAGTGGCAGGAATGTCAAAGGACATGCTAAAGCCCAGTGTTCTGCCTGGGAAGGATGAAACAGCCAGCAGTGTTAGGACATGAATTTATAGGGGCTAGTGTCCTATACCTGGGGTGCAGGTGGGCCTCATAAAATCTGAGGAAGTACATGCAAATCTACTTTCTAGGCCCTCACTATCTTATGCTATGTGCATCTCACTCTGTGATACTAGAACAACATGCATTTATTTCTTTCATTCTTCGAGGTGGTAGCCCTAGCAATCTCCTCAAAATACTTAATTAGGATTAGCAAACCCAGGGACTGTACCTACTCCCCAGGTTTAGGACACTAGCCCCTGTAAGCTCATGTCCTAACAGCTGATCTTGGAGCCATAGTTGATATTCATCATCTCTCTCTTCTATGACCCTTTCAAGATTTTCCTTATCCTTGGACAGCCCCTTGTCTGTTCTGGATTGCTTGCCTAGTGACCCAGATGTTCATCCCAGAGAAGTTTAATCCCCTAATTCCTAGTCTTTGAGCAGGTTATAACTACTTCAATTGATGCTTATAGTAGCCAAGAGTGTCAAAGGACACCCATGGTTCCTATACCCATTTATTCTAATTTATTCTAGTTATTGAGGACATAGCATCATGTAACAGCCATTAAATGGATGCAGAAATAAATATATATATTTTTTCTGTAAAGGGCATGATACTGATACTAGATAGTTTGAGCTTCATGAACCATACCATCTCTGTTGGAGCTACAGAACTCTGCCCATTTAGTGGTAAAGTAGCCATTGATAATATGTAAACAAATGGACATAGCTGTGTTCCAATATACTTTTATTTACAAAAATAGACTTTAGGCCTTACTTGCCATGTAGTTTGTAGTTTGCTGACTCTTGGTTTAGTGAGATGTTCTGAAAGTCAGTGTTTAAACTCACTATTGTTAGGTTGGAAGGTGTCTTAGCGAGCCTTTAAGCTTTAAGCCATGATTCCTCCAGACTGCCTACTTCTGAATAATAAGACACATGGTTAGACCTACAGGTCTCATGGTTCTGAACCCATTGTAAGCTTTTTGATGTGCTGCTGGATTCGGTTTGCCAGTACTTTATTGAGGATTTTCGCATCGATGTTCATCAGGGATATTGGTCTAAAATTTTCTTTTTTTGTTGTGTCTCTGCCAGGTTTTGGTATCAGGACGATGCTGGCCTCATAAAATGAGTAGGGAGGATTCCCTCTTTTGTATTGTTTAGAATAGTTTCAGAAGGAATGGTACCAGCTCCTCTTTGTACCTCTGGTAGAATTCGGCTGTGAACCTGTCTGGTCCTGGGCTTTTTTTGGTTGGTAGGCTATTAATTACTGCCTCAATTTCAAAACTTTTTATTGGTCTCTTCAGGGATCCAACATCTTCCTGGTTTAGGAAGTTACTCCTTTCACATGAGGCAATATTGCGTTGGATAATATGGATCAGGCATTTTATAAGTCCTTAGATGATAGTGCTAGAGGAAGCAATGTAGTCAGGGAAGGACAACTAATGTCCGAAGTGGGTATCGATTACACTGCCTCCTCATGGTGAAGCATGTTTGACATAGTCAATGTCCCATTCAGCAGCTCACTAGTCACCCTGAGGAATGATGCCAAGTAGACACGTTGGTCTCTGCTGAGGATGTTGGACACCCAGTAGTGCCAATGGCTATCATCCCAGATAAAGAAGACCCATGTTGTTAAGTTTGTATAAATTCTATCTGTACCATCATATACAACAAGCTCATGGGTGCAATGAACACACACTGGGGTGGCTGATAGAAAAGGCTGGCCCTCATCCACAGGTTGGGTTATTCTCTTCACTTGACTATTCAGTATCTACTGTGTGGTATAACCTCTGTGGTGAGCATACTTTGAAACATAAAGATCCACATCTTTGTAGTCAGTCCTATTGATCTGCTTCTATACATCTTACTCAGATTTTTCCCCCAAATTGTCTATTCATGTGTCTACCAAACTCTTGACCAACTGATCAAGTGATTCACCACTGCCCAAAAGTCAATGTATATCCGTATCTCAGTTCACCCCTTCCTGCATGTCAAGTGGACAGCCTTCCAATGGTCATATATCTGCCTATCTACCTCTCCTATATAGCTTTTCAGAACCCGAAAGTGTGGCTTAATGAAGCAGCTAAATTATTTCTTATCTGTCAATTGATGATACGAAATATCCCACTTTCTCTTATTAGGCCATGGTGAGATAAAGAAGAGACATCAGTAGCATAAATACTTGGTGTTTTTGTTCATATGCTGTTTCCACTGCCAGAAGCTGATTTTCAAATGGAGAGTATTTCTCTTCTGCAGAGGTGATGGCATTGCTTTAGAATTCTAGGTCTGCACTGTGACTTTCCCAATAGGCTTGTTGAAGACCCCTCACACTATTGTAATCTACTAATATCTCAACACCATGGAATCCACCAGGTCATAAAGCTCATGTCATCAGAGGTTTGCACTGGTTTTTGGACCTCTTATAGAGGCCTTTCTAACTCTGGGCCCCAACAAAAAGTGGAAGCCTTTAAATTAGCCAGTTAACGTTAAGTTCACCCTATGCTCAAGCTATCATTTTTGCTGCAGTTCTATAGCATTTACTCTCTGTCCCATTATGTGTGGTTTTAATAGTGCATTGTTTGATATTGTAATAATCTAATAAACACTTGAATGAATGTATGAGTCTTCAGTTCAATTTTAAAGCACTAGAGAATAGCTAACCACCACTTTTCTCCTAGCTCCCAGCTATTGTCCCCGCTAGCATTCACAGGGCTCAGATGTCATCTCCTCTTCACTTAGCAAGTTGTTACTCATCTTTTAAGGACCAGGTTGAGTTTAGTTTCTCTGAAAATTCTTACCTACTCTAAAGAAGCTGAAACTCTCTTTTACACTCTGGCCCTATTGAATCTCATTCACTTTGTTACATTATATTATACTTATCTACGTTCTGTCTCTTCTAATTTGTTAACTTTTTAGGAGCAGGGATATATCTTAATCATCTTAAAATCCTTAAGGAATAGAGAAGGCTTGAAATGAAGTAGGTGCTTACTAAACGTTTGTCAAATAAAATAAATGAGTGGATTTATGATGCTATGCATGAATTTATGATAATCAAAGTATATTTTTTTCTGTTCAAAAACACAAATAAACAATAACATTATCACACTCAGGTGTATCCTACACTATCTATGTGTAATACTGACTAAATTAAAATGACAAGCCAGGCCATTCAGGTCCAGGGTATAGTTTGACCCTAATCTCAGAAAATAGAAGGGGGGAGGAAGAGGTGCTATTTGTTTCTAAAATAGTGTTAATTAAATATACAAAAATTAACAAATAGTGTTAATTAAAAAGGGAGAAAGTAAAAGAGGAATATAAAATCACTTGTGTGGCATTATTTCTGAGGCCTCTGTTCTGTTCCATTGGTCTATATGTCGGTTTTGGTAACAGTACCATGCTGTTCTGGTTACGATAGCGTTATAGAATAGTTTGAAGTCAGGTAGCATGATGCCTCCAGCTTTGTTGTTTTTGCTTAGGATGGTCTTGGCTATATGGGCTCTTTTTTGGTTCCCTATGGAATTTAAAGTAGTTTTTTCTAATTCCATGAGGAAAGTCAATGGTAGATTGATGGGGATAGCACCGAATCTATAAATTACTTTGGACAGTGTGGCCATTTTTATGATATTGATTCTTCCTACCTATAAGCATGGAATGTTTTTCCATTGGTTTATGTCCTCTCTTATTTCCTTGAGCAGTGGTTTGTAGTTCTCCTTGAAGAGGTCCTTCACATCCCTTGTAAGTTGTATTCCTAGGCATTTTATTCTCTTTGTAGCAATTGTGACTGGGAATTCACTCATGATTTGGCTCTCTGTTTGTCTATTATTGGCATATAGGAATGTTTGTGATTTTTGCACATTGATTTTGTATCCTAAGACTTTGCTGAAGTTGCTTATCAGCTTAAAGATATTATGGGCTGAGACGATGGGGTTTTCTAAATACACGATCATTTCATCTGCAAACAGAAACAATTTGACTTCCTCTTTTCCTATTTGAATACCCTTTATTTCTTTCTCTTGCCTGATTGCCCTGGCCAGAACTTCCAATACTATGCTGAATAGGAGCGATGAGAGAGGGCACAGCCTTGTCTTGTGCCGGTTTTCAAAGGGACTGCTTCCAGCTTTTGCCCATTCCGTGTGATATCGGCTGTGGGTTTGTCATAAATAGCTTTTATTATTTTGAGATACAATCCATCAATACCTAGTTTGTTGAGAGATTTAGCATGAAGAGTTGTTGAATTTTACTTTATCAAGTGCCTTTTCTGAATCTATTGAGATAATCATGTAGTTTTTGTCATTGGTTCTGTTTATGTGATCGATTACGTTTATTGATTTCCATATGTTGAACCAGCCTTGCATCCCAGTGATGAAGCCTACTTGATCACGGTAGATAAGCTTTTTGATGTGCTGCTGAATTCAGATTGCCAGTATTTTATTGAGGATTTTCGCATTTATGTTCATCAGGAATATTGGTCTAAAATTTTCTTTTTTTGTTGTTGTGTCTCTGCCAGGTTTTGGTATCAGGATGATGCTGGCCTCATGAAATAGTTAGAGAGGAGTCCCTCTTTTTCCATTGTCTGGAATAGTTTCAGAAGAAATGGTACCAGCTCCTCTTTGTACCTCTGGTAGAATTCGGCTGTGAACCTGTCTGGTCCTGGGCTTTTTTTGGTTGGTAGGCTATTAATTACTGCCTCAATTTCAAAACTTGTTATTGGTCTCTTCAGGGATTCAACTTCTTCCTGGTTTAGTCTTGGAAGGGTGTATGTGTCCAGGAATTTATCCATTTCTTCTAGATTTTCTAGTTTATTTGCACAGAGGTGTTTGTAGTATTCTCTGATGGTAGTTTGTATTTCTGTGGGATCAGTGGTGATATCCCCTTCATCATTTTTTACTGCGTCTATTTGATTCTTCTCTCCTTTCTTCTTTATTATTAGTCTGGCTAGCAGTCCATATATTTGGTTAATCTGAAATAGAGGCAATAATTAATAGCCTACCAACGAATAGAAAGCTTCTTGTTCTTATGGAAACTGAGCTGTGGGGAAGGGAAGATAGAGGATGGATAGGAAGTAGATAAGAGTTCCTACCTAAGGTGTTTGTATATCCAGGAAGGCTAATAAAAAAGATTGTGACATCACTAGCATAAGAGATGATGAGACCCTCAGTTAGGAAATATCACTGAATAGAGAAGAGGGTATCGAACAAAACACAAGCTGTGTATATTCACAGGAGCATGGTCCTTAGAATCCACTTTCCTGGATTATAACTCCGTCCTTGCCATTTATTCATCATGGCTTTTGGCAGCTCAGACCATTCCTCTTAGCCTCAGTTTCTTCATCTACACAATAAGCAGGTTAGAGCTGATAATATGTAAAGTCTTTTGCCACAGACACTTCAGCTTGTTGACAGTTTTTCCCTGAGCCAAACTTCTCAGATGTTCTTTCGCTAAAAAAAACTGCACAGCATAAAACTTAAATGACCAAGAACCTATTAGAAAATTAGTAGTTGCAACCCCAAGGAAATGAAAAGTTTAACTAGTGTGCAGGCAGAGCTGGTGTTTAAATGGGGGAAAAGCATTCACACAGAACCCTTAATTGGTAACTAGGGCAGCCCGAGTTAGGCAGCTAACAAGCTGAACAATTTTGATGACATAAAATTAACACCAGGACACAGGAAAAGCCTGTTTTATTTGCTATTTTATGTGTTATGTGACAATTTAATTAAACTTTGAAGGAATCCAAGCAGTTAATTCCCCAGAGAAATAAACCAAGAATGACATTTAGGCCTGTCTCCTAAGGAGTTAGGCAAGGGAGTACTTTTTCATTTTATAATGCTATAAACCCAACTTTTACCTTGAAATTAGTAAGTGCGATTAAATAGCCTTAGTTTTGCCTGCATCCCTTCTCCTTTCTCCTCCCAGGATTGACTTAAAGTCACCAGCATATCCAAGTGAGTATGATAAAGGCAATATGAGTTGCACCTCATAATCTGTAGAATGAACTTTCAATATATGCTACATTGCAGGCTCAACCTGGGCATCTCTGCTTTCTTTTTACAAACGCTAGTTGAGATGGCATAATGTAACAACAACAGCCACAACTATCACCACACAATGTTGGTCAAGAGAAGCTAGCTTATGCTGCAATAACAAAGAATTCCAACATCTTAGTGCTCCAAACAGCAATGGTGTATTTCTCACTCATGGTTCTTGTCGACCCAGGGTTTCCTGGGGATTCTGCTCCATCAGGCCACCTCTTAGTACCAAGACAGGTGAAACAGCCATGGTCTAGATTATTGTTGGTCTTCATGGCATAAGAAAAGCAACAAGACTGAAGGAGGTGCCAGCCCTCAAAGCTTCCATCTGAAATTGACATGTTGCAGCTACATCAGGCACTTCTTACGAGAATCTAATGGATATGTGTCAATTTCACTCACATTTTATTCACTGAAGGCTGTCCCATGATCACCTCTAAATGGAAGTGCAGAGAAGTGTAGTTCTTCCATGTGTCTGAAGGGGGGAGAGATGGAAATATCTAGTGAACAGCATTTCCCATGTGCCAAAGTTTGTCCTAAACAACATATGTATATATGTGCATGTGTACATATACGCTCATATGTATATACACATAGATACATAGATTCATTTATATATATAAAATAGATATGCACATATGTAATCTGAATAATACAAAAATATTTGTGTAGTAGTTTCAGAGATCTTGGTGTCTGTCATCTTAGTAGGTGCCAGCATTATCCTTTCTTAGCTGTGTGTCCTGGGCATGTAAATGAGCTCTTTGTTTCTCCATTTTTCATTTGTGAAATTTCCTACCTCATGGGTCCAGGATAAATGTATAACACATATGACATTATTTCATAAACGATCAATAAGTGCTAGTTAGAATTATCGGCAAGAAGGCTTAAACACCTTCTCTTAATAAAAACAAATAAATGGAAACAGATCAAAATGAAACTTTCTACTCTGGTCAGAAAAGGTAACACAGTTTTCTTTCATATAAATAACGTCAAATTGATTTGCTTCAGGCTTTGTGTATATTTTACTTCTACTCTAAGTCTGCTTGACTGTCATATCAACTTTAAGTTCACTCTATGCTCAAGCTATCATTTTTACTGCAGTTCTACAGCATTTGCTCTCTGTCCCATTCTGTGTGGTTTTAACAGTGCATTGTTTGATATTGTAATAACTTAATAAACACTTGAATGAATGTATGAGTCTCCAGTTCAGTTTTAAAGCATTAGAAAATAGCTAACCAGGCCCAGGGTCATGGGAGAGGAAAGGGGACTATCAACGGAGTGCCTACCATATGCTGAGTAAATATTGTGCGAAGCGTTATCAATATATGATTTAGTTTGATCCTCACAATACTTCACTGAATTATACATGATTGCCCCTTGCTATATAAAGAAACAGGAAATTGATACTCAAGGATCTCAATGTAATAATGAAAACAGCTACTATTTTTTGAGAACCTACAATGGGATGAGCACTTACTATTCATCAGACAATGTAATCATCACACACAGGTGCACACACACATACACACACAGAAGCATATATCAGTCAGCACAGTGCCTATGTATTAGCCACTTAACACATGGGGACAGCTGGGTTGGGAAGGAGTATGAAGATATTTGAACAAGAGGATAAAGAGCTGATACTTATTCAGTAGCATTTTCGGGAGCTGAGTGATGTTTGAGCCTCAGCAATACAAATTGGCAACTATGTGGGATGAAGGTTGGGGAGGGTAAGAGACTAAAGATAGGGAGATCATTTAAGACAGCAGTTTCCAAACTCCTGGGCCATGGACTCGAACCCCATAGTGTTCATATAGCCTTCTGTTGAAAATATAGCCTACAGATATTCTGACCATTACTGAGATTTGCTGGAAGTAAGTGAAATTCAGCTAGATCAGAGCAGTTCAGCAACTTAGAAATCGTCACAATCAACCTCTCCATTTGACAGATGACAAAGCTGAGTTTCATAGAGGTGATGTGACTTGCCCAAAGCCATACTGATCAGGTTCCTACTGGTCTGTGGCCCATTAGGAACTAGGCTGCACAACAGGAGGTAAGCCATGGGCCAGCAAGTAAAGTTTCATCTGTATTTACAGTAGCTCCCCATTTCAGTCTTACATTACCGCCTGAGCTCTGCCTCCTGTCAGTTCTGCCTCCATTAGAATCTCATACCAGCAGGAACCCTATTGTGAACTGCATATGTGAGAGATCTAGGTTGTGCCCTCCTTATGAGAATTTAAAGCCTGATGATCTGTTACTCTGTCCTATCACCCCCAGATGGGACTATCTAGTTGCGAGAAAACAAGTTTAGGGTTTCCACCGATTCCACATTATAGTGAGTTGTATAATTATTTCATTATAAATTGAAATGCAATAATAGAAATAAAGTGCACAATAAATGTAATGCCTTTCAATCATCCTGAGCCCCACTCCTCACCCAGGTCCATGAATAAATCGTCTTCCACAAAAGTGGTCCCTGGTGCCAAAAAGGTTGTGGACCACTGATTCTTAAATCACACTATTGAGACAATTCAAGCAAGCGGCAAGAAGCACCGAACTGGGGAAGGGGCAGTGGAAACCCAGGCAGGTGGGGGTGAGGCTTCCTAAGAAGTGCTGTAAAGGCAGTGTTGAAAAAACTAAGCACAGAAATAAGCGTGAGGACCAAGGAGGAGAGAGGCCTCCACAGTCCATCAGCTGGAGAATCTAGGTGCCTACCAGGACAATGGTGCCATTTCTGGCAATTGTAAGGCCCAGAGAAAGAGCTATTTTTGGAAGAGACATGAAGAACTGATTTCTAGGTGTATTGAAATTACAACAGATAATTGAATAGAGCTCCACAGCAGATAGTGGGCACTGCAGAATCTGAAACTCAGGAGAGGGAATTGGCTAGACCTGGACATTTGTGGATAAACAGCAGAGGGTGGGAGGCTGAAGCATAAGGAATGAGGGGTGGCTCTCAAGGTGGAATGCATAGATACAGAAGATGAGAGATGGGAATGCAGCCTTTGGAGGAGCAGAGAGGTTGAAGGAGTGGGACCTGGAAATGGCAGAAAAGATGTGAGGAGAAGCATTCTGAAAGTTAGGAAGAATACAGGAGGCAGACTATGTAATTTAGACTCAATTCATCAGGCTCTGATGAGGACTGAAGGTCTTTTGACTAAGAGATTGTCATGGAAGTCAGAGGAAAATCAATGACTAAAAATGAGAGTGTGACCTACTTGTGGCACAGGTGTGTGACACCAAGGAGGTTTCCATCAGGAAAGGCGTGGCTAGTGAGAAGTTCTCTTTTTAGATGTTTTGATGGGAGGAGAAAGAGAGTGAGAAGTGTCATTCAATACATAGGAATGGGGGGCCCAAGTGGATATGTTTGTTTCAAAACAAGAAAAACCTGAATATTTCCTAAAACTGATGAGAAAATTTCTAACAAGGGAGAAAGTCCAGGCACAGATGAGAGAGAGATAGATTGGTTTTAAGTGCCACATGAAGCTTAAAGACTTGCATTAAGGTTACAGGTAGAGGTAACTTTTGTTACCAAAGTTAGCTTTGGTAACTAAAAGGGCCAGGAGTGAGGGAAGCTGATGAACAGAAACATTTTTGGAGGAGGCAATAAAAGTTTAACTTTCTCATCTCAGAGCCTTCATCTACTAACAGAAGGAAAGATCAAGCATTTCTGCCAGTAGTGCTTTTTGAGTAAGAGATTGTCATGGAAGTCAAAGGAAAATCAATGACTAGGAATGAGAGTGTTATCTATGTATGACACAGGTGCGTGACACCAAGGAGGCTCCCATCAGGAAAGGCAGTGGCTAGTGAGGAGTGCTGTTTCTAGATGTTTGGATGGGGTTAAGTTAACTTGATAATGCCAAAGGATAACTTCATCTACTTTTTAGTTTTAGTGGAGTTATAAGCACATGACAGTGACAAGTCCATAGAACCTGAATTGAATTCTGGATCTCACATGTGGTCAACACCCAGAAACACTCAAAAAAATGTGCAGTTAATAAATATTGAATTTTTACATTATTTAAATTTGACCTATCTTGTCTCTAATCTTACTGTCTTTACTAACTACCAACTAGATGCTAAAGTCTGAAAAACCTACTCTGTGCTATGATCTTTTATCTACATTATCCTACACTCTGTAGCTGAACTGAGAGGTTTCCTGTGTTCTCCTGTCATAGGTTAGTAAGTGTCATATCCAGAATTCAAACCATTTTCATGTCTCCAAAAAGCATATATGTTCTCTCTAGCATGAGGATACTATAGTGTTAATTTTTATGATTAGTGCACTATCTTATATTGTTAGTACTTAATGACTTCTCTTCAATGGACTTGAAGCTCTTTTTCAGGTTTGTTTTCACTCTTTCCCTACCCTCACCCCAACTTTAATTTCCTGCATATCCGGGAAGAACTGACCATGAATTTATTACTGGTATTAAGAATCATACTGTGTCAGCATGGGGAACTCTCTCTCAGCTTATCAAAAGAAAACAGCCTTTATTTTTAATGCTGAGGAAAGATTGGGATGGTAAAAAGAGAAGTATGGAAAAGTGTGGAGGGAGGAAAGAGGTAAGAATAATAGATGTGAGGAAGGTTGAGAAAGGAGGGAAAATTAAGGAGTTGGGAAAAGGCCAAGTGCATGGATGGGGAAGAGGAAGATGTGGAAGGGGAGAGAGGAGTGGAGGAGAGGTGAGAAAAGGAGTGGACCAGGGTCAAGGACAAGTGGGAAGGGGAGTGAAGGATTTTCAACTGGGTACAGCAACTTCGTTCCCATCACTGTATATTTTGCTGCTTAGGAACCCAACCCGACCAGGCCTGTGAAGATAGGAGACAGTCTGTTGGATGCTTAATGATTTATAACAAGTACACAAGAATGCCATTAAAAACTAATTCATCACCGGCAGGCTAAATGATTTGCAAACATCTGCTCTGCAATGGGACCCTCTTGGGAAGAGAGTTTCCAAGGGTTGAAAAGTTCTTCTAATGTAGCTATTGCATATGGGAGTTAAGACATAGACACCCACATTTGGGTCACCAGCTTTCCATCCAAAGTGATTAATTACAGTGATGCTTAAATGTCTCCTTCTGACCTGCCTCATTTGTGTGCTGGAACTCCCTCTAAAAGCTGATTACCCTCCACAGTGATATGCAGATTAAGACATGGCAGTCCTCTACCCCGGAGGTTCATTGTCTGAGATGACTAAGTTTCTTAGAAATGGTAGGTCTCCACCTTTAAATCTGCTGACTTGACCTTCTATCAGACAGCAAATCCCAATACAAGTGAGTTCTCAGGCTAAATATGTTCACTTTTTCTTGCCTTGAACTTGACAGTGGCTCACATTCTTCTAGAACTGGCTGTGGGTCCCTTCCCCATCCTTCATGCAATTTCAAGCAATCCTTAAATTTATCATTCTAGGTAAAAAATCTATAGCAAAGGAGACATATATATAAAATCTCCTATATATATATTTGTGTATATATATATATAAAATCTCCTATATATATTTGTGTATATATATATATAAAATCTCCTATATATATATAATCTCCCATATATATATAAAATCTCCTATATATATATATAAAATCTCATATATATATATATATATATATATATATATATATATATATATATATTGCCCTATATACCATGTGGTTACCTCTGAGTTAAGCTTTGGCCATGTTAGATAGTTTTCAACATGCTTATGGCTTCCCATCTGTTATGGGTTGAATTGTGTTCTCCAAGAAGATGTACTGAACTTCTAACCTCCAGTACCTCAGAAGGTGACTTTATTTGGAAATAGGGTTATTGCAGATGTAATTAGTTAAGATGAGGTAATATTGGAGCAGGGTGGGTCTCTAATTTAATACGACTGATACCCTTATAGAAAGAGGAGAGATACACAAAGGAAGAGATGGATAGGCAGTGATGAAGGCAGACCTTGGAGTGATGATGCATGTACAAGCCAAGGAACACCAGGGATTACCAGTAGATGTCAGAAGCTGGAAGAGGCAAGGGAGGATTATTCCGCATGGGATTTAGAAGGGGCATTCATCTGTGAAGACCTTGATTTTGGAATTCTAGCCCCCAGAGCTGTCATGTAATATATTTCTGTTGTTTTAAGCCCCCAAGTTTTCGGTGCTTTGATAGGACAGCCCTGGGAAACTGGATCTCTCTCGTTCTTGGCTTTAAGGCACTTTTGACCTCATGGGAGCCTGCTCAACCAAGTACAAGCATACCATGAAAATGTCAGGGAGTGTGAGGGGAACTCCTCAGTCATTGAGTGATGAGAGCCAACAGATAGATTTCTCAACCAACCCATCATTTGGTGGGACAATTCTGAAGTGGACTCCACAGTTCTCAGAGGGTTCCCAGAGGAATTGAGCTCCAAGAAGAAGGTGATGGTGGCATAAACCAAGGTGGTAGCAGTTGAGGTAGGGGGAGTTACTATCAACTGAGATGATTGGAGGGGAGTAGTTTTGCCTGTTAGTCTTTGTTGAGCACTGTCAGATTGGGTAATTTTGTCTGTTTCAATATTGTGGTAGGTTAAAGATTTTTACGAGTTCTTTGCCACTCCTTCCTTCCATCAAGAGCAGTGTAAGCCTCCTCCTGCATGAGCTTTGCACTTGGCCTTTGACTTCTTCTGGCCAACGGGACATCAGCAAATTTGACACAAGCAGAGGCTTTATAAATGTGTCTGCATTGGGGCTTTCTCTGAGATTGCCATGTAAGAAAACTGGATCACCTACTGGCAGATGAGAAGCCCAGGAAGGAGAACCAAGATGTCCCAGCTGACAGCCAGCACCAAATGTCAGACATGTGAGTGAAGCCAATTTGAATATTCCAGCTTCTGCTAAACTCCACTGACTGTAGCCACTTGAGTAAGCCCAACCACTTGGTAAACAAAATCAGCAGAAGAACTTCTAAGTCAACCCACAGAATTGCTATATACATATTGAGTTGTTTTAAGTCACTATGTTTTGGGGTGATCTGTTATGCAGAAATGCATAACTACACAAATACCCAGCAATCTTGTGGGAGGCTGTCACTAGAAATCTCCCCAAGCTTCACACTTTGCAACCTCTGCCACAGGTAGCTATGGTCTTGCAATTAGCTTATACTTCTGGAATGAAAATCTGTTTTCCTCTTATTTTGGATGGTCTCTGTGTCCCCTTCAAGGGTGACCTTTTACCTCATAGTGTTCCTGAAGCCTTCTATTGAAAATACAACCTATAGATATTCTGACGATTACTGAGATTTGCTGGAAGTAAATGAAATTCAGCTAGGTCAGAGCAGCTCAGCAGGTTAGAAATAGTCACAATCAACCTCTCCATTTTAAAGATGACAACACTGAGTCTCATAGAGGTGATGTGACTTGCCCAGAGCCATATTGATCAGTCCATGGCAGTAGAGTTAAAAGTTTGGGATTGAATCCTGTCCTTACTCATTTTTGAGCTGTGTGTCCTTGAGCTGGTTTCTTAAATTCCCTGTGCTTTAGTATCTTAATTTTTAAAATGATATAAGAACAAGTAACTTTGTTACAGGTTTTTATACTTCATGAGACACTTACAATGCTTAGCACAGTGCCTGGCAGATGGTGAATTCTCAAAAAATAGTTATTGATAATTTGTTGAGTGCCAGATGCTAGTCTATGTGCTGATGGCAGAAAAAAAGAATAAAACAGACAAAGTCTTTACCTCCATGTAGCTTATATTCTAGTAGAAGACAGACTATCCATTAAAAAAGCAAATGCATGTATAATATGATGTCAGGTACTCTGATAAAAGATAAAGAAATTGGAAAAAGAAGAGTTGGAATAATAGGTATGTTATCTGGATATGTTGGTTCCAGAAAGTCTCTTTGAGGAGACAACACAGACAGGAATGGTAGGCATTGTCATCATCATCATTGTCATCATTATGATCACCATCCTTCTCCTCCTCCTCATCACAGCTGGTATTAACACAGGCTTTTGAAGCCCAAGATGACATTCTTTTAGCAACATCATGCTGCCTCCCAGTGACTGAGTCGAGAGGGAGAATTTACGAGCAAACAAACAAACAAATGAAACAAGCTAAACTATACAGCTACACTCTCCTCTCTCACACTGAATTCAGGAAAAAAACTGCAAAAGTAGGTCAGTAAATACAAATCCTCTTTACAGATTATATAAAATATTAATGTTTGGAAAAGTGACCGTTTTGATTCCTCCAGCCATCCAGCATGACGGTAACTTGCAAATGCTGCTCTGGATGTTTGTCCTTCCTGGCCGAATATATGTGTGGTCTCTAAGGGCAGAAGTCACTGAAGAACAATCAACCAGAGCAGCACAGGGGTTATGCATGCAGGATTTGAAACCAGGGATAATGAAATTTAATCTCAGTTCTACCACTTTCTAGGTGTATGGCTTTGGGCAAGGAAATAAATTGCTGAAATGTGAGCTCCATGAAGGCAGATCCTGCTCACCGGAACGGCACGGTTCTCAAACCAGTGCATCAGTGCTTGAGTGACTGAATAGATTTACCTCATGCCTCCAAAGTTCAATTCACACCTTTAAAAAATGGGAATAATAATAGGCACATCAGGCTTTTGTGAATTAAATGTGACAATCATCATAGAACATTTCGCAGTGCCTGGCACATAGAGAGCAATAAATAAATGGTAGCTTTATTATTCAATGTTTGTAGAATGAATGCAATTTTGAGTGAATGAAGACTGTGCTTGTGGAACAGCATGAACAGGAGGGCTAAGGCTAAGAAGATCTTTGTAAATAAGTATAAAATAAAATGTAGGCCATGGTCAAGGTGCCTCAGTCTAAGGTTTTTGAGAAATACTTCTAGAATATTTAGGTGAAAATAGAAGTTCAGACTCAGATGGTATTTAGGGAGCATCACTTGAGTTCCCTTGAGCATGGCAGGAACTGTGCTACCTGTGTCCACATCTACAATTTCATTAAAAAGATCATAGTAACCCAGTTGGATGGGGATCACTATAGTCCAATTTATAAATCTGATAGAGGACGGAGTTAGGGATTGAACCGGGTCTTTAACTTGGAAGATGTGAAGGTGGTATTTGTTTCTCCAGTAGACCAGTTTCACACCAATCTTTCAGGATGAATGTCATATCATGGATTTAGCCAGGACCTGTGGTGTCTTCACTCAGTTCTGAGTTCTTCTATTAACAACTTACCCCTTAGGTTTTCTCACTCATCAAGTAGAAAAAAAAAAGTGTGATGTTGTCTGCCTACTGCCCAGAACTCTTCAGAGAACTGTACAAAAATAATAAAGCATTTATAAAGGTAAAGACAAAACTTAATTTTTTTTTAAAAAACAGAGGTAATGATGCATGTTCCTTATGATTTTTAAAGAAGTATTGCAAGGCAATGTTTGTAATCACTTTATTCCACCCCAAAGCATATTGTGCATACAAATTTAAGACTTCCTAGCACCTGCCATTCATTTTCAAAAAGTTAAATACTCATGAACAATCAATGAATTTTTATATAGGCTTTGCAATTGCTACAGAGCATTAGTATCCATTTTCTATTTGTAATTCAGAAAAACTTGTGAAATCATTATAATTATTTCTATGAGCAGGTGAGGAAATCAAGATGGAGAGAGGTAAAATGACTTTACCAAGGTCCCAGGTTAAGCGACTTTCAGGGTTCAGTTACAGCTTTTCCATCTCTTGACTTGACAGGTGCCATCTTCACTGTGCTGCCCCATCAGCCTCTGTTAGGTTCAAGAGTCTTAATTAGGACAATTATTGGTAATGTCTTTTTACATGATTTCATTTGCTATATTGTCCCCAAGCATAGATTCTGAATTCAGATATGAGGACCAATGGCTTCTTTTTATTTGTTGAAAAAATATTCAAAGAAAATAAGGCTATAAATTTCTTAAGGGCATATTGATCTGCATAATGAAATTATAGGGCTTTGCAAAGATATGATTATGGCAAGTGGATTACGAAAGATTTGGAAGACTTAATCAATGGTGATAGTAACTTAGTTGCTAGGATAATTCTTTGCTTATTGGAAATTAGGAGAAGTTATTTTGAACACAAAGGAAGAAGTGGGCACTGGATGATCTTTAGCTTCCCTCACTTTCTTACCCTGCTGTGTGCTCTGGGAAGCTGACCCCAAAGGATGGCTTCAACCTCACTCCCTTACCCTCCTGCTGAGGTCGGATTTAGCCAATGGGAGTACCAGCAGGAGATGGTAAGGGTGAGGGGATAGAATCTGAGGTCTTTATTCCCCTGGGCTGTAGTTGGTAGTGGGGTGTTCTTGCTTAAGGCTACCACTCCTATGGGTCCTTCCCTAGAGCTATAGGTCAGCTATAGCTCTCTTTCTAAGTCCAATAACTATTTTTTCACTGCTTCCCTTTTAGGCCTAATGAGATACCACTCCTGTACCTGTTGTCACTAGTCCAGAATGTTTCATCATTCTTTGCTGGCTTTCCTTAACCCTGACTATACCTTTTTAGTAGTTGTGGCATTAAGCATTTCTCCATCCCCTCTG
This sequence comes from Homo sapiens, assembly GCF_000001405.40. Lineage (NCBI taxonomy): Eukaryota > Metazoa > Chordata > Mammalia > Primates > Hominidae > Homo > Homo sapiens. The sequence goes on from NC_000008.11 coordinate 135,990,511, forward strand.
TTGAGCACAGCAACTGCTTCCTGCTAAGAATAAGTAGTGGTGATTTACAGGAGATGTAAGACTGCCTTGCTTCAATTATATATGCTTTGACCTCAAAAATCACACCCCCTACCCCACCCAATTAAGGTGAATGGACAATGTGAATTAGAAGCACATGACAAATGGTAGAGCTTGATCCATTCATTTGAATGCATCCGTGATGGACTGAGGTGTCTACATGAGGCAAAGCTTTCATCAACCAGGCTCAGTTAAAACAACAGCAGGAAGAATGTCCACAAGGACTTTAGCTCCCAAGCTGCTCATATCTGTCAGCGACTATCAACTGTCTTGGGACCCAGGGCTCTTCAATCTAAAAGCACAGGAAGTTAGAGGAAGTTATAAATAATCCTTGAAAGTAGAAAAGCAGCCAAGGATTGGGTTACATAGCAATGGAAAACAGAGTAAGGGATAAAATTCATGGCTACTCCTATTTTACAAATCTTTATTTTTCATGTATATTCTCAGCTATATATTATTTTGTATGTAAAAAAATACTTTTTGTTGTGATTTCAATAAATATTAGAGAGATAAAAAAATCCATCCATTAGTTAGCTTCTATAGTCCTTTAGTAATGTGTCAACTGGGCCAGGAGGAACTGCATGGTCCAGAATCCTCTTTGCTGTATGTTTCAGGTAAGAGCCACAAGAGAGATTCTTGTGTGAGATTTGGAGGTAAGGTGATCATTCATCTCAGTTTTCCTGGACAAAAGGATTTCCCTGGACATGTGACTATCAGTGCTAAAACCAGGTCAGTCTCAGGCAAACAGGAACTGTTGGTAAACCTGTTGGAGGGTGGAAATGAAGCAGCAGCTCACACAGGTAGTCACTTACCTGCTGGCTCACCTTCATGGCATGGGGCAGCGGTGTGGGACTGTGACTACTCCACCTCCTCCTGCTGCTCCACCTCCTTCTGCTGCTCCATCTCCTCCTGCTGGCTCCTTCAGCTTCTCCAACCCCTGGGCCAGGTGTGCCTTTAGCTCCCCGAGGGAGGGTGTCCACCTCTCTTCCAGATACTCACAACATCAAGATCTGTCAGTTCACTCTGCGGGGGTCCCGCATGTCCTTGCTCTGGCCCAGTTTACAAACACCTTCTCTTCCTGAAGGGACTGCCTACTCTGTGCAACTCAGCCTTCAAAATTAGATGCCAAAACAACAGCATTACCAGAACATAATGTCAAATTTTTACAGTAAATCCATCTGTCTATCTATCTATTATCTATCTATCTATTATCTATCTATCTATCTATCTATCTATCTATCTATCTATCATCTATCTATCTATCTATCTGTCTAATCATCATACACATATCTTTGGGTTCTGCTTCTCTGACTGAACCCTGATTCCAGTTTCATTTCCTAAGTTTTAGGAATTCATAGGTTCACTTAGGAAAAAGCCTTACAGTTGGGCCTTCATAACCATAGAACAAGAACCATTTCTCACCTTTTGGCCACTGCTAGAGTCACATTCTTTGGCCTGAAAAGCAGTTGTCTACTAGACATTTACATCATAGCAGGTGATTCTAGGAGGGCAAAGAGGTCCAGAATCCAGAATAAGTGACTCTACTGCTGAAAATGTAGTGTTTCCAAAATATCTACAGACCTAAATCTTTACTGTGAACAGCAAGATCCCCTAAGAGCTTGCCTGTCACTGTGTGTGCACTTTATCCCTCACCACTTTTGTTCTCACTTTGTGTTCCAGTAACACAGAAGGAATTGCTAGTCTTTCTAAGTCTCAGACTAACTCTCTGGGCGATCTTAGACAACAAATAAACACCAAACAAAAACCCCTCTAGCCTTTAGTTGCAGTATCTGTTATAACATAAATTATTCAAGTCACGTATAACTTGTGCCTTCTGTCTTCTTGTGTTATTTTCTTCTGCCCTGACTACCTGCAAAACCCCTTAATGCCTGTGAATTCATCTCCTCTGTTAAGTCCCTTTGATGTTTTCAGGCATATTCAGGGGCTGATTTTTCTAAGCTACCTCAGAGGAATTCCTATTTTTTCTTCTATCATTACTACTAGTTAATAAGAAGAATAAGAATAGTATTAACAAAATTATACTACAGAGCTATAATAACTAAAACAGCATAGGACTGGGATAAAAACAGACACAGAGACCAATGGAACCAAATAGAGAACCTAGAAACAACTCCATACATCTAAGTAAACTCATTTCCAGCAAAGGTGTGAAGAACATACATTAGAGAAAGGGCAGTCTCTTCAATAAATGGTAATGGGAAAACTGGATATCTTTATGCTGAAGAGTGAAACTAAATTCTTATCTCACACCATATAAAAAATAAAATCAAAATGGGTTAAATACTTAAATCTAATACCTCAAACTATAAAACCACTAAGAGAAAACATTGGAAAAACTCTCCAGGACATTGGACTTGGCGAAGATTTCTTGAATAATGCCCCACAAATACAAGCAGCCAAAGTAAAAATGGACAAATGGGATTACAAATTGAAAAGCTTCTGCAAAGCAAAGGAAACAATCAACAAAGTGAAGAGACAACTGGCAGAATGGGAAAACATATTTGCAAACTACCCATCTGACAAAAGATAAATAACCAGAATATATAAGGAGCTCAAACAACTCTATAGGAAAAAATGTAATCCAATTAAAAATGGGCATAATACCTGAAGATACATTTCTCAAAAGAAGCTATAAAATGGCAAACAGGTATATGAAAAGGTGCTCAACATCACTGATCATCATAGAAATGCAAAATCAAACATACGATGTGACATTGTCTCACTCCAGTTAAAAGAGCTTTTATCCAAAAGACAGGCAATAAATAAATGCTGATGAGGATGTGGAGAAAAGGGAACTCTCTTACACTGTTATTGAGAATGTAATTAGTACAACACTATGGAGAACAGTTTGTAGGTTCCTCAACTGAAAATAGAGCTACCATATGATCTAACAGTTCCACTGCTGGGTATCTACCCAAAAGAAAGGAAATCAGCATATCAAAGAGATGTCTGCATTCTCAGATCTCTGCAGCACTAGTCACAATAGCCAAGATTTGGAAGCAAACTAAGTGTCCATCAACATACGAATGGATAAAGAAAACGTGGTGCATATATACAATGGAGCACTATGCAGCCATTAAAAATAATGAGATTCTGTCCTTTGCAATAACATGGATGGAACTGGAAGTCACTATGTTAAGTAAAATTGTCTTATTTTCTGTCCTGGCTTGGACAGAAAGAACAGCTTCACATGCTCTCCCTTATTTGTGGAAGTTAAAAATGAAAACAATTGAACTCATGGAAAAATAGAGTAGAATGATGATTACCTGAGGCTGGGAAGGGTAGTGGGAGGGAAGTAGGGGTGTTTACTGGTTACAAAAAAAACAGAATGTATAATATCTAGTATCTAGTATTTGATTGTACCACAGGGCAATCATATTCAATAATAATTTAATTGTACACCTAAAAATAACTAAAAGAGTATAACTGGATTGTTTGTAATGCAAAGGATAAATGCTTGATGTGATGGATACCTCATTTACCCTGATGTGATTATTACGTATAACATATATTCCTGTATCAAAATATCTCATGTACCCCATATATATATATATATATATGTATGTGTGTATATATGTGTGTGTGTGTGTGTGTGTGTGTGCATATATATATACATATATATATATATATATATATATATATATATATATATATATATATATATATATATATATGTATGTATGTATGTACTGGGTACCTACAAAAATAATACAAAATTAAAGAATAAACAAAAAGCCCCAAAATATCTTATGTTTTTCACAGACATATATACCTACTCTGTACCCACAAAAATTAAGAACATACAATTTTTTAAAAAGAATAGTAACAATAATAAAATAGGACAAGTAATAACTATTTATTTTTAGGAGCTGGGATAAACTCTTTACCTGTATTATCTCATCCAAATCCCCACAAGTCCTAAGGCATGTAGGGTGGTCACCAACATTTTACAGATAAGGAATATTGAGGCTCAGAGAAGTTAACTAACTTGTCTAAGGTCTCAGAGGCTAGTAAGTGCATGCCCGGGATTTGATATATTCTGACTTCAGAGCTCCAGGTGACACCTCAGCAATCGATTGTGGGTTTATGCTGGTCACACTATATTGTAGTTGTCTGTTTACATATCTGTGCCTCATCTAGTTGGTAAGTTTCTAGAAGGTGAAGCAGGAACATGAATATTTAGTTTTGTTTCTCCAGCCTTTAATATTGTGCTTGGCATGGGTAAGTGCTGAATAAAACTTTGCAGAGAAATACATGGATACAAAGATGGGTGGATGGATGACTGGAAGTGGCTTGAGAGATCATCTTGTCCCTCTTGATGTGCCCAAGGTAATCCAGCTTGGCAGGGCCGGCCTGAGAAGCCACATTTCTGGCTTCCATTTCTGGGTCTTTGACATCAGAGTACAGCCTGGCATTCTTCAGCAAAGCAGGAAACACATGAAGTCTGTAAACAACACAACATCTGAACACTGAAAATTAAAAAAAAAAAAAAGAAAGAAAAAAAAACAAGGAGGGGGTGGGGGTGGGTATTCTGGTACTTTTCCATTTCCATTTAATATTTTAAGGTGCAAACAATTTTCTATTCTTACACCTAATGCAAAAATATATGCTGACTTTGATAAGGTACTGCTTTTAGCTGTATGCTGTATAAAAATACAAGAAGAAAACACATGCTGGGATTTTCCATTTTTCCTTCGTTGTTGTGTCTTACTGAAACTTGGAAATCAAATTATCTGCCTTTTCTATCAAACAGCAAAACATTTGTCCAATTAATCTCTGCCCTAGATTTTGTTTTTCTTAGTCTGAATCCATGTCATTATGCATCATTCAAATCCTGAAAATGCAATAAAAATGGAGACTAAAGTGTATTTCAACCCCCGATCAACATAATGATTCTAAATGTATTGAATATAAAATAAATGTACTAATTTTGCTTACTTTTCATTTTTTACTTACAAATAGAGAAAAACCACGGTGCCTCAAGGGAACTGAAACTTCGCAGTTTTCTGCACTTGAAACATATAATGAGTTTCAGCCAACGATTCCACACTGCCTGGCTAGGAAAACCACTTAGTCCCTGTCCTCTGTGTCTGGATTTGCAAGTGACCATGTCGGTACCGGGGACCCAGGCCCAGCCAATTAAGTGCTAGTGATAGAGAGCCTGTGTCTCTTGGTTTGCTCCCCAAACATATTATTTTTACCATTTTCTTTAATGTTACAGAAAACACCTCATTAAGCAACTGTTGGATGAATAGCTGGGCATGCAATTTGTTAGAAAAGAACACTGTACTTGGAGTTACAACACCTGTGTTCTAGAATTTGCTCTGCTACTAAATAACTGTGTGACATTGAAAAAGTTATTTATTTTTACAGTAACCTCATGTTTGCTGTCACAATAAAAGTGCATAAATAGAGATATTGAAACTTTAGAAAAATAGGGTCTGTTTCTTTTTAAGTCAAGGGAACTAGGCTACCCAAGTGTTTCTCACACACTCGGGGTCCACAGATCTACTGGGATTGGGAGACATATTCTTGGGGTCATTGAATATTTTGTGAGAAATTTTAAATTTTTTGTTTTTATTTAGAAGCATATGGAAAGTTAAAAGTGATAGCTCAGTTATCTCCATGACTAATGACCAACTTCTTCCTATAATTCCGTCCCAGCATTTGCATTTGTATTAACTACCTCAAGTGCAAACCTTAACTGTGAAAGTTTAAATTTTATTGTTATATTTCTCTTAGGGATCCACAAGAGATCTTAAATTTGAGAATCAATGAATTAGTAAGCATGTCTTACTCTAAGGTTTGGTGATTTTCTAAAATAATTGAGAATGGCTGATTTCATTCATTTATGTTTATCCCATGTTTCATTGCATACCCACAGCAAGCCAGAGACTATTCTAGCCACCAAGGTAACCACAATGAAGGAGGGTCTCCCTAAGTTTCTGGAATCCCACAACTTGCTTGGGGAGATACACCTATCCATAGAGAGTTATTGGACATGTGATTTTAAATTTAAAACACCCTTAAACTACAATATGATAAATCAATCTCTATACCTAGCATCACTTAGACTGTAATTAACCTTTGGCCCATTCGTTCTAAATTCACAGTGATCTATTCAGGGTCTGAGTGACTTGAGCAATTTCCTTACCCACATTCAAAGATTGTCATGAGAATAAAATTAGATATTCTGAGTACAGTGGTCTTGAAAACAACACGTTTTATATTTCCTTGAAGGCAGGAACAACTTGCAGCAACTATATTTATTTATTAGGTTATCTTTTTATGAAAGGACTTAAGGTAGTTTATAACCAAAGCCATGTACTAATATAGAATTTTAAAAAAGTGAAAGGAAAAAAAGAAGGAGGAGCATTTGTCCAGTTGGCTAGTAAATTAGGATATGATGTATTGTAAAGTGCCTTAATCTTGGAGACCTACAACCTGGGTTTCATCCCAGCTTCAGTACCTCCACCTTGATGACTTAAAGCTTCCTCACCTCTCTAAGCCTCAGTTTTTTTTTTTTTTTTTACCTGAAAATTAATCTAAATATTTCTACTTGGGAGCCTATGAGGATTAAATGATATATAGATATAAAACCTCAAAGGGAGACTTCTGTTTTCTGGTTTCATATGTAAAGAGTTTGGAAATGGCCAATCCATTTTAACAATGAGTAAAAAGTTTAACAGACTGAAAATTCAACAACTCTTCTCAGATCTGTAAGAGAGGTGAGGATACAGGGAAAACCACTGCCCCCAAGATTGGAGGAACAGACTGGTGGATACAGGGAGTCACCACTTACTGGAGCAGAGACTCGTGAGCAGAAACCTCTGCAGGAATCAGTGCTGGGGTAGGAAGACCTGGACTATAATTGATGAATTGCCAGACGCTCAGTGTGGACAAGTCTAAGTGTTAAAATCTCCAGGAGGGCTCAGTCACAGAGGGATTCCACACCTTTGTGAGTTTTACATCCAGGAACTTTCTTAGGTTCTCACAGTAAACATCAGAGAAAAATTTGTTTGTGCTTCCAGCAGGGGGAGAGGAAAAGGAACCATTTGGAAACATGCCAGTGCACTCTGTTTTTAACAAAGCCTGCCCTTAGGAGAAACTAACTAGAGACTACCCTGACCTGGGAGAAGAGAAATACCCAACTCTAACCCACTGTAGCCATCTTATCCCTCCTGCGGAGGAGAACATAAGTGAATAGTATTGTGAAGCTCACAGTCTAGAGGTATAAGCTCACTAATAGTCTGAGACCTTATCATAGGGATTATACACTTCCCTTTCCCCCATACTTTACCACTACTTTACTAAAGACCTACTTACAGCAATTCCTTCTACCCAGTACAACATTTCCAGGTATAAGGAACGAATTACAAGGCATACTAAAAGGTAAAAGCACAATTTGAAGAGAGATAGTAAGCTTAAAACAGTGATGCATAATATGCAGAGGGCTCTGATTGATAAAGCAGACAGCATGCAAGAACAAGTGAACAATGTTAACAGAGAGATGAAACTCCTAAGACAGAAGCAAAAGAAATGCTAAGGATCAAAAATACTCCTGCAAAAATGAAAGATGTCTTTGATTGGTTAATTAATCAACTGGACATAGCCGAGGAAAGAATCTCTGAGCTTGAAAATGCCTCAATAGAAACCTCCAAAATGAAGAAGCAGAGAACAAAGACTGAAATAACAAAAGCAAAAGAAGAAAATATCTAAGGAATGCGAGACAATTACAAAAAAGTAGCATATGAGTAATAGACATGCCAGAAGGAAAAGAAAGACAAGAAGAAACAAAAATTATTTGAAAAGTTGATGATTCAGAATTATCCTCAAATAGGTGTCAGACACCAAACCACAGATTCTGGAAGCTCAGACAGCACCAAGCAGGATAAATGTCAAAAAAACAAAACAAAACCCCTACATATTATTTATAGACATATTTTGAAAACACAGAAAAATCAAAGATAAAGTCCAGAAAGGAGCCAGAGAAAAAACACTGTACTTAGAGAGGAACAAGGATAAGAATTACATGTGGCTTCTCAGAAACTATGCAAGCAAGAAGAGGATGGAGTGGAATATTGGAAGTGTTAAGAGACAAAAGCCACCAACCACGAATTATGTACCCTGTGAATTGATGCTTCAAAAGTGAAAGAGAAATAGAGTTTCTAAGATGAAAATTGAAGACATTTCTTTCCAGTGGAACTGCTTTTCAAGAAAAAAATTTATTTAGAGAAAAGGAAAATAATATAGATTACAAACTTGGATCTAGATAAAGAAAGAAAAGCATCAAAAAAAGCATAAGTGAAGGTAAAATAAAAACTGTAATTGTTTTTATTCTTAATTGGTCTAACAGAAAATAATTTGTTCAAAATAGTAAGTGTAATAATTTATTCAAATATGTACATATATACAAACATATATAGACATGTATATATGCTTAGATATAAGTTAAATGAATGACAGCAATGGTCCATGGACGGGAGGAAATAATTAGGATTACTTTGTTATTATAAGGTACTCACACTTTCCATAAAGAGGTATAGGGCTATTAGAAAGTGAACTTGGATTAGTCATAAATGTATATCACAGACTCTAAGGCAACCACTAAAACAAGTGAAGAAAAGTATAACTGATATGCTAAGAAATGAGAGAAAATTGGAATCATATAAAATGCTCAACTGAAACCACAAAAGGCAGGAAACTGCAATGAATAACTTTCACAAATAATGTTTGTCTTTTTCTTGTTCACGGCCTTAGAGATTGTACTTTTCTGGGTTGACCCTTTGTACCCTGTCTTACGCTTCACTTGGATCCATAGACCACTGCTAGTCCAGAGCCTTTCATGGGCTTGCTCCAGTCCCTGCTAGATAAGATGAAACACTTAGAATTATGATAGGGTAGGAATGAATCAGTGAGTGAAGGAATAAATGAATACACAAATGAATGTCTTTATTTTACACATGGGAAAATGATGCATCCTCGGTTTTTATGTCAGACAGTGGTCAGATAAGGATTCCATCCAGATACTCCAGTACCCTTTCCCCTGGTCCTAGCCTCCTTTCCTTCCCCCAGCCTCTGATGGTCTCATAGAACTTCTCTGACCTAGAGACTATGCCTGCTCTACTCTCTTGACTGCTGGAACCCTCTCTACGCATGGAGTGTATCTCCTGCTCACATTGGCTTTGGAATGTGACATTTCCCCAAGTTTCCTACTTCCTTCTCTATCTGCTGCTATTTTCAAAACCAAGGGAAGAGGTTACTTTTGATGAAAGGCTCTCTGTAATAATCCATATGTGTAAAAATACAAGATCAACAGGAAGAAACCACAGGCATGCTTCCTATCCCTTTAGGAGTGGGAGTAAAAGTTCTTGAATCTGACAGAGCTCTCATCATTGTTGTCCCTGGATGATATTCCTGGCTTGCCTTTTTATATTTTCTAGAGTTTCCATTGGAATTTTCTTCTCATATTCTAGAATAAATGTATTCATAGCCTTCTCTCTTCTCTAGGTCATGGTGAACATTTCTGCCATGACATTTGCTTAGAAGGTAAAATGCTAGCTAAATAGCTGGGCATTTTCTATGTGCCTATTTTAGAAATAATTCCATATATTCTTTAAAAACTATTATAAGCCTAGTAGAGTAAGACTTGATTTAATGCCAATCAATTTTAGCTGATACATTTCTTTTAACTAATATTTTTGTTTCTTTCTCATAAGCCAGCATGGAGGAGTAAAAAATGTTTGCATAATTATGTGGCAAATCAAGGCTGAGCCCAAAGGAGATATTTAAACATCCTGTTTAGCCCACTCAGTCTCTGCCTGTTTGGTTAAGCTAATTCTTAGGCTTATAGACTCCATCCAGGCTTTGCTTGCAGCTTAGAGGAAATTTGGTTGTATGAAGTGTGTGGTCATATGACCTTGTGGTTGTTTAGGAAAGGAGTCATACAACATCCTCTAGGCTTTGCTACCTGTGGTAGACAGAATGCCTCCCTGAATATGTCCATGCCCTAATCCCTGAATCCTGTGAATATGTCACAATACATGACAAAGGGACTTTGCAGTTGTAATCAAGGTTATGCACCACACAGCATAAAATTATTCTGGATTATTTTGGGAAACTCAATCTAATCACATGAGTACCTAAATGCAGAGAATTTTTTCCAGCTGTAATAAAAGAGATACATAAGAAATCAGAGAAATTCAAAGCCTGAGAAGGACTCAACCCCCATTGCTGGAGGGGGGCATGTGGAAGGTATGAGAAGGGATGCAGGCAACTTCTAGGAGCAAAGACTGGCCTTGGCTGGCAGCCAGCAAGGAAATAGGACCTCAGTCCTGAAACCACAAGGAACTGAATTGGGCCAATAACCTGAATAAGATTGGAAGTAGATTGATCATCAGAGCCTCCAGGAAGGGAAACAGCCCTGGTGACATGTTGATTTTCACCTTTTGAGACCCTAAGCAGAAGTCTTAGCTGGGCCATGCTGTATCCAGACCTCTAAAGAACTGTGAAATCATCAGTGGATGTTGTTTTAGACACTGCATTTATGATAATTTGTTATGGCAGTAATAGAAAACTAGCAAGCTGCCTTGCAATAGGACAATTTGCTCCAACATCTGCAGGCTACTGTACCAGTTTCCATGTCTGACCCCACCCCGCCATAGCCGCTGCCCACATAGGAGCCCATGATCATGGCTATTTTCTCTTGGCCATGCAAACAATCCTAACCTTCCTTGAAGATATTGAAGGCTCTGCATCAATAGGTAGGAAGTCAGTTCAAGAAAGTACCAAAGATTAAAAAAACTTTATGTTTCAGAAAATACTACTCCACAACCCAGATAATTGCCATATGTATATGAGGTGCCATGAAAAAGTAGTAGCAGAAACATTTAAGAAGAAAACGTGTGTGTTGTGTGTGTGTGTGTGTGTGTGTGTGTGTGCATTTCCATGCATGTGTACTTGTGCTGGGACCACAGAAGGCATGCTGAGATGTTAGGGAAAGCTCTCTAATGGAATTGACTTCTAAGATGAGACCTAAATCTTGAGACCTAAAAACAGAGAGCTGGGGAAGAGAATTCCCAGCAGAAAGAAAGGCATGGCAAAGCCTGCAGGGGAGAGTGAGACGTGGCTGAGGACTGGAGCAAGGTGGAAGTGACTGGGCGCTGAGGGCCGCCAGAGCCTTCAGACTTTATCAGAAGAAGAATATGACACCGGCCAAGCATTTTGTGACTGGAGTGAAGTGATCAGGCGTGTGTTTTAGAACGATTACTCTGATGACAAAGACAGGCTAAAGGAGAGAGTGAGTGAAATGAGGAAGGATCATCATCTTTAGAGGATGTTTAAGGAAGGAGGGTTTGTCTCCAAAAGGTGTTATTACAACTGGGAAAGTTCCATTACTGTCATCATTATGGGGCACTCAGGCCCCATCTTCCTACAGGAGAGGTGGTGTGGGATCAATTGCTTTGGCTAAAGCGCATGTCAACACTTGAGTAGCAGAAGGTGTTCATTTTGTTTTCGTTTCTCCAAGGTAAAGAGAAGGAAAAGCAGAAGAGAAAAACAAGAAAACAGATCTTGAATCACCCTCCATCTCCTCACCCCAAAGGGATGCTTTTCATTCTTGTAGATTCATTTATTGGCTTATCCAACTGCCTAAATTAATTGTATGCTCTTACAGTCATACTGTACGCAATTTTCCATCTCACTTTGGGAACACAACATGCTAACTTTTTCATGTTGCTGTAGCACCACTGAAAGATCGTTTCTAATGCCTACCTAATATTCCCCTGCATAGATGCTCAATTGTTTTAATAAATTGTTCTCTTTCTGTTGGACATTATGTTCCTCCCAGAGTTTTTGCTCTTGTTTATAAGTAACACCTTCAGGACATAGCATGTACTATTTTGGGGGCTATTTCTTTAGACTAGATTTCTTCCAGTGTTATTCCTGGGTTGCAAACTAGAAATGCTTTTAGCTCCAGATGCCTATTGCTAAATTGCCTAGAAGAGGCTTATTGCAAAAGTCACTCTCGTGGTTCATCACTGGGGATCACAGGGCAATCAGGAAAATGAATTAACTGTTACTGAGCACTCACCATCTACCAGGCTTTGTGGTCCTTAGTTCAATGCATGTTTACAAAAACACCCTGAGTTGTTTTATTTATTGAGGTTTTACTTCATGCAGGAAGCTTTAAGTGTTTTAAGTTCTTTAGCTCATGTAATCATCAATGGAGCTCAATGAAGAAGACGCTCAGTTTTTCCTACAGATTAGGAAAACTGAGACCAAGAAGTTAAATAACTTCTCAAATCAAGTACTTAAAAAATAGCAGGCCTTACATTTGAACCCGGATCTAGCTGACTTCATAGTCCTTAATCTTCACCACTACACTGCTAAGCAATATACCCTCCCTTCTTGTTTATCACGAGGCTCATATGTGCAGAAGAGTCAAGAGATGAGCAGCAAAAATATCCTAAAAATCAAAGAGTGGAGGATGTGGTAAATAAGAGCCCTGAGCACCAGTTACCACTCTTTTTGAAAAGTCATAATTCCTATCTGTTGCCCTGCCTGGATTAACAGATGTCAGGGTCACTGTCTGTTGTTGATAAAATCTATCCAAAAAGTAAATTTCCTGGGAGGTCCATACATCTGGACTGGGAACAATTTCAACAGCATCTGTGTGAAAGAGGCCTCCCTGTAAACCCTGGCAGACTGGGTTCTGTGGATTAGCGCAGATGACTGGGTACAAGGACATCTATTAGCACTGGGAATCTTAGCCTGAGAGGCTGGTGGAGAGTCATGGTGAGTCCGTGGAGGAAAAGGAACATGAACATTTTTAGCTTGGGGTGGGAATGGTGTGAAAATGGCAAGTGCACATAATTACATTGTGACTGGAATTTGCACTGAATTCAGGCTTTGGAGGATGCAAAGGGTGCTATGTAATCCATCTGCTGCTGTTTAGCTTGCCAGAAAAAAAGTATGCACAGAAGGCGAGAGAAGGGAAAACCACAGGGACTTGAGATAAATAACCTCCTGTTGCTGTTTTGCCTGATGTCATGACACTCTGGAAAAGACTAAGCTCTTGTCTTAGGAAAATATAATAAGTTTGTAATGATGCAAGCTTATTTACTTATATATCTGTCTAATTGCTTTGCACGTGTTAAAGGTTTGTCTCTCCAATGTATTGGAGAGACAAAATCTTCTTTCCTGCTTGAATCCAGTGCACTTCAACAAAGAGATTGAGCATTCATTCAGTCACTTTTGCTATGTGCTGGGGACCTGGGGATAAACACAACTGAGTGATAGGTGCAGTAATTTGAGTATGACCAGGGATCAGAGGGGCAATTAACCCTTTCTAGGCAGGAAAGGAAGAAAGAGATTAAGTAAACTCTCAGCAAGTTTACAGAAATAGGCTTTGAAGGCTTCATAGAGACTTTCCAGGGAAGCAAGGAGACCACAACATTTCAGGCAGAAGAAATAGCCTACAGGAAGGCATGACTTGCTTGAAAAATTACAAGCCCTTTGGGGTGTTAAGGTCTAAAATGTGCAGCAGTGACAGTGGGAGTCTGGAAAAGACAAGAATGGGAAATGGGAGAGAAGATGGGCTGAGAAGAGGAATGGGACATGAGGTGTTTTTGCAGGCAGGAGCCATGGTATGATTCTTTAAGAAGCTATTTGACCACATAGCACCAACCACCCAGTACTAATGGTGCCATGACCTAGAAGAAGCATGCATTAATCCATCAGGTTAAAGCCCAGAGGGGGCAAGTTCTAGACACTCTGCCAATGCTAGGCAAATTATTTCACCTCTTCGAGCCTCATTTTTTTTTCATCTTTTAGCTAACATCATTAGTATATATCTTACAGGGCTGTTTGGGAAGGCTAAAAAAAAAAATCCAGTGGCATGAAAGAACCCAGTAACATTCCTGGCACGTAAATATTAATATCTTCCCTGGCATTCAGTGGATGCTCAGTAAATTTGGACTGAAAACAATTTCATTAGACAAATAGAAACAAATTCAAGGTTATCATGATTATTCATAAATAATGAAAAATATCACTGAAGAAGAATGTGTGCTATGGAAAGGAAGGGAATGGGTGGCAGAGGAAGACAAAGCAGAAGAGTGGCGGGAAGGAGAGAGAAAGAAATGGAAGACAGATTTTTCATGGCAAGTAATGTTGATTCAAAACAAAACAGAGCTTTACCTGGACTCTATGCAGAGAAACCTGGTTAATAGAGACCCAGTCAAGCAGGTGTCCTTTGTGAAGCGACCCTCCTGGATGCCAGAGAACCTCTCAGAGCCTCTGTTACAGGTTCCTGTGTTCATTCCTTTTCTCTGGCCCACTGAGTCAGGGAGCAATAATTCTTTCTAAGCTGGCTCCTGAACGTTCAGTTAATTTAGATCTATTGAGTTTACAGGGATTACCTTGCTTCCTTTGTAGTAAATAAAGCCATAAGCAGCTGATGAAATTGATAAATGGCTCCCGGCGAGCTGCGGCATTTAATCAATGACAAAAGCTGTGCATTGGGTACAGTGTAGAAGAGAGAAGCCCAGGGCCAGGACCAGAGCCATGGGGCAGCAGAGACAGCAGACTGAAAAGCAGCAGGAGCTTCAGCCAGTACCAAGTTCTACTTACTCAATATGGATCATGGTCTCACGCATTCATTTTTCATTTGGCTTGGGATAATTGTTTGAATTCCTGTTTGGAAAACAGATTACATAGAAGGCATGAAGGGAAATGCAAATAGATCAAATAAAAAAGCCATATTCAACCCCAAAGAAATCACAGTAGTTTAATTTTTTCGTGTTTGTATCTTGTCACTATTTGCATATATGTGTAATATGTATCATGTTTGCCTTTTTTTTTTTTTTTTTTTTTGAGATGGAGTCTCGCTGTATCACCAGGCTGGAGTGCAGTGGCATGATCTCGGTTCACTGCAACCTCCAACTCTCAGGTTCAATCGATTCTCCTGCCTCAGCCTCCCTAGTAACTGGGACTACAGGCAAGTGCCACCACACCCAGATAATTTTTTTGTATTTTTAGTAGAGATGGGGTTTCACCATGTTGGCCAGCCTGGTCTCGAACTCCTGACCTCAAACGATCCGCCTGTCCTGGCCTCCCAAAGTGCTATGATTACAAGTGTGAGCCACCGTGCCCAGACTATGTTTGCATTTTAATTTTGCTTGCTAACAACCCATTCTCCTCAAGTCATCAGAAAGATTGCCTTAACATGTAAATGCGGTCACACTATGCACTGCTTGTATCCTGCAGGAGCTTATTCGGGATCTTCAAGATAAAGTCTCAAATGCTCACCAGGCCCCTGCCTTGCACGTTCGGGACATCCTCATCTCTCTGACTTTCTCTTCTTGTAACCTCCAACTTATTAGATTCCTTCCACTTCCAGTTCTCAAACACACCCTATGTTTTCTCTTCATGCTCGACCTTAATCTGGCTTTATCCTTTGTCTCAAACATCCTTCGCCTATTTATTGCTTGAAGAACACATTCTACATGTGTCAAACGTGCTCTTCCTTGCTCCATATAAACTAGATTCTTCTAATCAGGTTATATCTGAATACTTTATACTTTTCTACTTCTGCTTCATTGCAATGATTACAGTTTGGGGATTTTTGTTTCATTACCTTCTTGCCCATAGACTGTAACTTGCTCATAGATTGTAAGTTTCTTGAAAGTGGAGAACATCTATATATTCACCACTGTATATGCAGTTTCTAGCTGAGTGCTTACACCTTTCTTGAATCTTTGCTGATGACTGAATTTAACTACAAAGGTACCATTTTATGATCTGCCGTTTTCAGTTAACATTACATTATAAACAATGATGTTTTTGATTAGATGCTCACTATTCCATCAAATAGACATCTTATTTCAGTCTATCATCCCCTTCTAGTTGGGTAATTGAGTACCGTCCAGTGTTTTTTTGTGTGTGTGCTTATAAATAATGCTTACCTTTCCATGGCTGATACATTTAAAAATTATTTCCAGGAAAATGAGTTAAGTTCAATGAAGTATTTTTTTCTCAAACAGAAACATAGTTATTAAAGTACTTGTCATAGAGCATACTGAGAATTCCTACTTGGAGGACACACAAGTGAGATCTGAGTGGGGATGGTAAATTTGGGAAAATGGCAGGAGGGACACCAGGTAGAATAATTCTCTCAACTCAGTTTCCTAAATCCAATGAGTTGGGACAAAACTCAAACTCTGAATGAATGGTGAAAGCTGCTATAGATATTATATAAATAAAAGGCTTTGGCTGTGTTCCAATAAAAGTTTGTTTACCAAAACAGAGGCAGGCTGGATGTAGCCCTAGGGCCATAGTTTACCAACCCCTTGTCAAGAGAATGAAATTAGATGCTATTTGTAAAATTCAATGCCTAGTACATAGAAAGCAACTAATAAAATAATAGCTGTCATTGAGATTATGATGATGATCATTATGGCTGGCATCTGTCAGTCTATTGAACTTGGCCACTTGCCATTATCCTGAAGAGTTTTGGATGCTGACTTCTGTGATAAACTCTGGTGGTTCTTCCAACCAGCAGTTTTGCAGAGATTAATATATCTCTCAGTGAAACTTAGTAACTTCCCTCTCTTTTGGTATATTCCATTATTATGTAAGAATTCCTAGAATCTTTTGCAATTTTCAACCCTTTCAATTGGACACAGTAGTTTAATGCGTATAATTACTTCTCATTGGACTCACAATTGATGTGCCACAGTGCTATTAGAGGCATAATCAATAATCACTCTAGTTCAATACCATCTCCTGCTTAAGCCTTCTGATCATTTGAGGTTTGCCCACATATTAGATAACACCCAACAAATGAAGTCTGTGGCTTAGCACTCAGCCTGTGCTGACTGCTATATTTTCCATATGCTGCAGTGGAAAACTGTTGGCCACATACACCAGGCGTTGCAACTCTCAGCACCATGTAGAAGCAGGTGGGTTGTTGCCCACCTTCTGTATCCTTATGGTTCTGGAAGCAGAGAATAACTTGGGCTAATGGGAGAGGAAAAGACCATAGTTAAACTTAGCTGTGTATCTAACTCAGCACACCCAGATAAGGCATATTAAGGGTCATCTGGGGGTAACTTTAAATCCCTCTCTGAAGCACCAGGATATTCTGGCTCAGAAAATTTGTTGACAAAGAAAAGGAGCCCTGGCTCCATCAGCTTCATCTCATGCTCCAGCAACTTCATTGCAAAGGGGCTAAGAAGGTGGCTCCTTAGCGTTTTCCTTTATTCCAGCTCTGTCATCCTCTTACCTTTCTTTTTTCCAACAATTATTTTTTAAACATTACCCACAGAAAACTGGTGCAAGAGAGAGGAAAGAGGTGGAGGCCCTGATTCTAACATTAACCAGTCCTGTGGCCTGGTTAACCAGCTATAGGCCTTTATTTTAAAAAAAATATTTTGTATTACATGTGTTTAATGTCTACTACATAATGTTTTGATATATATCTACACAGTGAAACAATTAAACATATTCCTCGTCTTCCATTGCTACCTTTTTAACTTTTGTGCTAAGAGAACTTAAAAACTGCTCTCTTAGCAAATTTTCAGTATACAATATTGTTAATTATAGTTCTCTGGCTGTACATTGGCTCTCTAAGGCTATTCATCCAACCGAATTGCACATGTGTACACTTTGGCCAACTTTTCCCCATTCCGCCTTCTCCCTGTGAATGGTGACCACTGTTCTACTCTCTGTTCCTATTTATTTGACTTTTTTTTTTCGATTTGGTGTATAAGTGAGATCTTATAGTGCTTTTCTTTCTGTGTCTGGCTTATTCCACTGAGCTTAATGTCTTCTCAGTTCATCCATGTTGTCAAAAATGGCAGTATCTCCTCTTTTTTAAGGCTGAATAATATTCCAGAGTGTGTGTGTGTGTGTGTGTGTGTGTGTGTGTGTGTATCTCACAATTCTTTTTTACCTTCATCTGTTGATGGACACATAAGTTGTTTCCATATTTAGGTTATTGTGAGTCGTGCTGCAAGGAGTTTGGGAGTGCAGATATCTCTGTGCAGATGTAGCTCATTTCAATACTTTTGGACCCAGAAGTGAAATTTTCCGGATCATATGGTAGTTCTATTTTTAATGTTTTGAGATACCTCTATACTCTTTTCCATAGCCACATTTTCTTTTTTTGTTCTTGTTGACACTGGGTTTCACTCTGTCATCTAGGCTGGAGTGCATTGGCATTATCACAGCTCACTGCAGCCTGTAGCTCCTGGGCTCAAGTGATCCTTCTGCTTCAGTCTTCTAAGTAGCTGGGACTGTGGGTGCACATCACTATGCCTGGCTAACTTTTTAATTATTTCTAAAGACAGAGTCTCCCTATGTTACCCAGGCTGGTCTTAAATTCCTGGGCTCAAGCGGTCCTCCTGCTTCAGCCTCCCAAAGTGCTGAGATTACAGGCATGAGCCACCATGCCTGGCTGAGAAAGTTTACTATATAAATAATTTTAATAAGTTGAATTATTCCAGAAAAGTAAATTGATTAATGCATTGAGTAACATGTTATTTCCTAAGTTCCTGGTATGATCGATCATCTTTGAGTTCTTAAGGCAGCAGTAAGGGGGAGGAAGACAGAAATTGATAGATGGCACCAAGCCCCAGCCTTAACTTAGTGTCTGGCATTTAATTATTGGTTAAATGAGTAAGTAAATGGGACCCTACCAAGTACAAGTTCAAATCCATCTGGTCTTAAAGTAAATTCTGATTAAAACAGGAAAGACCTTCACATTGCCTGTGAGACACTGATCATATGGTAGGTACCGTTCCGAACAAATTAACTTACTTTGCCATAGCTCATTTCCTATCGCAAGTTTGTTTCTATCATTCTAATTTTACAAATAAGAAAACCACGACTGAGGCATGTTAAATAACTTCTCAAGGATGCGCTACAGGAAATTAGCAGCAGAGTTAAGATTAGACGCAGAACTGTCTGACCCCGGGGCTGTGGTCTTAGCCACTGTCTGGCAGTGCCGTCCTACTGGCTGGGGGCATGGAGAGTTTACCACACATCCTTCTGTGGGCCTGGTGGCCAACTTGCCCTGAGGGCATCTGAATACCTTTCCTAAGCCCGGCCATGTGGCCTGGCTCCTGACTTGGTTGCTTGAGTTTCTCTGGTCCTCTACTGCATTTGAAATTTTCACTGTGAATTCAGTTAGTTGTCTGAAGTCTTGAAAAATCTGCGTTTTGCCTGCTGGTCTTGTCTTTCTGGTCCCAGCTTTTGATCCCTGCACCACCTACCCCTGCAGGTCAGCTACCGAGACATTGGTCAGCCAGAATTCATGGGCTCGGGAAGGAGCCCAGCCTTTCCATCTGTTTCTCTCTTCTGCCCACTTAATCTGATTCCCCTTTCTCATTCTCAGGGCCATTGTTAAGCCTGAGCCCCATACACTTTGGTGCTCACTGTATCCTGGACTACTGTCCATCCAACTTAGAGAACATCTCTATAGGAAAGTCGGTCTCCTTGATTGGTAATCTCCAGTTGCATCCTTCTCCTTCTCTCTCCCAGTTCCTACAAACTTCACAGCTTCAATTGTCAGAATCATGAGAAAGGTTTTTGTTATTTGTTAAAATCACACATCCTTGTTGTTTTGTAGCAGACCACCTACCCTCTCTGAGCCTAATTGTCTCATCTCCAAAATAAGGACGGTACCAACACCTTTCTCCTTGGGGAGTGGTGAGGATAAGAGGTAAAGGGTAGGAAAGTCCTGAAACCTGATGTTTGCTTAGTCAACGGTGCTTTCTTTGCTGTGGTGAGTGTTGTAAATTGCACTTTCGTAGGGCTTATGCAGTTGTGTGTGGTGGGGCGCTGACCTCTTTTACCCCTTCACTGTAAAGTCAGCCTGGCTCTGCTCACCCACACTTCCAAACTTCCCAAATTTGCAAAGACACAAAGAAACAGGTCTGGCATGCACATAAGTTAATTAAGAAAATGAGCGAGATCAAAGGAGGCAGAGGTAGTTAGGAAAGAAAAAAGAAAGAGAATTGGGTTCAAAGTGTGGTTGTTAATTACATGCTCTGGATTTATAATGCCAAGAGGGCACATCAACCAGAATACAGAATGAAGGAATAAAATAAATTAACAGAGAAACTCCGCCTTGTGTTGATTCTCTGTAATAGGCCAGAGTCTTTGTGAGTAATGAATGGCAAGTTAAGAAGCCAATTTACTCAGCAATTTAAAGAGTTCTTTCAGAAAGCTTTTTAAGAAAAAAAGCAGAGATCTTGGAGGAAACTGGGAACTATGTCACAAGAAAGAATCACTGTTACTCATTCCCGGGGGAATGCTTAGAGTGGGGATTCACTGACAAGCAGGGTTGTTATGGACTGGAGGATGGCACAGAACCGAGGAAATGAGATAAATGGAGATCTTAAGACCAGCGATGGAATCTGAGTTCTTCCCTCATTTGCTCTGTGACTTTGATAAGTCCACTAAGCTCTCTGAGCTTCATATTTTTATTCTGTAGGTGAAAGAGAATGCATGCCCCATCAGACCCTGAGGGATATTGTGAGGATCAAATGGGACAATAATTTTGCAGTGGGTTAAAATCCTTTAGATCTGGGCAGTGATGATATAGGAGATGATGTTCATCATGATGGTGGTGATGTTGAAAAGGATTCAGGATCAGGCTAATGTGAAGTTCAAGTTGACTCCTAGATGTTATAACCTTAAGGACAATACCAGAGCCTATTTATCTACCTCAAATACTGTCCTAATGGCTATCTTAATTGGGTGCTTGGTTATAGCACATATATAATCCCTGATGGGCAGCATGCTATTTTCCTTTTCATTGAATTGCCATTGTGTTCAATACCCATCAACCAATCTCTCAATCTATCATTTAATATAATCCACCTCTATTTCTTTTGGGTAAGTGTCAGGGAACAAGGGGAATAGATCTAACACGTGTTGAGCTGTATGCAATGTCAGGAGCTGTACGTTCTTCATGCCACCACATCCTTTCAGCAAAACCATGAGATATCTTTTATTAATTCAATTTTGTAGTTGAGAATACTGGGGCATGTCCAGTGTGATATAATATCAAATAACAGAGTCCCCAGAGTAAAGACCACATCTGTTTAATTCTGTTTGATAAATAAACTATTTCTCTTAGTGTGTTTAACCTTGGCCTCTTCAGATGAGCTACATCTGAAGCTTTTCATAGACAAATAATCCTGGCTTTTGAAAGATTACATTTGAAAGCCCAAAGCTACAGCTTGAGTCTTCAGAAAAAATAAACAGTTTTAGCCTATGCTAAAGGTGTATTTATTACAGTGTACCATTAGCGTCACCCTCCTCCCCCTGCCCCAAACTAACAACCAGTGCTAGTGGGAAGTTCCCAGGTTAACTAAATAAAATGTCACTTTGATTGACAGATGCTGGTGCTGTGTTCGTAGGTTTGCTTTGTCTCCAGCACCCCACTGGTCAATAGGAACAAGGGAGCAATTTTCAGAGTTATTAGCTGTGTTTGAGCTGTGCTGTCTGCCAAAAGAAGAAGTGGCTTTTGGACGCAGATTTTACCTCGGATGTAATGTGGAGAGACACGTTGACACCTCCCTCTGATAAAGGTGGGTACCAGAGGGCTTCCAATCCCAACAGTACAAGCCTCTTTGAAAAGTCATGACTTAAATGTGATTTTCAATTTCTGAAAACACTGATGAGGTAAAACAAAGCTTTCCAGAGAGAAGAAAGAAGATTTAAAAAGGCAATGACTGATAAGCAAGGCTGAATGCAATGCTTCTCCAAACATGCAGACATTTTGTGGGGGAAACCAATAGGTTTCATATGCAATGGTGTCTCTACATACTCATAAGTGTGATTAAATTCTTATTTCAATAACGTTAAACACTTACGATATTGCAGGACTTCTCAGAGTCTTCCTAAATTGACGAGACCATTCCTCATTTACCATCCCCATCCCCGGCACCTCTTTCCAGAATGTCCCTGCTCTGGTGTTCAGTGAGACATAATTGAGAAGTGCTGGGATTGTATCAGCAGGTGAGCTCAGCAGGTGCTACAGATGTGTTCTTGGGGTTCAGGCACTTCTCAGAGGAGGTAGTTAGCTGTACCATTTGTTATTTTAAATAAAAATCTGTTTTGAAAAGAAAATGCCTTATTTATGTGCCTAGATTATGTGCTTTTTTTTTTTTTTTTTTTTTACCTTTTACTTAGTCATTCCTATAGTCAGCCTTAGATACTTTACCCCATAACCCTGGAGAGTGCACACACACAGTCACACACACACATGCACAGATCGTATCCCCTGGACATGTTCTTTAATTTTCTTTCTGAGAACATTTAGTAATCAACTGTGTGACAGATCTCTGATAAGGACTTTAAATATGAAAAAAAAAAACAAAACAAATAATTACTAACTTCAAGGAGCTCAGGATTTGGTGTGTGTGTAGTGTGGCAAAATAGAAATGAGCAAAGTAAACCCAGTTAGTTACAAAATACTATGATTAAATGTCATGAGCGGAATAAGGGTAAAGACTTAGAAATGTTGTACAACCTATTCTAGATGAGGGCATTCTGGAGATGAGAAACTGACCTCACTTTGTAAATTGAAAAAAAAAATAGAAACTATAAAATAGTTCCATTCAAATAAATTTCTAGATCAAAGTAATGATCACATTTCTGACAGATTATGCAGTTATAAACAATGAGATTTTCCCAACAGAGTCCTGAAGATTTTGTGCTTCCCTTCACACCTTATTGGCTTCCTTCTCTGATTTAGGTTTTGCATCTTAGGCCTTGTAATTAAATGACTTGTATGCATGCTTAACTGAATCTGTTGGAATAAACCAAAATGCAGGCAATCATTGATTTCTTTATAAAACATAAGTGTTTTAATTGCCGTGTAAGTTGTTAATAAACTGTAACTATTAGTGTGTTAAAGAATGAATCAGTGAAGAGTAAGATTTAGACAGTCATCATATCTAAGTAGAAATACATGTTTTCCTTCCCTAAATATCACCATTATCAATCAGAGTTTGAGGTTGTTATTGCTAAGGTTTTAGCTAATTCCAGCCTGTCTCATTTTTCTAGTGATACACTTCTGAATTGTGCCTGCGCTAAGAATTTCTAGGGCTGACTTTTTCTGTAAAAACTAAATGAATGCAGAGACATTTGAATTGGAGATAATGTTGTGGTGTTTACACGGAAATGTGAATGAATCCCACTTAGACGAACTTGAAAAGAAGAGTTCTTACCATATTTTGTTTCCCAATCTGGAAGTGATTCTCAGAGGAGAGAAGGGAATTTATCATTAATATTGGGAAAGAATGATGAGTTATGTTAAAATAAGAGTGTTATAAAAATAAAGTTCTACAGGATAGTAGATGGAGGCCGTTCACAGTGCTTAGTAGGGGCCCAGTAATCCATTCTCAACGACTGAGGATAGGTTGAATTCGTAGTTCTTTGATGATTACAATGGACGGTATGCCTTCTCTGTCATTTTGTAGAGACTTTCCCAGAGATCAGATCACTTGCTTCCCTGGTGTTTTGCAGTTTGGGGAAGTGTCAGTGGAGAGCTGGGTGCATCATTGGCCTCCCTGGCATCACCTAGCCGTCTCCAGGCATTTCAAGACATTGGGGATCATTTAAATAGTTCCTCTAAACATGCTCAGAACTATGTCATAGCTATATTCAGACACTTTCTCTTTCCAGACCAGCTTTAATTACCTAACTGGTGCTATGAGGAAACCCAGTCTCTTGTTTATCCTCTCATTGTTGCACCTCTTGATTCTCTTGCTTGGATCCCCTCAGTGTCTTCATCCATACCGGGAGATTGCTATGCCAATGACCCCTGACTTGTTCACACCTCTTTGGGTCCATGCCCTTGGATAGTTTCTACCACACTACCACTGAGCTTGGCCACACAACTTTTTGGGCAATGGGATGACAGAAAAAATGAATGACAGCTCCTAATTTAGCCTCTGCCTCTGGACTCACATTCTTATGTATGCATCTGGAGTCACCCACATCGGACAGCTCCTTTTGCTCCAGTCCTCATTTGTCCCCAGCCTTGGGTAACTGCTAGGACTTTTGTCTCCCAGCTTCATCCAGTCTGGTCCATCCAGCTGCTGTACTAGCCCTGGCTCTGACCCCAAAGAACTGTGGTTGCCTTTGCCAGATGCTGTTGACGATATCTAATAGCAAAGCTCCCACAACGTGCTGCAGGATACCACTGGGAAACGGCTCCTGGACTGGTTGGAGACAGAGCTTGAGGCACAGAGAGACCTCCACAGATGCTAAGTCCGTTGTGTGTCGGGTGATGAGCAGTGTAAGGAATTGAGAGAAGGAACAGGAGGGGGATAAAACAAAAATAAAAGAAACCTCCTGTCTCTGCTTGATCAGAGACCCATGAACTAAGAACCACAGGTTCTAGAATGAAGGAGAAAGGCCAGCACACTGCCCAGTCAGGCCTGGCCACCGATGGGCTCACAGACGCAAAAAGAAACAGGCTTAGGTGAGCCACAGCCAGTGCTGGAGACCCTGCAGTATCTAGACCCACTGCACTTGAAGGCATCCTCCATATTCAGGAGCCATAAACTGGGTCAAACCCTCACAAGTGCTGAAATTTTGTGGCCCAGGGAGGGTGCAGTTTCCCAGTGTCAAACATCAACTAATGAGTTGGTGCTGCTTCATGTTAATTAAACATATTACTATTGTTCAACTGTACGAGAATCTGCGTGGCTTTTTGGACATTTCTCAGAAGGGCTGAGAGAGGGAAAGACTCCAGTTATAAATATTTCCATGAAGGTAATTACTGGTAGAAATTCAGGCAAGATGTACAGATGCAAGTGTTTTACAAGCAACTTCATTTTTTGATCTGCGCTCATTGTGTGTTATTTTGTTTCATGTCACTCCACATTCTGGGCTACTCAGAGAGAAATACCCATCAGGTTTATGGGGTAAGCTGATTTTGATTTGAGTATCCACTGTGCCATTTTATAGTATGTGTCACTGAAGAGGCTGCTGCAGCATTTGAGCCTCAGTTTTCTCAGAAAATGAGGAGCAAAATTACCTCATAAGGGACTTGAGTATTGAAGTAGACTCTAAAATAAAAGGAATGACACAGTGCCTGGTACAGTAGGAGGTACCAACAAAAATCTCCCTGTAACTAGTGTCACCACTCTGGAAATTTTAAAGCAGCTTGTCATTTACTCATAATTTTCAGAAGACAATAATAAGGAAACCAGAATTCTGACCTACCCGCCAGCCACAAAGCACTCCTCACCCTGGATGTCTAGTTGTACTCCTGCCATATGGTTTAATTCTTTCTCCTTTCTCTTGAGTACAAGAGCTGAGATGATCAATCACATTCACCCATGACAGAGCTGAGTGGAAGCAGCTTGGAGATGAATGGCTGAAGAACATAAAGAATAATGACATTAACATATACATATATGAGGAACACTTTAAAATTGCTTTCAGCAGAAAGGAGAGAGACAGAAAAAAAATCAAATCCTCCTGTTGAAAATTGTAAAACATGCTGACTCTTTAGCAGCAGAAGAATCATACCCCAGGCCGATGCTATTCATAATGAATTATATGGTGGTGATTTATTCATACCAAAGTTTTAAGAAACTTGCCAGATTGATGAAAAATGCATAGGTATGCACTTTAGTCTGACACCAGACAGAAGATGGGGAAGAAAGAGCCAAATTGGAAAGGG